>NC_000003.12:68494848-68797878 GCF_000001405.40 Homo sapiens
TGGCACAAATAATGTGCTTTAAAAATGATCAATTTTGTTTAAACTTGGCTTGGATTCCATAGGACGTTAACAAAAAGATCAGGCTGAAAGTCTAGATTCTTCTCTGTACTGTGGACAACATGGTTATCAATGAGATTAAGAGACAACTAGAGTAAAAACAAAAGAAAAGAAAAGAAAAGAAAACAACAGAAGCTCTATTAACTGACCTCTAACCAATACAACAGGTTAACTGATGTTCTCCATTCTGTATATAAAAATCCCAGTGGACACCCACAACACAGGCTTCAGGCTTGTAGGACACTTTCTAGTTCATCTGAGCACTTTTGTTCTCAGCAGTTGAGCTGTATACTTAGCAACATTTGGTGCTTCCAAACCCATTTGTGCCTGTAGCACTTACTATTGAAATACATAATTTAATTAAATATTATATAAAGGAATGGAATACGAGTTGGACAAGAAAAAGAGTTAAATCTGAAGGTTAGGTAAAAAGAGCAACTTCTTTTCTCTGTTTTGCAGGTTGGCAAAATCATTTAAAAACAATTGGAAGTATTATATGTTCTGCATTAAGTTGTCATTTTACTTAAAAACTAGGCATCAAAGATGATGCATAATAAATTTAGTGTATGCAAGAATGACTGCTTGGGACCTCAATATATGAATTCTTAATCCAAGGAAAGTCCTTGGCCTTACATTTAAAAGTCGGCAAATAAGTGTACGTTTCATTGATTTTAGTTAGACTGAAATGTATACAAGATGCGTGGATCAAGTTGTCATTTATTGCTTCCACCGAGTTTTCCAACTAACCTACCAACTAACTTTCTTGATCATTTTGAATGATCTACAGTCCACACTGCTGCAGGCATGGCCCGAGGACAGGTATCTAAAACAACTCAGGTTTGATTGTGAGGGTGGAGAAAGACACATGCTCTCCAGGCTCACATGTGGATCAAGAAAGAAAGGAAACCAAGAAAGGAATTTACATGAAAGCAAGTTAGGCAATGCCAAACTTCCTTCACAGGCTTAAAAGGAAAAGTGATCTGTGCAGATAGTGATTTCAGAAGCGTCCTTTGAAGTGCTTCTGTTTATTCTGCAGGATTTTCTCACTTGCCTCTTGAAATAACAACGATAGTGAACCTTCTTTCCCTGAAGCAAAAAAAAAAAAAAAAAAAAAAAAAAAAAGACAAACAACAGACCTTCTCAAATCAAATATCACTGTGTCTGTGGTTTGGCTAAAGGATACCAAAAGTTGTTCCCTAGTGAGACATGCAAGGAGGGTAGCAAGGCCTACCCTTTTACGCAGAAAGATCAGCGTTAACGAGAATCAGTTGTAAATGTGAATAAATTAGGAAAACAGCCAGGATATTGTGGTAGATAGTTGCCAAGATGGCCTTCCAGAAGATGCTGTTTCTAATATTGAGTAGTTGACTGTAATTCCTCTCCCCTTCAACCTGGGCTGTCCTGAGTGCTTCCTTGACCAATAAAATGTTAGAGAAGTCTGAACTTCCAAGACTAGGTCGTATGAAATCTTGCAGCTTCCTTTAGTATCTTGCAATGGTCCCTATGGGCTGTTTCTTGTCAAAAGCTAGTCTCAATGCTCTGAGAAGCCCAAGCCACCTGGAGATGTTACGTGTAGGTTCTCCAGTTAACAGACTTAATGGGCTTTCAGGCAACAGCAGCATCAACTGCCAGTCCTACAAGTAAGCCATCTTAGATGTGTCCATCCAGCCCAGTTGAACCTTTAGATGACCAAAGATGAAATCAAGATACTGTGTTGTTTTGAGCCACCTAATTTTGAGTGAAAGATAACTGGAACAGATGTTGTCAAGCACAGTGGTTAAGAATATGGGACCCAAGTGTCAAGACTGGGTTGATGTGAGTCCTGGCTCTGCCGTAATTATGCATGTAAATTTACACAGTTCCTTAACCCTTCTGTGTCATTTTCTTCTCTATGGTGGGGGTGATACCATTACCTATATCATGGGGTGGTCCTTAGGACAACATATGATTATACTGCATATAAATAATATAACATACAGTAAGATTCTATCCCCACAACACCATCATCATCATCATTACTATTACCATCAATGCTACTGCTACTGCTGTTGTTACTTCTTGTCAGCTTTTAGTAGAGAGAGAGAGACCTTTGAACTGCCTTCATGAAAAAGCCCAGTGGAAAAAAGAAAATGGCCACTTGGTACAGTGCTTAGAATGATGCCTTGTACATTGTAAGTGTTTGGCATGTATTAGACATGATTATAATACCACCTTTTTTCTGATTGCCAATGTCCTTGGCTAAACTATTTCAGTACTCTACCAGCTAATCATGCTTTCAAGATATGTTCTAGATGCTTTATCATCTCTAAGGCAGTGGTTCTAAGAATTAACCCAACTTTAATTCTTTAACATATGTCCACTCATTCATTAATGCATTCTGGTTAGTAGGCCACTGGAATGTCAGCAACATGGCAGACATTATGATAGATAATAGCAATATGGCAAGGCTGGTAGGAAGATATTTAAAAGGTAATTGTTAGAAGAGCAAGACACACCTATGACTGTGCACATTACAATAATCTAATGTGGTCTAAGATTGAGAGGTATCAAGAAACTCTTTCCTAGCCAAGCTAAGACATAAAGGAAGGATGAGTAGAAATATGTCAGTTGGGAGGGTGGAAGGGTGGGAGGTTGGTAATGTGCCTGGCAGAAGAATCAGCCTGAGCAAATGTCCTAAGCTAGGAAACAGCCTGGTTCCTTCCAGGAAACAAAAGTAGACAGAGTGTGCTGAATGGGAAATGATCTTGCAAGGAGCCTGAAATGACAAGTGGAGTACTCACAAAGGACCTTCCACAATCAGAGGAGGATCCTGACTTTATCCTATTTGGATATATAATAAAGTCTTTGCAGTAGCGGAATGACACAGGCAGAATGGTTTTGTGTTTGTTCATTTGTTTCTTAGTACAGCTTTGACTGCTGTGCATAGAAATAGCTGTAGCCCAGGTGGAAGAGGATAATAGCTTGCCCTTGGGAGTGATGGCATGGATAGAGAAAAATGCTCAGCAGTCATTGCTACAGGAAAATTATCTCCACCTGGTAACCCACTAATTGAACTTTTTCCAAAGGATCCACTTGGATCTGATGCTACTCTGGGGAGAATAGGTGACTTCCATTACTAACTCTTTGCTTGATACTAAGTACATTCTTTACCAACGTAGCTTGAGGCACTTGGTATTGTCAAATAGTTAAGAGATTCTAGATCAGAGTTTGATCCTAGCTGGGCAATTACTGGTTGTTGTATAACCTTTTGCTTCTTTTTCCTCATCTGTCAAATGGGCATAAGGATAGTGTCTACCTCATGAAGTTGCAATGAGGATGAAAAGTGTGAAAAGTATTTATAATAGCACCTGGAATGGAGAAAGTCCTCAATAATTATTATATTATTTTGTAATCATTTAATCCACACATATGTATTGAGCCAGGCACTGGGGATGCAAAGATGAATTAGTCAATGTCCCCACTCTCAAAGATACACCTAGGAGGCAGGGTTATAAATCAGAGATTAAACGTAAGCTGGGGGCTAAGAACAATGCCACAGCTGTGCAAAATATGAATACCAAATTACAAAAGCATATTGTTGCTAAGTGGGTCTGAGTATCTGCATTTCCTTAAAGCAGAGAAATTTATTATTTTAAGGAAAAAAGACCATGTCTGACCTTGGCTGAAAACATGGTAATTACAGAGCCCAAGATGTCACTGAAAATGCAAGACAGCTTGAGGGCACAAAGATAGTTTTCCTTCGAAGGCTGATTCAAGTAGAGGATTAGAAGAAGGCTATTTGGGATTATAAAAATTCCTCCCAAAGCCGTTTGGTGGCTTTTTTTTTTTTTTTTTTTTTTTTTTTTTTTTTTTGAGAGAGAGAGAGAAAACTATTTTAGTGGCCACCATGTAGAAAGAAACATTTGAAGTAATTCTTGTGTATAGAGGGTTGGCTGCCAGCGTGATTGACTAAAATGGTCTTCAGGGACTTTCATGAGTAAAGGAGATATATTTTTTAACACTTACTGGGAAATGGAGCTTTGAAAGCCTGTCTCCAGCAAAAGGGATTTTTGACATGTATAGGCTGGGGCCTAGAAGTAAATTTTCTCTCTCCTACTTTTGCAACAGTCTTTTCCCTTTATCCTGGTAGAAACTAAAGTAGTCAACTTCTTGTCATTAAAATGGAACTGGAGAAATCATCAAAGAGATACGATTTTTCCTTACTCTTTTAAAGCAGCCTAGGTATTAAAATATCTTCTGAGATCTGTGCAGAATTTTCATTTATACTAAACAACTCATTTTGTTTGTCAGGGACAAACTAATATGAATAACAAATATCTAGGGTAGAATTTTTCATAGAAACTCTTTATATGTTAAAAGAAAAAAAAAAGCTACTTACTGCTTATTGATGCATTCAAATCATTCTTAAGCCTGCCATTGCCAAAATGGCAGACTGAACCAAACCTTGAATTCTTAGTAGAGAGGGTATTTTTGCTTTTTGTTTTTGTTTATTGTTTGGAGCTAGCTTGCTTCTTTGTTTTCTTTCTTTCTGTGTTCCTTTCTTTTTTTTTTTTTTTTTTGAGAAGACATGCTACAAACTAAAATTTCTGAATTCACGTTTTAAATGTAGATCATAAATATCTTCAATTTAACCATGAAAAGGTAAGCTAAAATACACTTTATTTTATGTATTTATTTATCTTATGGGCGAGGGCCAGGCTGTGAGCCAGTGTGTGGTGAGTGAACCCCACCAAAAACACATTTTAAAGTTCTAGTAGAACTAAGGTATTATTTGATAAAACCCCATTAGTTTTATAGTAGCAGAAATAAACGTATGAATAATGGAGGTGATTTTTCTAATATCTCACAGGTAGTTATTAGAAGCAAAGGGCAGTTTTGAAAATGTATGTCTGTCAAGATTCTCTTGGTTATCAGTGACAGAAAACCCAATTCAAACTGAATTTTTTTTTCTTTTCCTTTTTTTTTTTTTTTTTAAGAAGCAGGAAGGAATTGTAGTCTTATATTCAAGTAAAGTCCAGGGATAAAGCTTATTAGTGAGGGAAGCAGACTGCAAGTACACGATAATAAACCACAGGTTTTCTTAAGGCATAGCCTCAAATGATGCCATCTGTGCTCAGTTTCCATCCCATTCCATCCCATCTTTTGGTTGTGCCTTCTACTATGTTGGCTTCCTTCCTAGGCTCTTTGACATGGCTCTAAACAACTCCAAGCTCACATTTTTTCTGGGTTTGAGTGCCAATGGAGGAAATCTGTCTCTTTAGGTGAGTCATGGGATCAGCTTGGTTTGGGTTAATGGGCTTGGCTTAAGTCATGTTGTGTTCTAAACCAGTGCTTTTCAAACTCTCCATCATGAAGGACCTTTTTATTCTTCTTAAAAAATACCCAATCTGTCATGGGCCGATACTTTTGTAAAATACAATAAAAATGAATTAGCATGAAAATAAAATGAAAGGACATAAAATATAAGCCCAAATTCTTTGTTTTTAGACTTCTCAGACATAAAATTCCCTGCCCAATTGTTATAAAACTTCTTAATGTCTGTACTTGTTACAGACCAGCAATAACAAACAGATAATCACCCTTTGAGGAGCAGTACTCTAAACTAGGAGTCAGCAAGCAACAATCCACTGACTAAGTCTGGTCCACCACTAGTTTTTAATAAAGTTTTATTGTAACTTAGTCACACCCATTTGTTTATATATCATCTATGCTGCTTTTGTGATGTCATGACAGAATTGAGTAGCTGTGACAATGAGTATGTGACGTACAAGGCTGAAATATTTATTATCTGGTCTTTTATGGAAAAAAAAAAGTTTGCCTATTCCTACCCTAAGCAATCACTGTGACCAGAAGATCACGATTTATGATTAATCAAGATGAAGGCACACCCCCACTTCAGAAGTTCATGAACAGAGAGTAGAAACTAGATGATTCTCCAAAGGAAATTGAGATTCAGCTATCAAAAGAGGGGGAAAATGGGCCAGGCATGGTGGCTCACACCTGTAATCCCAGCACTTTGGGAGCCTGAGGTGAGTAAATCACTTGAGACCAACCTGGCCAACATGTTGAAATCCTGGCTCTACTAAAAATACAAAAAAAATTAGCCAGGCATGGTGGCAAGCGCCTATAGTCCCAGCTACTCGGGAGGCTGAGGCACGAGAATCACTTGAATCCAGGAGGAAGAGGTCGTAGTGAGCTGAGATCATGACACTGCACCCCAGCCTGTGTAGCAGAGTGAGACCCTGTCTGAAAAAAAAAAAAAAAAAAAAAGGGAAAATGTTTTAGGGAGCCAAAAATCTGTAAATATCTAGTTCCAAACTTAGATCTTTTTACTCTTAATTCTCTCATCTTTTGCTGACTCTATTGAAAATTGAATTACTGTATAAAATGAATACTGCGAAGTCAAACCATGCCTTAAGTGAATGCAGGTCATAACCGAGGCTTGACAGAATTTGTCATCTCAAATCCTTTGAGGAAAAAAGCCACGGAATATGCAAAGCAATAAATAAATAATCTGAAAATGTTATTAAAATAAGAGAATTGATAATACCTACCATGAGAGTGTATAAAATAATCATACTTATAAAATACTTACTTAACTCTACTTTCCAGAAATGGAAATGAAAACTATTTGGAAATTATGTTTGTTTACCAAATATTTAATCAATATATACCATGAATATCTAAACACTGTGCTAAATGCGGGAACCACAAGAGTGATGACAGTGGACAGGTAAGTTGCAGAGAGTTGGAAGGATAGACAAAACTGTGGTCAGTGGATAATTTACAAACTGCAGGTTATAATTAGGCTATTATTTGACCATAGCCAAAAGGAGAAGAAATAGAAATTAGTAATGGGGGAATGAATCTCTTTTAGCAAGGACAGTATCCAGGAGAAAGTGATATTGAAGCCATGTCCCATAAGAAAGAGGAGGAGCAACTAGCCAACAGAAGTGTAGTTTGGACACAGCATAGAGACGTGTAGTGTGGACATGCATAGGAAAAGCAGGTGCCAAGGCCCTCTGGCAGGAAAATCTTGATCTCCTCCAGGAAAGAAAATCAAAGTAAGCTAGAAGAAAAATAATCCAAACTATTTGGGAGGTTAGAAACCCAATCATTCAAGCTGGGCCTTAGTACATGGAAATTCTTTACTGATTTGGCAAAGTGAGAAAACCTTGAAGGGCTTTCAAGCAAGTGGAGGACGTAGTTTGATTTACTTTTTATAATACTATTTTTGCTCTCTTATATTAAATGAGTAATAATCATGATATAATGGTTGCTTCATAGCAAGGGCATCATTCTAAGCAATTTAAACATATTAAGTTACTTAATCTTCATAGCAACCCTATAATTAATTCTGTTTTACAGATAAGGTTTATAATTACTCTTTTTATTGCTTACTCAGAAAATTAAATTTGAGCCTTCTTGTGCTTTAGAACACACAGAAAAAAAAAGACTTTCACCAAACACAAAATAGTTACTTATGAAACCTCAGCTACCATGCCCAAATATACTATTTTGGGCATTAATATCCTAATTATTTCAGACCATTGATGGATTACTAAAAATTGACAAACTGGGTAGAAACTGATTATTTTTCTGGAAACACAGATGAATGTAGACAGTCATACTAATAATCACAGACAATAGACACCATGTCAATACTACCAATATAGCAGATTATGAGAAATTAGAGTTATTTCAGAGAGGACCCAGTTATTTTTTTCTGCTTGCCTATTCCCCCCTGATTCTCCCCAGCCCCATGTACTTTTGATCTGCCACATTCACCTTCACCCTCCCAAGTAAAACAGCTCCTTCTTAATACTCTGAGACACAATATGCAAAGAGCTATGGCATCATCTATAACAGTTTTGACCAGGTCTGAAGATTTTCCCCACAAAAGACACAAAACCAAGCATTATTCTAAGATTCTAAAGTATTGAAGACATGTATTCAGACCAACACTCTTACACAAATGTTCACAGCAGCACTATTCATAATCCCCAAAGGGTGGAAACAGCCCAAATGCCCACCAGCGGGGGAATAGCTAAACAAAATGTGATGTATCCATGCAATGGAATATTATTCTGCCATAAAAAGGAATGATGTATAGCCCAAGTATCCCTAATCCAAAAATCCATAATCTGACCTACTCTGAAGTTTGAAGTGTTTTGAGTGCCAGCATGACAGCACAAGTGGAAAGTTCCATACTTGATCTCATGTGACAAGTCAAGTGAGTCGAAATGCAGATGAACAACACACATAGATTATTTAGTGTCCCCAAGGGAAAAATAAAATTACCTTCAGGCTGTGTATAAGGTGCACATAAAACATGCGTAGGTTTTGTGTTTGGATTTAGGTCCCATCCCCACAGTATCTCATTATGTATGTACAAGTACTGCAAAACCCAAAAAACCTGAAATCTGTAACACTTCTTGTCACAAGCATTTCAAATAAGGGATACTTAGCCTGCACTAAAATGAATGAACTTGAAAAACCTGCTATGTGAATGAAGCCAGGTGCAAAAGGCCACATATTGTATGATTCCACTGATATGAAATGTCCAGAATAGGTAAATCCATAGAGATAGAAAGCAAACTAGAGGTCAATAGGGGCTGTGAGGAGAGGAAAATGATGATGCTTAATTCGAAGAGGGTTTCCTTTTGGGATCCTGAAAATGTTCTGGAATTAACTTGTGGCAATGACTTGACATTGTGAATATACTCAAAGCCACTGATTTGTACACTTTAAAATACTTGAAGTCATGAGTTTTAGTTATGTGAATTTTACCGAATCGTTTTTTGAAAAATCATTCCTAGTAGGGAGGCCTTTCTGATGAAAACCTATTAAGTTTCCATTTCTCCAGGAAAGGGCATCATTTTCTAATAATATTTTGGAAAGAGAGTTAATGGAACAGCATTCATAGATTTATTTTTATATTTGAACAAAATGCTTAATGCTAAGAGAATGATTAAGTAAAAAGATGATGATAATTATAATGACAATTACCTTGATCATCATCATTATATTATCATAATCATATAATTTGGATAAACTTGGGAACCACAGAAATAATTAATCCAATGTACACAAACTGAATTTTAGTGCATACCTAATTGACTGCTTTTTTGGAGGATTATATATTTTTAAAGCATAATATACGTGGAGAAGGGACAAGAAAAAGGCTAATAATCACATTTTAGTCTTATTTATGTATAACCAAATATAAAGCAAAGGGTAAATATTTCCAGCCTTGGAGTTTGTATGTCCCCTTAGTCTGTCGTAAACATTATTCCATAAGGATCTTTCTTTCGCATAAAACCTAGTCCCTCTTGCCCAGCTCTCTGAGTTGAGCCACAGAGAAACTGCTTGCTAGACCTTTGTGTTGAAAGCCAGCAGGGCCCCTTAGCTGCCATCCTAACATGAATTGCTCCAAGCACAAATTGTTCCCAGAGCAAGCAGTATGCATTTGCCTGCAACGGCCCCATGAGGGGTCTCCCTAGACTCTGGCATGCATTCCTGGAGCATCTTAACTAGGGCTGATACCATGATCCAAGCATGACAGCCACATTGTTCCTACATTGTCTGCCACTGGAGCTTTAAATTGATTTGATTAGTTTCACCTGGTCCACACAGGCACACAATTGTAAGAGATCTGCAGCTATCCCTGTCATGTCACTATGTATCAAGTGTCCTCATATCTGACTCAGCCCCTTAATACAGAAAAGGAATCCTTTACCAAATCAAAATTGTACCTCACCTTTTTCTTATCCCCTCACCACAAATTTACCATCCAACCTCTTAACAGTTAAGCTAATGAGCTTTAAAATATTCCCCATCTGCAGCAACAAAAATATCAATGTTCAGTAAAAGTAAAAGTCTCTCCAAAAGTAGTGGGGCCAGGTTTCAACCTGTGCTATGGTACACAGATGTACCATGACCCTTTCAAAGGGATCAAAGTATGATCAAGAATGCAAGTTATTCCTGCTAAAAGTGAGGAGGGTATCTACTCAGAAACAAGTTTATAAGAAAAGGTTGTCAGATTGTAACATTTGTGGGCATGCAGAATGGTAAGAACAGAGTGTGTCTTGTTGCGAGTAGGGGTGAGAAGTATGGCAGCCTATTAAGCAGACACCAAAGATCAAAGCATGTTTGCTGAAATGTGCAAGAGCTACCTCCTGAGTATGTAAAACTGCAGCCAGGTCAGTAAATTGTTCTACTCAAACAGGGACAAGGTTTCGGAGGATAATCAAGTGGATAATAATAAGTAACTGTGGAGAGAGAAACATTTTACACTTTTCAAGTGTTCAACCAAACACAAAAAGTTACAAACTACTGTCCTGGGAATAGTCACATATGATGCAAGCTGTATTCTTCCAAAGTCTTTAGCTTTTTATCTTTTAACAGCTTCTCTTACACTCACTGGCATTGTGAGCATGGTTGTAACCTTATAATCACATTATGCAAGTTTAAGGGTCACATTTTAAATTCATCTCTGTTACTTTGTATTACTTTTCTATTTCTGCAAACCACATTACACAAATCTAGCACTTAAAACAATGCACATTAGTAACTCAAAATGTTTGTGTGTCAGAAGTTCAGGAATGTCCTAGCTGAATCCTCCTCTCAATGTCTTACCAGGGTGCAATCAGTGCCAGCTGGGCTGTGTTCTCATCTGGAGGCTTAACTATGGAAGATTCCATTTCCAAGCTCCTTCAGGCTGTTGGCAGAAATTATTTCCTTGCAGATGTATGACTGGGGACCCAGCTTGTTCCTGGCTGCCAGATGGAGCCTGCTCAACATCCTAGAAGCTACTTGCAATTCCCTGCCACAAGACCCCTCCCACAGGCAGTTTGCAACATGGTGGTTTGCTTCTTCAAGGCCAGCAAGAAAATCTCTTTAGTCTACCAAGAAGGAGTCTTATACAATAAAACAATCATGGGAGTGGCATTCCCATCACTAGTGCCATATTCTATTTCTTTTTTTTTTTATTATTATTATACTTTAAGTTCTGGGATACTTGTACAGGACATGCAGGTTTGTTACATAGATATACATGTGCCATGATGGTTTGCTGCACCCATCAACCCGTCATCTACATGAGGTTATTTCTCCTAATGCTATCCCTCCCCTACCTCCCCACCTCCTGATAGGCCCCAGTGCATGATGTTCCCCCCTCTGTGTCCATGTGTTCTCATTTTTCAACTCCCATTTATGAGTGAGAACATCTGGTGTTGGGTTTTCTGTTCTTGTGTTAGTTTGCTGAGAATGATAGTTTCCAGCTTCATCCATGTACCTGCAAAGGACATGAACTCATCCTTTTTATAGCTGCATAGTATTCCATGGTGTATATATGCCACATTTTCTTTATCCAGTCTATCACTGATGGACATTTGGGTTGGTTCCAAGTCTTTGCTATTGTGAACACAGTGGCATTCCCATCACCAGTGCCACATTCTATTTCTTAAAACTGACTCACAGGTCCTGCCCACACTTAAGCAGAGATGACCCAAGGACATAAATCATTAGGGGTCACCTTAGGGTGTGTTCAACACACACACACAGAGACACACACACACACACAGAGCAAATATGCTTTATCAGTTTACAATCCAGGTTTGTTA
Source organism: Homo sapiens (assembly GCF_000001405.40). Lineage (NCBI taxonomy): Eukaryota > Metazoa > Chordata > Mammalia > Primates > Hominidae > Homo > Homo sapiens. The sequence continues at coordinate 68,506,530 of NC_000003.12, forward strand.
CCAGGATCTGAAAGCTGGTGGAAACACTGTGTGGGCATAATCAGGGCAACGCTGTGCTCCACTGGTATGCATTTGTTATGGTCTGATTGGTCAAAATATTAGTCATTGAAGCCTGATAACTCAAGGTGAAATAGCTGCTCTAGCATTGAGAAAATGTTAAATATATTTTAACATATTTCATAGAAGACATTTTTCCTGGTTGCTCTAGCTGAGAACCTAACAATGCCCATTTCAACAAATTTGTCAGATGAAATGTTCCCCAAAATGCCCTTCTTTTCAAAATGACTAAAATATACCCTTTCATTTCATTTCATTTAAATTATTCTCAAAGGCAGCCACAGTGCAAATGAATCAGAAATACATATTGTATGGCAATAGAATATTCTACATTATTTTTCTGGGCTGGAAGGGTGTTTATTATGGCCTCACGCAAAGCCTGTGATGCAGGAAGGTCTTCGATATTTTAAGTTCTGGGCCATGCATAGCAAATTCATAGCTTTCCTGCTGCCGTTCTGTCCTTCTCACCAGGGCAGACATTGATAATCAATCACAGTTCTCTTGCTCGTGAAATCTAGACACAGCTTCAGAACCTTAAACACCATGCCTTAGGCAGCCACTAGCAATGGCTGGATTAGAACTTGAATTAAACCTGCTGGCCAGCCCTTGGATAGCCAGTTAGCTTATTTTACCATAGAGCCACCACTGGGCCCTAAAACTAAACTAAAGATGAAATTATCTGCTCAAAAGCAAATAGAAAACATAGACTAATGGAGAACCATGATGAGACAGGATAGGGAAAGAGATCCCTACTACTGAGACAAAAAATTTAAAAGGTTATATTAAAATATTATTTATTTATATGGAAAAAATGAAATATATTATTATGCTTTTTAAATTATATAACATGATTACCAGGTTGTCAGATCAGGGCAAAAACAGTTGATTAAAACTAGCGTCTAGAATTCTTCACCCCTTCTCCCCTTTGTAGTACCTTCTACCTATACTTAAGCTGTGTTTGCAATGAAGAAACAGGTATTGTTCTATTAAATGATTATGGAGCTCACAAGATTTTTAGGCTCTAAAGTTGTTATATTTTCAATAAGACTTGGTCTTGGGAAGCATCGTAGTGTGATAAAGACATCTTTGAGTCAGACACTTAGGTTCTTAGCATATCTCACTGTATGATTTTATGTACACCTCTTAACCAACCCAGACCCATTTCTCCACATGCAAAATGGCAATGAAGATAAAATACAAAAACCGCACAACCCCTATTGTGCTTGGGATGATGGTGATAGTATATAACCTAAGTAATGAGAAAGTGTTTTGACCTCACAAGAAACATGATGTCATGTTATTACAAAGTAGTATTTATTTAGATGTCAGTTCTCCTTTGCAAGATATACCAAAAAATCTAAACACGTGTATTTGCCAGCCCATGCTGCCATAACAAAATAACCATAGACTGGGCAGCTTACACACAGGAATTATTTTGTCACAGTTCTGGAGGTTAGAAGTCCAAGTTAAGATTCCAGCCCATTACATTTATGATGAGGGCTCTCTTCTTGGCTTGCAGATGTCCATCTTCTCACTATGGCTTCACATGGCCTTTCCTTGGCGTATGCAGTAAGGTGGAAGAGGAGTTTTCTGATGTGTTTTCTTATAAGGACACTTATCCTGTCAGATCAGGGCCCCACCCATATGATCTTTTTTTTTTAACCTTAATTACTTGCTTACTCCAAATGCTGCCAGATTGGTGATTAGGGCTTTCACATGTGAATTTCAAGGGGACATAAACATGCAGTCCATAACTACCTGAAAAAAATCTTAGTGTTCAGAAAGACATCTTAGGTTTGCCCTAAATCTTTTACAACAGTTATTGAACTTTCACTGGGTGTCAAACTCTTCGTTATCTTATTTACTCTTCTTAGCAACTCTATGCTGTGGATACTGTTAGTTTTCCTACTTTCTATATGTTTAGGAAGGTCAAGCATCTTTTCCAGTGATCACACAACTCATGAAGTAACCATTAATTCGTTCAACAAAGATTTTTGGCTCCTCTGTGCTAAAAACAATCCTACATATCTGAGATGCATGCACAAATAAGGCAGAAAAAGATCTTCATCCTTGAGAAACTTACATTCTTATGAGGGAAATCAGACAAAAATAACACCAATAGACATAATATATACAAAATCAGGAAATTATAGTGCATGAAAAAATATAGTAGATTAAGGTAGATTCGTAGTGTTGGAAGAAGTAGAGGCAAGTAACAACATTAAATAAAGTGGTATAGATAGAGTTCATAGGGCAAGTAAGAGTTCAGTGATCACTAGAAGAAGATGAGAAGGCTGGCCAAGTAAATGCATGAGGGAAGAGAATTGAGACAACAGAAGGAAGAAGAGCAGAGGCCCAAAGATAGCATCATGGTGTGGGTGTGTTTGAGAAACAGCAATGAGGCCAAGAGTCCAATTCTGGTCTGTCTAACCCAAGAGTCCAACTTGGTAATTGCTGTCACATTGGCCTCCAAGTGTTGATGCACCATTGTCAATCTCCAGTCTCTATGATAAGGAAGGAAAATTAATATTCATTGAGCACTTGGTAAATGTCAGGCACAGTGCTAGGTACTTCATATGTATTATTGGTTGTCACTTTGATTACCAAAATTGCCTGGGGAAATTCTGTGTGGGTTGGTCCCATGGGGAAAGAAAGAATGTATCAAGTTAATTAATGAAATGTCATCAGCACATGTGGTCTCATTAGAGTTCGTTTCATGTCCATCCTACCCTGCGTCAAGGTAGAGAAAAAAGCAGCTGTGGAGGTCATTGAAGGACACTGACAAGATTTCCGTCATGGTCTTGTCTGTGTGTATCTCCTTTGCAGGCCTGTCTCCTGAAATGCAAAATTCCACTCTTCCACTAGGTTAGGCCATTATCAAGACAAAACTAATTCTTAATTTTACAGGAACAACAAAAAACATTCAAAATACTATCTGGATTTTCATGTAAATCAAGTGAAAATAGATATGCTTATGGGCAAGGACTAGTAGAAGCCATGAAAAAAATGGAAGACTTTTTGAAGCATCACTGTTATAATCACAATTATTTTTAAAACCCAAAGCCTCTTGAAAGGGTAACATATCCTGTCATTACCAGCCATTACCAGCTATGTAAAGGTAATGTATTAGTTTGATCCTTTTCAGATACCAGAACTCTCTCTGTTTGGAGAGAATTACACAAGAAGAGCAAAGGAAAGTCCCCAGAACAGACACTGCCAGGGAGCAGAGGATGGGAAATGCCTCACAGGGAAATAGTTTCCTGAAAGGGAGAATGAAAAGGGGCTGAAGGGAACTGGATCCATTTTGCTGAGGCAACTGGCTCCAGAGTGGGCTATTACCACTAATTTATGCCCTCTTGACTCAAGCTAAGAAAGACTCATGTTATATGTAACTTCCCAATTTTAAGTCCCCATTGTCTCGGGATAAAGTTCAATGCCATTATCATGGCTTATCATATCCTTAATGGTCTGTCCCCATCTCTTTGCTCCATGCTTCCTCTCGGGTTCAGGCATTTGCAAAGCCTCATCCCTCTCCCTGCAGTGCTCTTTCCCATCCTGCTTTGGATCACTGTCCACTAACATAAATCTTCCTTAATCACTCTCGTAGGCAGAGTCTGTTACCCCTCACCTCTGCTACCTTAGTATCCATTGCTGTCTTTGCAATAGGACATATTATACTCAACCATAATGTCCTGTTAACTTGGCCATCTCCCCATTAGAGCACCTCAAGGGAAGGGAATGGACAGGGCTTTGGCCATCATTGTATGTCCATTGCTTAAAGGACAGAAAGTAGACATTTCAGAGGTGAGGATTCAGGCCCAATCATACCATCTTGAACTACAGGAAGCACAATGTTAACTCTCCCATCTCCTGAAGAGCAGCCTGCATCCCTTTTAAACCAGGGAGCCACTGTGCATGGTTGACTGGGTACAGTATCACATTTCCCAGTTGCATGTTTTGGGGCAAAAGCCTGAGCTGTAAGTCTCGGCTGCCTATGTAGCCAACAGTCCACACAATATTGCTAAATAGGTTATATTGCATCTAAAACTTAGAATTTACACACTTTTTAGGATAAACTGAGACTCAAAAAAGTTGAGTGAGTCAAATGAGTGACATAGTTAATTAACAACAGAGGGCAGATGTACACTGGGGAATTTTGACTCCCAATTCAATTTCTTCCCACTGTCTCTTTTGCATAGTAAAGGTAAAATGAATAAAACAAAAATAAAAATGCAAGAAGGTGACAGGTTTATTGGGTTCTGCAAAAAAATGTAACAGGAAGACATAGGCAAGTTAATTTTCTTGTTTGGCTACCAGGTAAATGTAAGTTAGAAATGTGTCCTCTGATATAAACCAGCTCATTACATTCCTAAAGATTTTACACGTTTTGATTTCTGTCTGTTCTTGCTTATTCAAAAGTACAGGAGAAAGGTCAGATATCTATTGTATTGATTTTCCAGAGTATACATTAAAGAGACTCAAATGCAAATGTGCCTCTCAACTATGCTAGCTATTTTCTTGTCCCTGAAAGGGGAAAAAACTCATTAGAACTTTTGCAATCGTACTTTATTTGCTTTGCCCATTCAAGATTACACCCATTGCTGTTTTTTAAACAAACATATAGTATAAATATCTGGGTAGCAATAAATATGGAAATAAGGCTCAGCCTTGGTGTGATGAATTTAAACATGAAGTAACAGGTATGAAAACAAATGTGCAAATACTACTATTAGCAGACGTAGTTGCCATAAGTGTTATTAACTTAATTATTTTCTTAGCTTCAGTAGATTTCTAATCATATATTTCTACTAGCAGACAAGTTGAAATAAATTATTTCCTCTAGATCTTGGCTAGAATTACACTGGAGAAGGTAACTAGTTTTCTTATAACAAAACGATAAAAACCTAAACTGTATTGAATTGAGACAATCCAGTGTGAACTGGGTAAATACCATGAGGTTTTCATGCCTTAAAATGATTCTAAGGTATATCTTACTTTAAATAACTACATATTAACAGCAATTTGGTTGAAAAGTAGTTTAAAATTTTAACATAATATAATTAAATATAGATTAATGGTCACCAGGCTTATGATAGTTGAATGTTTTCCTGGTAGTCTTAGTTACCACAGATAAACTTAATTTCCTGATTGTAAATCTCTTTATTACAACTGTCAACATCATTTACTTATTCAAACTAAAATCAAATATGTTATTTTAAAATTATAGTAGATAAATATAAGTAATACACAATATTTAATTAGATACTTGTTGCATACCTGGAATTGTTCTGCATAGTATAAATGATGATAATGGCCATCATTATCATCACCAATAACATAGATAGCACTTACATATGACAAGTCCTCTTCTAAGGTCTTTCTGTATTAACTCATTTCATATATCATTACCTCAACAACCCTATGAGATAAGAACATTATGATTATCCCTATCTAATAAAAAGGGCACCAAGGTTTACAGAAGTTAAATCACTTGATCAAGGTCCCTTAAACCTAGATCTCACCAACTCCAGTGATAAAGTTCTTAACCACTTCACTTGCTTAAATGCTTCACGTGATGCACAGAGGAGTGTACCAATAACTAGACTTATCGATTTACTTACTAAGTTCAATCTGTGTCTTTCATCATTTAGTGGACTTTTGTATTTGCTTCCCACAATATAGAACTGAGATGCTTCCAAAATATTACTCTAAAAAATAGTAGGAATTCACTTAACAGTAGAAACTATTTTTTCAACACAAAGAATAATGAGCCTTTTAAAGTAATGTACTTTTAAAAGAAAATAGATGCTGGTATTATTAGCTGTCTGCAATTTTCTCTACCTGCCACAAAAAATACAGATACAGTCCTATTACCATCTTGCATATGTACTGATTGAAGTTCATGCAATGGCCTGTGGAAGGTCCAGGGCCAAGAGAATTGGCTAATAATTCTTACTTCATTCTGTGCTCCTGACACAATATAAAGAGCATGTTATCTTACTTAATCAGCACAACATTGCTGCTAGGTGGGTTTTATTCCTTCATTTTATGAGAAAAGAGGGTAAAAGAGTTCTGGGTGGTTTTTTGCTGGTTTTTTGTTTGTTTGTTTGTTTGTTTGTTTGTTTGTTTGTTTGTTTTTAATGTCCAGGACCTTATAACTACTAAGTGACTAAAAGTAGGATTTAAGTTAACAAAAAAAAACCTGTTTCTTCTGGTGTCAGAACTCATGATCTTGATTACGTTGTTACATGAACTATTAATTTAAACCTTGAGAAAGTCCTCTTTAGAAAAAAATTCACCTTTGGAGAACTTTGTCCATCTCCACCTTTGTACATTTTTCAAAGCACCAGTGTTCTCTCAGGCAATTTCAACAACCGTGCAAAGTGGGTGGTTCTACATGTCATGGATGGAGGTCCATGTTGTGTGTGGTAGACTCACTTTACAGATGAGAATCTGAGGCTCATTAACATGATGTGATTATCTGGAGTTCTCACCAATATCGATGGCAAACATGGTATCAATGCCCAGGTTTTTTTATGATTCCATTCCACTTTTCATCCACAGGTGCCTCCAGAGTGGTGAACATAAGACATGAAAGGAAGTGAAAGTCAGATCTTCTAACTCTTTTAGGAGTGGTGGGAGTGAAGGAGTAGTGAGTTTGTGCCAAGTGATGGCTAACAAATGCCATGTAGATAGAATGATCTGCTGTACCAGATCGATCACCACTGTCCAATAGTACTTTCTGTAGGGATGGAAATGTTCTATTCTGTATCATTCAATATGGTAGCCACTAGCCATATGTGGCTGTTTTGCACTTGAAATGTAGCTGGTATGACTGAGAAGGAACTTTAATTTTATTTAGTTTTAATTAATTTAAATTTAAATATCCACATGTGGCTAGTAGTTATCTTATTTGACAGCCATAGTGTTAGCTTTTTTAGCATCAACCTCAGAAGTCATGTCCATATCTTTTCTGTGGATGTAGACCACTACCTATTTCATAAAGCCTGATGCATTCAAATAAGTCCCTCCAAACTGTGAGCCCTAACATGGTTTTACTTGCCTATTTCCTATTGCCTCGAGAAACACTAACTCATTTAATTTAAAAAACAAAAAAGACTATAAAGCAGGACAGGTATTACTTCCATTTTACAGATAAAGAAAGTAAAACTCAGGTCATCAGAGTAACTTGCCCATTGAGACATAAGCTGATAGTTTTGACTACCATACTATTCTGCTTATTTATTTTTTCTCAAGTAGCTTTTGATCAAACTATACAGTTTTTCTTTCTGTTTAGGAATTGTCTTAGTTTTTCCAGGGTACCATAACAAAATACCAAATGGGGTGGCTTATAAACAACGTCTATTTCTCACAGTTGTGGAAGCTGGAAAGTTAAAGATCAAGGTGCTTTGCAGATTTAGTGTCTGGTGAGGGCCACTTCCCCACAGGTAGCTGTCTTCTCTGACTTTACATGGCAAAAGGGGTGAGGAATCTCTCTGGGCTCTCTTTTATAAGAGCACTAATCCCATTTGCGAGGGCTCCATCCTTATGTCAAAAGGCCCTCCTCCTAACACTATCACTTTGGAGGTTAGGAATTCAATGTATGAATTCTGGGGGAACATAAACATCAGTCCATTGCAGAAGTATATTTGGAAAGATTAAAATGGCCTTTGAACTGAGAGCCCTTCTATATAGATATGGCAAAATATTTTTAAATGTGGTCCTTAAGCTTATCTTGTTCTTTTTGCATACCTCCAACTTTGAAACAGTGCCTTTGACATGAATTACAAATATGCATAGGTATATAAATATATATGTGTAGAGAGCCTTCCTTTCATTGTTTGTAACCATTTACTTCTCATTTTACTTTTCTCCCCCAGTATGGCTTTTCTTGGTTTAAATTCTTTCAGGAGCAAGAAATGCCATTCAACTGATTTAAACAAAAAGTTTTCTGGCCATGAAATATAAGGCCAAGGCAATGACTGACTTCAGACATCACTATCTCTCTCTCCATCTTTCTATTCTGTTTTCTTCTACATTGGGTTCCATCTCAAACAAGCTGTGCCTCAGTAGTAATAAAAATGCTACCAACAGGCCTAGTTTTATATAACACCAGGGTACCACCCAGCAATGAAAAAAAAAAACGTTTTTTCCCAATATCATTAGAAAAAATCCTGGAATTGAAAATTATTGGTTGGCTTAGGTCACAAGCCTATTTCTGAATCAGTCACTGTGGCCAAAGAGATTGTTCCAGTTTTTAGTTGTATATGACAGCCCCAAAATTAGTAGTTTGAAACAATAGCCATTTTATTACATCTCATGTTTTTATTGGTAGCAATTTGGATAAGGTTTGGCAGGATGATTCTTCAGAATAAACAAGAGATGTAATAAAATGGCTATTGTTTCAAACTACTCATGGACAGAGGTCCATGGTGTTCAGCTGGTGACTGAATTGGTTGTGAAAGTTCAAAATGGCTCATTTACCTTGGCTTGAAGGAGACAGCTGGAAGGCTGGGATCAGCTGGGATGATCAACTGTAGCATCTGCATGTGCACTTCCCAGTATGGTAGTGTCAGGGCTGTAGGATTTTTTTATAGGCTGGCTCAGGACTCCCAGAAATAAGAGTCTAAAAAGGGTGGGTGGAAGCTGCAAAACATTTTATGACTTACCTTAAGAAATCCTAGAATGTTACTTGGGTTACATTCATTTGTTCAAGCAAGTAACTAGAGCCAGCCCAGCTTCAGCAGGAGAGGAATCATAGTTCTCAAGGAGAGGCATAGCTATTTGTTTTTTCCAACAGTGTTTCAGCCAGAAAGAGATGGATGATCTGATTGGACCAGCCTGGTCATGTGGCCACCTCTGTTTCCAGGAAGTATGGTTAGCTCCACCTAAAGCATCTGACTAACACCGTAGGGAGAGTAGCTCCCCAAAGGAAAATTAAAGTATTGTTCCCAGAAGAGAAGGGAGCAGATGCTAGGTATGTAGAAATAAGAGCTATGTGACAAATTGATGTTGACATCACCAAGCCTCATATAATAATTCTAACAAGCATTATGAAATCAAAAAAGATATCAAAATGTGGGGTCCATAAAAGCCTGAACCTTAAACCTTGCCATTCACTAGCTTGGGCTAATTAAAATCTGAACCTTACCTTCCTTATGTGTAAAATGTGGATAATAATGATCTTCTTCCCAGGATTGCTGCAAGCATTAGATGGAGTGCTATACACTTAGGGTTTACTCAACAATTATCCCCTTTTTTTCCTTATGAAACCTCTTAAACTGTGAACACGAGCTCCTCTTGAAATTAGCACCCCCTCTTAGAGCCACCTGAAGCATAGTAGCCTAAGAAGTTTCAAGTGTGTAGAAACCAAGCATTATTTGCAGGCTGCACTGGCCCTTACTTCCCAAATGCAATTTACATTTTCACTTTGATCAGTAAAAGCAGATATATTGGTCTCTGTTCACATGAGAGAGTACCTCTATGCATCTTTGCAGTGACATACTTTCCTATTTCATCTTTGAAATTCATTTCTCTCACAATCCAAAGCAGTCAAGGTCACTGGTCCTTTAAGAATATTGTAGGTTGCTCATCCCAACCCATCTTGATAATGGAATTTAGGGCTGAATTTAGCTTTTTCTCTTTTATTGGTCATCACTGATAAAACTTGATTGCTTAATATTTTTTCCTGAGCATCCAGGTGCTGAAAGCTGTGTTCCAAATTCAGCGATTAACTGTGTCTTAAGATACTAGATTGATGACTTCTCAGTCTGGTGCTTTTCATCAAGGGGACAGTGTGGAAACTGAGCTGTCCTTCAAGAAATGTTAGCCTTGGTTTGTACATTTTTTAATGTGAATGCCAACTGAAAAAATTAGGCTACATATGTTGCAGTTCCTTCATATTTTATAGTTTCCTTTGTGTATATTTTCAATTAATGTGCTTAGTTCTTGAATTGGATCTAAATAAAAGTGATCTTGGATTGAAAGCTATCAGGATATTGTGCAGCATTAAGGAGAGCACTGGTTCTTTCTCTCTCCTGCTGCTAGAAGAGGCAATAAAAGAACAGGAGAGGAAGGGAATGTTTCGTTGTGTTCAGTGCGTAGGGGTCATACCACTGCTAAATAAAATCATTTCAGATAATAGTACAGGTGACACCAAATAGCAACTGAAGTACAGAGTAAATAAATTGTTCCTTCTTTTTTTTTGAGATGGAGTCTTGCTCTGTCACCCAGGCTGGAGTGCAATGGAGCATCTCAGCTCTCTGCAACCTCCACGTCCTGGGTTCAAGCCATTCTCCTGCCTCAGTCTCCCGAGTAGCTGGGACTACAGGCATGCGCCACCACACCTAGCTAATTTTTGTATTTTTAATAGAGATAGGGCTTCACCACGCTGGCCAGACTGGTCTCAAACTCCTGACCTCAAGTGATCCGCCCACCTCGGCCTCCCAAAGTGCTGGGATTACAGACGTGAGCCACCGCGCCTGGCCAATTGTTCCTGTTTCCATTTCCTTCTATCCTTTTGCTACATTGAAGGAGAAAATCTCAATTTAGTATTATCATGTCTTCAACACCTCTCAAAAATATATTCATCTCCAACTTCTTAAAAGAAACTGAGGATTTCACCTTAGGAAGACAATAGTGTCTAACTATAATCAGTAATCTTTTTATTGTTGTATTTATTTTTATATTGACCGCAGAGAATGTAATACCAGTTTTCCACTTATAGTAAGGTAATAATGTTTCCTTTTTACATAAAGTCATTGAATTAAAAGAATCAGTTCCTAAAAGTGACACCCTTTGTTTTAGAAGTCAGATGGAGCTCTTTTAGTCATGGCCTTATGTAGTGCCTTTCACCCTGGCTGCTTGTTTATAAACCAAGACTACCCAGTTTGTTTGGTGACCTGGGTGCAGGGAAAGCCGTGCAAATGTGTAGTCAAGTGGTCTGTAATAAGATGAGCGATACAAATGCTGAACAAGCCTCCTCTGGGCAGCATCTGATAGATTTCTGTACTGAAGAAAATATTTGATGAGGACAGACCCCTTAATCCTGTCAAACGAACTAATTCATTTTCAGTTCCATCTATGAAATTATACTCCACAAAAGCAGAACTATGGCCCAGGAGGAGACAGTCATCTGACAGAGAAACAGCATTGCTGAGATGAGATAGAACTTGCTCTGGATCAAAAGTGATCATTTCTATTATTCTCATGGTATCTTTGATTTGTCACAGCAATTGCATTTGTATAAGGCCTAGTTAATTAAGACTGTGGACTGTGATCAAATTTAAGCAGCACAGTTCCTAAAATATACCCAGCCTTATCTGCTCCCACTTGCTGATAAACACACACACACACACACACTCACACACACTCGCACACTTTTGCTCCAGAAATGCTGAACTAATAGTTGCCAGAATACAACATTCTAACTCATACCTCTGGGTCATGCACAAGCATTACTTCCACTGAGATTCCCTTTCTCTACTTTACTGCCTTTGCAAATTCCTACTGATCCTTTAGCACTCATTGCAGACATCCCTTTTTCAACCTCCTCTCAACTCTGGATTAGATCCTGCATCTTAATAGCTGTGTGAGCGTGGGCATGTTATGTAGCCTCCTTTTGATTGGTTTCCTCCTCTCTAAAATGAGATAATAGTAGTGCCCACATCCAAGATTATTATGAGGCTTAAATTATGGAATGAATACAATTTTTTTTGGCACAGAGCCTGATCCACAGCCAATTCTCCCTAAATTCTCCCTATGATTTCAAAGTATTATTTATTTTGTCATTGCCCTGACTACATTGATTGCAATTAAATAGTGTCCTTTATTAAGCTGATAGTTTTTTAAGGATATGCACTGAAATTTATTAAATTTGTCCTCAGCCTCAACATATTTAGGAATATAACATATTTATATTTAATTGAACTGCATTGAATTGCATCTGGATGAGGGCAACTGATGGTTACTGATTAGTAATTACTGATGATTACTTTTATAATAACAATAACAACAGCAAGTTTATGGAGCACTTACTTTGAACTAGGCATTCTGGGAATCAAAGTCCCCAAACCAACTAATTGGCTGTTTCGTTCACATCTGAACCCATCACTGAGATAGGGGGAATGGAACATGTAGAGGGGTTAAGACAAGGTCCCATGACCACATGGTTTGAGAGAGTGAGTGAAGGTTGTTTCCCCAAAGATAAACCCAAGTACCACAACCAGAGGGAAAAAAATTGGGATTACTGCTGGGGAGACCAAAATGTCAGATGAGTACAACACTGGTTTCAGAGTAATTTTTATTTGTCCATAAAGCCTGCCTCTTGGATCATTCCAGGGCAACAACCTAGCAGTTAATTTAAGTGATAAGATTAAAGTTTATTTTAAATATCAGTGATCTTTCCTCCATTCCCAAACAGAATGAGTTGATACATTCGTTTATATATATCAAGGTGGTTGAGCTTGTTGGTCTATAATACAATATGTAAAAGGCTAATTAGAATATTGCTACTGTGGTCTGAATGTGTGTGTCTCCCCCACCCTCAATTCGTATGTTAAAACCTAATCACCAATGTGATGATATTAGAAGACGAGGGCCTCATGTGAGTGGAATCCTCATGAATGAAATTAGTGTCCCTATAAAAGAGACTCCAGTGAACTACTTTGTCTCTTTCTGCCATGTAAGGATACAATGAGAAGACGTCATCTATAAACAAGGAGGCAGGCCCTCACAAGACAAAGAATTGGCCATTGCCTTGATCTTGGACTTCCCAGCCTCCAGAATTGTGAAAAATAAATTTCTGTCCTATATAAGGTACCCAGTTTATATTATTTTGTTATAATATCCCAAATGGACAAAGCCAATTGTTAATGATTACCTCATAGTTTTGTATCAACTACTTTGCCTAGTATGATGCATTTCATAAATAAATTCATATGTATGTGCTATAGGCTACCTTATCCAGTTCAGGCTGCTGTAACAAAGTACTATAGACTGGGTGGGCTTATAAACAACAGAAACATATTTCTGACAGTTCTGGAGTCTAGAAGTCTGAGACCAAGTTGCCAGCATGGCCAGGTTCTGGTGAGGGCCCTCTTCTGGGTTGTATACTCTTGGCTTCTAATTGTATCCTCACATGGCAGAAAGCAGAGTGAGGTTTCTGGGGGACCCTTTTATGTGGGCACTAATTCCATCCATGAGGGCTCCACTTTCATGACCGAATTACCTCCCAAACACCCTATCTCCTAACACCATCATGTTGCAGGTTAGGATTTCAACATACGATTTTGGGAGGACACAAACATTTAGTTCATAACATGAGCTTACATATTACCTTTCTGAATTGAGGGGGAATGTTGTTGAAGAAGAGTTTCATAATGAGATGAAATGAAAGGAAGTAATTTGGGTGTATTCCTTCTTGTAGGAAGGGGATCGTATGACCAACAAAATCCTAAAACACAAAACAGTTTGCCTATACTCAGAATGTTGCACTGGTGATTGTTTTTTTTCTTTGGGAAAAGTTGTCGTCTCAGAAAGTAAAATGAAAATGGTTTTTGAGCTTGGCATTTGGGCTAGAGCCAACTTGAAAATTCAGAGCATGAGAAAAAATTTTTTTCTTTAGACCTGTCTTCTCCACAAATTATATTCACGAAGATTTTCAGACTCTGTCCCTGTGGCTCGGGCTCAAGTAGAGATAGATTTCAGCCTGCCACAGGTAGGACAGAAAATGATTTTAAAAGAACAATAAATAAATATTAGAAGCCTTTTCTTTAGTTGCTATTTTTTCCCTTTTTCTTTTGATGGCTGATGTTCAGTTTTCTCCCAATTTCTTTCTTGTGCTACAGCAAGCCTCGAAAAATACTTCACTATAAGAGCAACTTCTAAATGCTCTCGTCTTCTTGCAGAAATCATGTCAGAAACATCCAAATGAATCTTAATAGTTGAGTAAAATTGAATTTGGCTTCTCTAGGCCATAACAGTTAGTATTACTCCATTGTGAGCAGATCTGGATTATAATTAAGAAAACCCAACATTACCACTGACACAGAAGTATGCTAGGAAAATGACTAATTTACATAGATCTATGCCTGTTCTGTAACTTCTGCATCTGGCATGCTATGAGGGACAGTGTGATCATGCATGTAAAGTGGAGGGACACATGATAAGGACAGAAATCTACTCTCAGGATTATCTATTAGTCAACTAAATTTTTAATATTAATGCAAAATCTCATTCTTCAGTAATTGTTAATATTCGGTACTAAATGGCTAGAAAATAGCAGCAATCTGGCTTTGGTGCAGTCAAACACCTGGATTCATTCAATCATTTAGTTATTCCACAAATATTTATTGAGCACCTTCAGTGTAGCATAGGATTGTGTTAGGTGGCAAGTAGCAGAATGCCCAACTGAAGCAGCTTTGACAATAAGAATTGATTTTTTCCTGCATAACAGAAAGTAAGGAGGTATTGGTTTTTGACATAAGTGCCAGCCTTGCAGCAATTTTCCTGAACTGTCTTTTATGATGGCTATAGTAGCTGCAGCTGTCATATACGCATTTCAGACTGTGTAAGTAGGTGACTTAAGGACCAGGCCAGCAGTGACTTTGTCTTTTCAGCAGGAAATCAAGACTTTTCCAGAGCGCCCTCCCCAGCAGACCTTTGCTTGCTCTCATAGACCAGAATCGTATCATATGCCCAAACTCAGCTACCAGGAAAGCTAGTAAAGCAATTATTTTGAAGTTCCGCTGCTGGAGTGGGAAGTATCAAGGGAGAAGGAGTTGGGAATGGCTTTTCTGTAGCCAATTTACAATGCTGGTCACAATTTCTATGTGCCAGGCACTCTGCTTGGTGCATTAAACACACAACTGGAAATGTACAATCACTGGCCTCACGAAGCGTACAGCTTAGTGGAGAGATAGATGAGGAAACATTTAAAATACGTGAGGAAATAGGAGCACAATACCATAGAAGCCTAAAAGAAGGAAGACTTAAGTTTGGTTTAGTGTGGAATTGATCAAGAAATTTGTACAGTATCAAAGTATACCTTAGAGACAGTTATTTGGCATGTGGTTTATTTATTCCTCATGCAAATGATTTTCTTGTATTTGAGAAAGTCAGTGGTAAACTAAATCAAGTAACAATGACACAGAACTCATAAGGGATAGGGAAGGAAAAAACCTATAGACAGTTTGGGAAAAGTGAAATTTGTTTGCTTATGTTGTGACAGAAACATAGAAGTGAGTCTGGGTTTTTCTGTGTTTTTTTCTGTTTTTTTTTTTTTTTTTTTTGGAGATAGGGTCTCACTCTGTTACGTAGGCTGAAGTGCAGTGGCATGATCATGACTCACTGCAGCCTCAAATGATCCTCCTGCCTCAGCCTCCTGAGTAGCAACAACAGGAGCACACCACCGAGCCCAGCTAATTTTTTATTTTCTATTTTTCATAGATGGGGTCTCGCTTTGTTGCTCAGGGTGGTCTCCATCTCCTGGCTTCAAGCAATCCTCCCACCTCAGCTTCCCAAAGTACTTGGATTCCAGGTGTGAGCCACCAAAATATCAAAAACTTTTCAGTTATTTATAAATTTTTCTAGAATATCCTGAGATTTTAGCTGTGGATTGAATATGATAGGCTGATTTTGTGTAATGTCTTCCAGTGTCTTTCTGTCTAACTTGGTGAGATCTGATATAAATCATTTCCTCACTACAAATTCTCAATGAGAACACGTATTTGGATTGAGATTGTAAGATGTCAAAAGTCTCTACTCGATGGGCCAGTGGAAGGAGAGCAGTTCCAGTGGTGTTAGCAACATACATAAATGTGCAGAGAAATGATAGGGAAAGGTTCGGGGAGCTAGATGGCCATTCCGATTTACTGAAGCAGAAAAAGAAAGGCTTCCAAGTCTTCTTCTAGTCAATTGGACTGGTGCTTCAGAGGCAGCACCTAAGTCAGGCTCTGAGTACATACATAAAAGGCACTTGAGGCCAGGTACAGAGGCTCATGCCTATAATCCCAGCACTTTGGGAGGCCTAGGTGGGCAGATCACTTGAGACCAGGAGTTCGAGACCAGCCTGGCCAACATGGTGAAACCCCGTTTCTACTAAAAATACAAAAATTAGCCAGGCATGGCAGTGAGTGCCTGTAATCCCAGTTACTCTGGAGGCTGAGGCAGGAGAACTGCTTGAACTCAGGAGGTGGAGTTTGCAGTAAGCCGAGATCATACCACTGTACTCCAGCCTGGGCGACTTTGGGAGGCTGAGGTGGGCAGGTCACTTGAGGTCAGGAGTTCAAGACCAGCCTGGCCAACATGGTGAAACCCCAACTCTACTAAAAATACAAAAATTGGCGAGGTATGGTGGTGTGCACCTGTGATCTCAGCTACTCAGGAGGCTGAGGCAGGAGAATTGCTTGAACCCGGGAGGCGGAGGTTGCACTGAGCTGAGATCATGCCATTGCACTCCAGCCTGGGCAGCAAGAGCGAGACTCCGTCTCAAAAAATAAATAAATAAATAAAGCACTTGAAAGAAGTGTATGTGTGTCTATGGGATGAGTGAATGGAATGCCAGGGATGATAGGGAGTGGCAGGGACTATGGCAAACTGGAGAACATGAACCCCACCCAAAGGAGAAAACACTGCTCAGTTGTTTTTATAAACACGCAGCCCCAGTGTTGCTAGTCTTCCTATTTTTCCCAGAAACCTAACATTTGTACTTTAATGTAAAATCTCCTAATTTGAATATTGGTGATTAATTTCAATTATTAAAAGTACTGTGTAGAGAGAAAAAAAGAATCCACACTTCAGTTTAAGCACATAAGCTGCCAACTTTTGACCTTTGTGTTAAATAAGTGTTTTGTAATTTCTTAGGATCAATTTGACTGGAGAACAGGACATCTCCTTTAATCAGGAAAGTGAGTAGTCAATGATCAAGAAGCCATGAAAAAATGCCCTGTCATCAATTGCTTGATTCTTACATCAGTGCTTTTAGAAGCAAAAACTCATAAATATAGTATCTGAATTTGATTAAAATAAAATATCCCCCAAAATATATATACTAAAATAACACTCTTAATAACTATTCAGTATAATAGATCATTTTCATATTCCTAGTGTTTTGCTATTTAAGTGTATTATGGAAAAGATTGTTTTTATTTTTCTTTTCAAAGGCCTAGGTTTTCTTTGCATGTACTCTTGCTTCCCAGTAAATCCAAGGGCAAAATGCATTTATAGATTGGGGTTTGTTGTTTTGGATTTAGGTGCAGAATACCCAACATTTTATGTCATTTTTTTCCAAACTTCTGTCAGTCTCATACCATCTTCCTATTTCGTGCTATACCAGTACATTGTCTTTATCATTACTTGCTTGATGCTTTTCTTTAAATTTACCTAAATGTATTCATCTTAAAAAGATATTTTCTGACTACTTTCCCATTGCCTTTTGTTGTATAACAAATCTCCACACACTGAATGACTTAAAAGAACAAAAATGTACCATTTCTCACGATTCTGTGTGTTGCCTGGGTGGTTTCTTCTGGTCTGGGCTGGCTCCATTGGACCTGGAATCAGGGTGGCCTCTGTCACATGTCTGATGATTGACAGGTTGATGATGCCAGGAGGACCTCAGCTGGGGTAGCTACTCTCTGCTCCACATGACTTTTCAGCATGGTCACGACAGGTTTCTAAAGAGCAGTAAGCCCCAATACAAGCACCTTCAAATCTCTTCTTGTCTCTTGCTTGCTAACCTTTTATTGGATGAAAAAATCATATAACCAAACCCAGATAGAAGGGCTGGCAAAATAGACTCTACTTCTTAATGTAAGGACAGGCAAAGTCAGTGCACAGAGGCAGGTGTAGAAGAGGAAGCATTTGTAATTGTTCTTACAATCAGAAAATAGAAATTTAGTATTACCTGACATAAAGAGGCAGTACATTTAGAAAATAAAATCAAAATGAATTGGCATTATTAAACCACTATTGCTAGAAAAGTAAGGTTTTAAGCTACCACAAGATTCCCCATCTCCCAGGATCCTGAGCCCTCAGATTGGGAAGTACTTTTCTATGTTTCTAGGTTGTTTTTTGTTTTTGTTTTTGTTTTTGTTTTTTTTTGAGACTGAGTCTCCCTCTGTCGCCCAGGCTGGAGTGCAGTGGTGCGATCTCGGCTCACTGCAAGCTCTGCCTCCCGGGTTCACACCATTCTCCTGCCTCAGCCTCCCGAGTAGCTGGGACTACAGGCGCCCGCCACCACCCCCTGCTAATTTTTTTGTATTTTTAGTAGAGACAGGATTTCACAGTGTTAGCCAGGATGGTCTGGATCTCCCGACCTCGTGATCCGCCCACCTCAGCCTCCCAAAGTGCTGGGATTACAGGCGTGAGCCAACGCGCCCGGCCGTTTCTAGGTTTTATTGTTGAACTTTGGGTATGTGTTCCACTCGACTTTCAATTTAGCTAAATATATAGCCATAAATACAGTCAAAAGCGTAGGGGATGTGCAGCTCAAGGCAGTAGAACTAAGATGTTGAACTTTTTGCAAACAGATCCATCTGAAACATTGCTGCATGTATATTCCTGGTCTCCTTTGATTATTTTTTTAGCTTTCTTAATGCCATCACTGACACGAACAAAATGAATTTCGAAGCGTCAGTATGGAATTTTATTTTTTACCCATGTTTGTTGGCAGTTGGCAGATTCATTCTGGTTTAGCGGGTTTGATATTAGTGAAATTACATATTTCAAAATATAAGAATCCTTATATCATCCTTCATTTTCTCATCTGCTTTAAAACTCATAGGTGAAGGCTCTGCTATGCTTTTATATAGTTCAGTCTGCCTATTTTAAGTAGTGCTGAGCATAGAGCAGGTGGTCTATAAATATTTTTTCTGATAGGTAAAGCTAAATTCTTCCAAATAGTCCAGACAATTCCACAAAAATAACCATGCTAGTTGTGTGGTATTGTATAGGAAAACAAAGCTGTTGATTGTTGTTTTCCACTTTTTAAGAGGTGAAGGTCAAAGGCATATTCCAGAGATATTGGGAAGTTCTTGCCAAATGACTGAAGTAATCAACTATCAAATTATTTTGCCATTTCAAATATAGACACACATCAAATTAGTTTCAAGAGTGCTCTATGATTAAGGAGTCCATATTTCATCTTCACATGAGAGTCTAGTTATGTTTTTTGAAGTTAATTACAGCAAACCTGAAGATATCAGTCTCCCCTAGAGACTGCAAGAGCACAATGGTATTATATCCTGTTATTCTCTCTCTCTTTTTTTTTTAATCAAACACCTGTATTAACACATTCTCAAGTGTCTGTGAGCCAGGCAAATAGTGCTGAGAACCACAAGCTTTTCATCCAGACCTTAGTCCTCCTGAGTTTTCCATGTTCTCAGTTGTGATTCACTCAGCCACCTATGACAGCTTAATAAAATAAGAGAAACAATGTATCTCCTTTGATTCCCTAGGATTTGGCTTCTAAGGCAATAGGTGAGTTCAGAGTTAAGAGACACTTCTCTCCTAGTTGGTATCAATTTGTATAGATCTGAAGTGGCCTAAGAGGTTTTGCATGCTCTGTAGTTTCTCCCTTGTCTAAAGTTTCCATCAATGCCAAGAGCATCTCCCTGGGAGTTTGAACTTCCCTTTAATCTAATCCATTTAGAAAATGACTCACAATTCATTGAATGAAGTAGAGAAAATTGATAACTTTTCATTAGTCTGACAAAGTCTTTTTCAGTGCTGGCATCTAAAATGTGTTCTCTATTTAAATTTTATTTATATCAATCTTCTCTAGTGGGAGTAAGATTAAAATGAAATACCTTACAATCAGTGTACAACTTTCCCATTACTGCCAAAATTGTGAACACTAGTTTTGCAAATGAACTCAATACCAGGAATTTTCTGAGCATAATTTAATATTTGAGATCAACTGCACAGTGGAATCAACCAAAAGTGATATTTTAATACCTCAATAACTATAAAAATGATTACATATAAAAAGAGGAAAGAGTACTTAACTGACATTATTTGATCATGGTAAATTTGTAGCAATTCCAGCAAAAACTATATTATAGAGTCTAATAGTACTCTCATAATGTACTTTTTAAAACTGGGGAAATGTTTGTATATAAACTCATTCCTTCAAAGAGCCATTTCTAAAGTTTAAGAAAAATACCAAAGTGTAAAAGAATGCCTCTGCCAAATGGAATCATGAGTGATAATTTTTTAAATAATTATCCATATGCTTTAAATGTTAGAAAAGAATATGTATTACTTTCAGAATTAGAAAAAAAATAAAGGTTTTTTAAGTTGGCAAAATAAGAAACATAAAAAACATTTGTTCTTCAACAAAATTGCAAATTACTATCCACTGTAAATAAACTTTAGGGTCACTCTTAAATAATTTGAAGGTAGAATGTTAAATTTTAAGATACAAGGTATATACAGTAAGACATGTATTTAATAAGCATGATTCCTTGTGTTCCTTGCTAACCATTTATTAAAAATTATTTTTCTACACAGATGCAAAGTCATGTAAAGCTGAATTCTAAAATAAAACCATCTATTTAGTGAAAGCAAGACCAACATTCAGGATTTGATTTACAAATAGAATCAGGGATAAAGTTACCACAGATTAAAAGTATAGAATAAGCCAGGGACTCCAGGACTGGTATGCAGCCTAAGACAAAGAGTATTATTAGTGGCAGGAATTAGGAGAGCTTCCTTGAGTTGCAAAAGGTCTCTGAAAATTCCTTGTCACCAGAGCATACAGCTTTTTTCAAAATAGGACATGTACCCCTGTGTTCCAATAAGACAGCTTAGAGTAGCCCATAACAGGTAAAAGATTTCTAATTGTTTTGTGTTTTATTTTAAAATTCATGTCAAGGTAGCCTTTTATATCATAATATATACTTACTTGTTTTAATACAAAAACAGTTTTGTTAATTACTTAATGGTTAAATTACTTCATCAATGAGGAGTCTTCTTATGGTCACACTCTGAGAATCTAAATTATATCCACTAGTTCTTTTCTCTGATAGCATGCTGTATCTTTTTATGCATCACAACTTGTCAATATATATTGTCTGGTCTTTATATTTGGTGCAGAGTTCCAAAAAGAGACTGTATGCTGCTTTAGAGTGGGAACTGTGTGTCTTGATTTTATGTCCAGCACTGCAGTAAATGATTAGCTTTTGAATGAATAAAAAATAACTTTTGTCTCAAATACCTTTAAAAAAAATCTACCGACTGAAGGAAATTATACCACATTTAACTTGTGACTTTCAATCCTCCCATTTCACAATCCATGTCCTCCCCTCTACCCTCACCAAGATAAGATTGTCTGTTCGAAAAGCACTAGAATAGAATTTGTAGAGGGAATGCAATCCTAATGAATCTTATCATCAGCCCTTAACTTCATGTATGTCTTTGAAATATAATGTAGATCCTCTAAAGAAATACAATTTGAGCTGTAAAAAATGATCGTATGCATTTCAGAATTAGTATAATCTTGCATTAAAGATAAGGCATTAACCCTGTATGAAGGTGAGGGGATGGATGCATACAGAGCTGGATAATAAACACATGGATAAATAATAGTGATAACTGCCACATGCTGAGTATAAAGTTTATTAGGCATTATGGTAAGTGCCTTATCTAAAATTCACGATAACCAGTTGTGACTTTTAACTTCATCTACAACTGAGAAAACTTAATCTTGAACTAAGCAATTTTCCAAAGTCATACTATTACAAAGTGGTAGAACTAAAATTCAAACCCAGGTCCCTCTATCGCATACCCAAGAGTTTAGAGTCTTAGTCAATACATAATGTCTCAAAATTGGATCCTATCCTTAAATATGTGCTCATAGAAAAGCGAAGTTTGAAATAACTGCAGGGAAGGTTATCCAATGCCTTTAATTTCCTGTTTGCTTTGATAAAGACAATAACACACTGGGAGTCACTACAGGTCTTTTGAAGAAAAGAGTTGTAACAGCTGTTCCAACAACCAGTGCAAAAAGGGAGGCTGGAGATCTGTCCCATCCTTACAGTGGAGTTCTAGCCATTGCTTTAAATTGCATGACAGGTTGCACAAAAGTAAGTCTGGAGATTTGTCTTGATTGAGGTACTTATAACCTACTTCTGGGAACATGAATACAATCATATGTTCAACCATTTAATTTATGCTCAAACTCTCATAAGTCATAGAAGCAAGCTGAGAGTTTGGCATATCGAAGAATAATGTTTTACTCTCACTTAGTGAAGAATTGCCTTTTTGGTTTGGCATGATTTTATTCTTTAGAGTAATAAAATTGATGATGCCAATGAAGATAATGATAGCTAATATTTATTGAAGATTTACTGAATGCCCAGTACTCTGCTAAGTACTTCAAATGTACTTTCTCATGTAATCCTCACAACCCTTTGATATAGGCACTATTTTTTTTCTCTTTTTGTTTCATTGTGTTTATTCATTCATAAGTTGGAAATCCATCTTGACCTACCCCATGCCACTCAAAGATTAGTATAGTATTAATCCTACTGTTAAGGAGTTCACTGCCTAGTACAAGTAGGCAAGCAGATGAGTCCAGTGTGATTGGAGTGAAAGCTAAGATGACCGAGTTACTGGTTAAAGTGTTCCTCTGTTATTCCTAACGTTGCCCTCCACCCTGCCCTTCTTCACAATTCTAGTGCAAGCATGTAAAATCAGGAGCTTATCT
This sequence comes from Homo sapiens, assembly GCF_000001405.40. NCBI lineage: Eukaryota > Metazoa > Chordata > Mammalia > Primates > Hominidae > Homo > Homo sapiens. The sequence continues at coordinate 68,529,295 of NC_000003.12, forward strand.
TTTCTCTTTGAGTTTAGTGACTCTTAACTAGCATTTCATCTGCTTCTTCTTCCATCTTACACACTACACCAATGCATCTTCCCCTACCTACCCTTTAATCATATCTCCCCTTTGCTCATGGAATCTAGATTCACCATTCTCTAAAAAAAAAAAAAAAAAAAAAAAAAAAAAAGAACACAAGCTGCTTGCTTTCAAGAACTTCCATAGTCTTATTAAGCCTTTGTCTTAGTCTGCTTGTGTTACTATAAAAGAATACTGCAGGCTGGGTAATTTATAAATAAAAAATATTTATTTGGCTCACAGTTCTGCTGGCTGGAAGACTGGGCATCTGGTGAAAGCTTCAGGCTGCCACCACTCATGGCAGAAGGTGAAGGGGAGCTGTGTGTGCAGAGACCACATGGCAGAGAGGAAGCAAGGGAGAGAGGAGAGGTGCCAGGCTCCTTTAAACAACCAGCTCTCGTGGGAACTAAGAGGGTGAGAATTCACTCACCCTCCCCTGTAGGGGAATTGACCTGTTCATGAGAGATCCACCCGATAACTCAAATGCCTCCCATTAGGCCCCATTTCTAACATTGGAGATCAAATTTCTACATGAACTCTGGAGAGGACAAAAAATCCAAACTACAGCAGGTTTTCTCCTTTTATTCCCCAACCTGAGCCTGCTCTATTAACACAACATATTTACTAGGGGAAGAGCACTTTGCTCATTTATACTTCTTTCCTGTAATTTATGACAAAATGCCAGTAACCTGTATTGAGAAACTCTGATCTAAACTGTCATCTTTGAGGACAGGACTATGTCATGTTCTTTATTTTATCACTCTTGGTAAAGCAGGTAATGTTTTGATAAACATTTGCTGAATTTGATTATCTACTGAAACAGTAGAAAGGGACTGCAGTTCTTAGTCAATATAATGTTTATTTATTGTTTTCATTAAGCCCATTGCTTATTAGTATCTTGCTATAGTTCCATGGCAAAATGCCTCATGAGTGAACAACAACCATAATGAAAAACAGATTTCTGCTCTATTTAGGATTTATACTGAAATAAAGGATTGATTCTCCTTTTACAGCCTCTCTTTTGCTCTATAGCAATATGACCTAGTATAAGGGAAAAATCAAGACTCATGATTAAAGAAGCTTTAGTGATTTTAAGAATCTCTCAAAGAAAGATGAACATTCTGGAAAGAGTTGAAGATCAAATATTTTCCTAAGCATGGCAAATTCACAGAGCAAGTCCTAGAACCCCAGGGTTAAAAGGGACCTTAAAGATCTTCTTTCATAATCACTTCAGATAAGAGAAGCTGGTTTTGGTGGCTGATATTTAATTAACTCAGTTCTAGGGGATAAAAAGTCCTCGGAGCAGTTATGCATCTACCTCACAAGTTTCTCATGGCTTCGAAAATGGTTCACTTGTGGGAATTTCTATTAAAATGCTGTAACTAGTGAAATCAAGTAATGAGTAGCTCAGATCAAAAAAAAAGTGTGATAAGTTGGCTCTTGCTTGAATTTTTTTTAAAGCTAACTTAATTTTACAAGAATCTAAATGTTTTTGTTTTCTGCAAGTATTTGTGTTTGATATGAAATTTATTTTCGATAGTAATACAACATACAGAATCCATGGACTCATGGACTCAAAAGCCAATATATTTTTTTAATTCTATGAATGCTGAATACAAAACTAGAAGGCACTGAATTAGCATTATAATGATTAACAACAACAACAAAACAAAACAAAACAAAACAAAACAAAACAAAACATGGATTTGGTGGGGAAGCAAGCTGGGGTTTTAGTGTTAATTCCTGCACTTCCTACCTGTGTAAGCTTGGGAAAGTTACTTAGTCTCTCCGGGCTTCAGTTTCATCACTTTTAAAATGGGTTAGTGATAATACCTACTTTATAGGGTTGTTAACAGCAGCGTATCCATGTGGGTCTGCAGCAGCCTCAGATTCTGCCTCCTCAGAAGAAAGAATTTGACCGAATGACTTAAAGCAGAGGGAGAGAACAAGGCAAGTTTTAGAGCAGAGGTGAAAGTTTATTTAGAAGTTTAGAGCAGGAATGAAAGCAAGTAAAGCACACTTGAAAGAGGGACAAGCGGGTGACTTGAGAGATCCAAGTGCACAGTTTGACCTTTGACTTGGGGTTTTATAAGTTGGCTTACTTCTGGGTGGTTGTGTCCCATCTCCCCTGATTCTTCCTTTAGCGGGGCTGTCCACATGTGTAGTGACCCGCCAGCACTTGGGAAGTTGTGCTCATGCTCATTTGAGGCATTTTTCCCTTATCAGTTGAGTGTTCCTAGAGGAAGGTCAGTTAAACTCCATCATTTTGCTTCTTAGAGCACGTGCTTGAACCTACTCATCCAACTCCTGAGATCTTATGGGGAAGCTGCTGATCACCAGCTTCAGGTGTTTTCTATCTGTTGGGAGACTGCCTTTCCCTGGCGCTGGTTGTGACCAATTATTATTTTAGAGAGACAGTTTAACAAGCACCTGACCATCAACTGATGGTTGCCAGGCATTCCTGGTGGGGGGCCCTCTCCTGCCCTGCTCATGTCAACCTAACTACCTGCTCTAACAGAGTTACTGCAAAGACTGAGGTAATACATTTAAAATACCTAACAGAGAAACACATAGGAGCACTCAATAAATGTTAATTATCCTTTTTATTATTGCATTGACTATCTTAATTCAAAATATTTAAGAATTATTTATCTTTATATTTTTCTTATGCAGGGTTGAGGAGAATTTTCTTCTCTCTGAACGTCCAAATCTGTCTGTTAAAATGAATGGACAACAGATCCACAGAGGAGAAAGTAGGCAAATTTATTAACATGTACATAGACATGGGAGTCCCACAAATGTGAGACCCCTAAAGAGCTGGATGACTGAAGATTTTACAGCACCCTGAGGTTATAGAAAGAATAGGGGCTCGGGTCTTCCCAGGAGGAGGAGGGGAGGTGGTGTCACTGGTTATGGGAAAATGGCAGAGGCAAAACCTGGCAAAGAAAGGCTGCCTTCTTATGCAGATAAAAGCCCCTCAGGTATCTGGGAGCACTCTCAGAAAGAATAAATGGTAGCCTGTGGTAAAAGTTTCTCTGTCAGACTTTAAAAGTGTCAGACATTGAGTCTTTTTTTCGGAGGGGGGATGGAGGGTGGGCAGTGCTCAGAGAAAGCCCATTTGCATCCACTCTTCACTAATGTAGATTTCTTGTTTAGATACAAATCATCCCCAAAAAACACAGCATTTCAGAGCCATTTCTGTGTCTACAGCCCCTCTGAGTAGCCATCTCAAAATATACCAAAGAAGTAGTTGGGGAGGGTGCATATTTGGGTTTCCATCACTTATCATAAGTATCTCCATGAGACAAAATTGTAAAAACAGTTAACTAGCATTGATATTAGCTCATTTTATTAAATCTAGTGGATCAATTCTCTTTCAATAACCTGAAGGTTTTCAGGTAGCTTTCAGTTTGGGTGAAGAGGAGGCAATTTTGAAATTCTCTCATTGTAAATTTTTTTTTAAATTGCAGAAATAAAATGAGTTTATGAAAAAATTATGTTTAGAGAATGTAGCTTTGTAAAGCAAAATAATAATAATAATAATAATAATAATAATAAAAGTCTGACATAGGTCTCAATCAATTTGGAGGTTTATTTTGCCAATGATGAGGACACACCTGGGAAAAAGAGACACCAGTCACCATAGGACTGTGGCCTGCACTTTTTCCAAAGAGGGTTTCGAGGGCTTCAGTATTTAAAGGGGAAAAGTGGGCAGGGTGGTAAGGAGAACAAAAAAAAAAAAAAGAAGGAAGGTATGTAGTAAGGTGAGCGGTCGCATCCTTATGATGCTGTATTAGTCCGTTTTCACACTGCTGATAAAGACATACATAGGACTGGGTAATTTATAAAGAAGAAGAGGTTTAATAGACTCACAGTTCCATGTGGCTGGAGAGGCCTCACAATCATGGCAGAAGGTGAAAAGCACATCTTATATGGTGCTGGACAAGAAAGAATGAGAATCAAGCAAAAGGGGAAATCCCTTATAAAACCATGAGATCTCATGAGACTTACTTCCATGAGAACAGTATGGGGGAAACCGCCCCCATGATTCAATTATCTCCCACAGGGTCCCTCCCATATCACATGGGAATTATGGGACCTGTGATTCCAAATGAGATTTGGGTGGGCACACAGCCAAACCATATCAGAGGCTTTAGTGAGTGATCACTAAATCTACATGTTGCATGTGAAAGGAGCAGGCAGAGGAACAGTAAAGTATGGATTCGCCTTGTGCTTTCAGTAAAACTGCATTTTACATGAGATAAAGTAAACATAGAGCAGAGGAAGAAGTCTAATATGCATTTGTCTTGAGGTGGGGAGAGGATCGATTTCTACTCCTGTCTTTGTCCTGTACCTGTGAAGATAAGCTGTTAATTTACATTGTCAGAGTGAGTGAGACCATGCAGAGAGACATGTGGCCTTCTATCTTGCACTTATCTGTTTAGAAACAAAGGATTTGTGTTTGTGTGACTCAGTTCGCAAGCTTTACTTTTCCCTTTGGCATAGTGAGTTTGTGGTCCTGAGATTTTATTTTCCTTTCACACCTTGACCTGGAATATAAAAGGATATATATGAAGATGGCCATGTAACATGTCAATCAGAAACAAAATTGGTCTAATGACATCTTCAGAAAGGCAACACTGTGAAGAAAACTAAAATATTTTACCCGTATATATATGTCTTTGACATACTTTGAGATGGTTGTTCAGAGGGCTTATAAACAGAAGTAGCCCCCAAATCTGTCTCTAGTGGAGACGATTTGCATCTGTAGAGGAAAAAAAAGTGAACTAAAGAACAGATGCAAACAGCTTTTCTCTGAAGCCCCCACCTTGTCAGTATTTAGAAAAGATTGACTGAGGGTCTGACACCTGGCTGTTCTCTCTGAGGGCTGCTACCTGAGAAGTTTCATCTGCATAACAGGACCACCTTTGCTAGCCAAATTTCTCTTCGCCTTCTTCCATAACCTGTTCCAAGCCCCTATTCTTTCTGTAAGCTCAAGATGGCATAAAAACATCGATAATCTTGGCTTTCTTTGAATTTTTATATTTTGAATGATTCTTTTGCACATGTGTGCACATAATTTGTATGCCTTTTTTTCCTGTTAATGTTTATTTTTATTTTGTTTTATAGACTCAAATTAGCAAATCTGCAGGTTTAAACTTCTCTACAACTGGAAGAATGAATTGGATTCTAGTAAGCCAAAGGGTAAAGCAAATCATCCAACTCTATTTAGAAGAGGCAACTCTAATGTGAATTTTTAGATATTATAACAGTTCTGAGGACGTTTTTCTTCTTAGAAAGCCTCTTCTTTTCCCCCTATGAACCAGTGGATCTTTACAACCTTGAATTAAAGGTGATGCATGGGTTTGGAGATTTATTTTTTCCCTAATGTCTACATTTTCATTTAGGAGGTATTAATGCTTAAGACAAAAGGAAACTGCTTTGTTAACTTGCAACAAAGTAGATCAGCTCCAAGAGGGCAGAGAGCAGCCTGAAGGAGGAGGAGGAACAGGGCTTAGAAGGAGGCAACACCAAAAAAAAAATGCAAAAAGCTGACCCCACTGGCGGATGTGCATTATTCGCTAGCTTCTGTGAAAAAAAGGGTGACAAAATGCTAAGTTGAAGGGTTGTTGGGAAAGGCAATTTCTTCTCATGCTAAGATCAAAGGGTTTCCATTCTTGATGGTTTAGATTCAGGGCAACAATATTGAAATATTAGGTGGGGTTTAAGTGGATAAGCATCAGAAATGGTAGTAAATGTAACTGGACTGTTTCTGATTAAGTGCTTGCCCAAAGGAAACTTCAGATTATAGGTTTTCAATAAACACTGGCAAACCTTGATTTGTGTCTTATGTAACTGAAAGTTTTACAATATATTTTTGTTCCCTTTCAATAGTGTATGTTTTTCTTGCTTCTCTTATGTAATATTGTCATCTGTTCATTCACATAAATAAGTACTTTTACCCATGACAAGAATCTTCCTTTACTTCCTTTACTTCATGCCCAGATACAGAGCACTGCCATCAAAAAGAAAAAAAAAAAAACAACTTTAAACTCTCAATCATTCTATACCCTGTGGAGGATTTCTGTCTTCTATTCAAACTCTGTTTTACCATAATATTACGTTGTCTTACATATGAATACAGCTATTTAGAAGATTTTACCACCTATGCTTGCTGGCCATATCCAGTGGAATTGCATCATACATACTTTGGTCTGGTCCACATATAAGGCAAAAATTAAATATGGCAAAATTACCCTTGAGAAGTTTCTTAAATTGACAATATAATAGAGTAGACATGACTTTGCATATAGAATCCTACTGTCGACCTAAAGGGAAGAGCCTGAAGCACAAAATGTAACTTGAAGAGTTTATTTGAACCAAAATAAGGATAGCTGCCTGGAAGACTCAGACCATAGTAATCTTGGATATGAGCTCTACTGGCCATAGTTAAAAGCAGGTTTTTAAAGGGGGAAAAATGGGGATGGGGGAAAGTTTTTGTTAGGAACTCTCATTGGTTTACAGAAATAACATTCATTAGTGATTGGCTATCCATTGTTAAGCTATAGGGCATGGGATATGGTGTCCACTGAGGCATTATTAGGTTAATGCATAGCTATTTGTGGCAATTGCAAGCCATCTCCTTAGATGAATGTGTGTCTCAAAACAGAGGAAGCAGGGTGTGATTGCTATCTCATTTTACACCTCCCTGGGCCTAATAATTTGAAAAGGCTCACATTCCTCACATAAAAGTTCTTTTCTTTCCTCACTACATAATAATTTTATTCAAAGTAAAGATTGAGGAACACTGAATTCTAAAGAAGGGGAAGACTGAAGTAAGAAAAGCATAGAAGGAAAGCCTAAGGGCAGAGAGATGTCTGGATGGTTAAACCATTCTGCTTTTAAGTCAGCAATCTCATCCCTCTAGTGAATACTGGATAGAGAGAGAATTTTAATGTGCTCCTGCTTTGCTTCAGGGTCTACTCCATCCCGTTTTAATGTTAATCCTCTGTGACATTATCATATGTCATTTGGCTTCTTTGTGTTGTGAGACTTAAAGATCATGGTGGAGAGCATCTTTGGAACATGGGGGATGGAGGGGAGTGAGTAAAGAACGAGGGTTCTCGTCCCGTGTAAAAACAGCCAACCAGAAAGCATCGTAAGACAAACACCTGGCTGACATTTTGAGGATTCTGAATGGGAAATGCCCAGGTGGATTTGGGAAGAGCTAACACAGGGAGGAGCTACAGAAATGACTGGTGCTTGTGTAGAAATCATTTTTCAATTAAGGCATTAAGGGAAATATAGAGTTTCTTGATTTGCATTGAGTGAATCTAGTCACTGGTTTTATAAAATTTTGTTATCAGAAAATGTGTGCTGTAAATATTTAGTACATACACTAAATTCATTGCCAGCTTCCTATTGTGGTCATCCTTGATATTCCCCTGAAAATTAGGGCTGCTTTATCAGAGGCTCAACTTTTGATAGTTCCCCCCACATCATATTAAACATATTAAAAGGTAACCACAACTCATATCAACTATACTCTTGATGGTAAGGATATATTTTTATCTAATATTACTCTTGACTTTTATTTTGCAACTTTTCTTTTGTACTTTCAGTCAATTCATTTTTTCTATGCCAGGCCTTTGAAATTCTTCAAGGCCCTAGGCTAGGCGATAAACCCTAATGCTTGGTGGATAAATTTGCCTTTCTGAGAAGAATGCCTCAGTCATTCTGAAGAGTATTGAGGCATTTGTCCCCTTCATTGAATAGAAATAGTGCAAGATCTGTGCTCTACAAAAGCTAAGAGCACGAAAGTTCCTGAAGACCCAAAAATTAAGTGTAGGGGGCAAAGAAAAACTCCTTCATCTTCTGAAATTTTGATGAAAAATCAATGGGCAAAAGGCAGGTTAATAAAAGAAAAGGCATACAAATTTATTAATGTGTACATGAGGGAGAATCACAGTGATTACACTAACCCCCTAATGGCATATAAAAACTTACATACTATCTTGAAACTTCATAAAGAATGGGGACTCAGTGCATGGCCCAAAACAGGTTATGATGGTAAATCAGGTTATATGGCAAGACAGGTTAGGGAAGGGAGAGAAAAGGAGGCCTGGCTAGCAACGTTGGTCTCACAGGTAGCAGCCCTCAGAGAAAATAGCTGGTAAATATTTCTTTTAGGCCTTTAAAAGTGTCAGACTCTCAGTTAATTTTTCCTAGACTGGACAATGGGGGCTTCAGAGAAAGCCTGGTTGTATCAGTGCAGATTTTCTTTATAGATACAAATCTCCCCCATGAAAGAAAACTTTGCTGGACTACTTCTGTTTGCTGACTCTCTGAACAGCCGTCTCACACTATGTCAAAGAAGCATATTTTGGAGTAAAATATTTTTATTTCCTTCATAAGTCTTCCTCTTCCATATGCATTTGGCATAAAAACAAAAAGATTGTTTTAATTGCCTGTGGGTTCTTCCTGTCCACTGTACAGACAAAAACTAATTCACTGAGACCATGATATTGCAGTAAAGAAAGAGTTTAATTAACTCAAGGCTGGTCACGTGGGAAACCTGGAGTTATCACTCAAATTAGGCTCCCTGAAGTCTTCGAGGTTAGGATTTTTCAAGGGTAGTTTGGTGGGCAGGGGGCTAGGGAATGGGGAATGTTGATTGGGGTTGAAATGATAGAGGTGTGGCAAACAGTTCTCATGTGCTAAGTCAGCCTCCAGGTGGGGGCCACAGGACTGGTTGGGTCCTGAGTGTGTGGGTCTCAGTGGAGTCAGTTGCTAGAATGCAAAAGTCTGAAAAAATCTCAGTCAATTTTCAGTTCTACAATAGTGATATTATCTACAGGAATAATTGGAAAAGTTACAAATCTCGCAGCCTCCAGAACAGTAGCTGATTATCATTTAACTACTTCTATATCTTAAGAGAATTCAGCCCCCTCTCATAGTCCTAACTTTGTGGCCTTTCATTAGTTTTACAAAGGCAGTTTACTTTTGGGAAGGGTTATTATTATCCTTGCTTTAAGTTTAAACTAAATTCCTCCCAAAGTTAGCTTAGCCTATGCCCAGGAATGACCAAAGATAGCTTGGATGTTAGAAGCAAGATGGAGTCAGCTATGTTAGGTTTCTCTTACTGTCATAATTTTGAAAAGGCAGTCTCAATCCCCAACAAAAATGCTGCTTGATGAAACCAGTCCACATAATTATATTTGCATTATAAGGCATATAAATTAAAATCTTATTTTTTTAATAGAGCTTTCTTAGCTAGTCATGGAGGATTAAAGAGAACTTAGTGTGCTTCCAAGAACGTGAAAATCTGCAGAGGGACACAACGTCAGTGTTCAGGTTGTTTGGATGAATTGCAAACACAGTTGTTTCCTGTTTCTGCACAGCCTCCATAGTGATTGGGAAATGGTGGTGTGAGATGGAGCCTTGCCTAGAAGGAGAAGAATGTAAGACACTCCCTGACAATTCTGGATGGATGTGCGCAACAGGCAACAAAATTAAGACCACGAGAGTAAGTGCACTTATTTCAAATGTATTTTGGATGTTACAGACTGTACTATTTGAGTTTGTGCTGTGCAAACAGCATCCACAGAAGCTTTGCACAGGAGAGAAGATTCTCCACTGACAGAAAGCATTCTGAACTATGCAGATCAGTGTCCATCCGTGAATGAGACGTTAGAGATTGAACTTGACTTTCCCACACTGAGCAGTTTAGTGTTTCTGTCACAGACTCATAAATTAAGTTGGGTTTCCAGCCAGAGTGGAGAGGAATCATGAGGTAATTATTCGGATAATTCATCCAACATTTATAATGCTCAGAATGATAATCAAATGAACTTCCTCCCTAATTCATCCAGATGGTTTGCTGAAAGGGTCTGCGTTTAAGTACACCTACAGAAGCCATTTTCTAATGTTCTTTAAAAGAGTTCTGTGATGATCCGTCAGAGAACTGAAAAGGGTTTTGGGGAGTGAATACATCATTCTTTGATTTCTTTGGTTAAATCAGGAGTGATCTTCTAAATAAATAACAATCTTCAGGGTGGGGTAATCCAAACCATCAAAATTGGCACCCTTATGCTGGAGCAGGGCAGAAAGGCCCAGCTAGCTAGATATTAACCCTGTAGTTACTGGACAGCCTTGGAATCCTAAAGGGGACAGGGGTGGGAGATGCTCCGGATGCTTAAGATAGTAATTATATATCCACTAATAAAAAAGTATGTCTATTTGACAAGTGTGGTCATATGTATGTGTATCAATTGAGTATCAGCCCTGTTTCTCTCTCTCTTTGTCTCTCTCTGTGTGTGTGTGTGGGGGGGCATGGGGTGGGTGGGTGGGTGTGTGCATGTGTGTGGTGGGGGGAGGGGGTGCATGCCTGTGTGTGTTTTAATTTACAGGAATTTTTCTTGAGAGAGGGGGGTCTCACTCTGTTGCCCAGGCTGGAGTGAAGTGGTGTGATTATAGCCCACTGCAGCATCTAACTCCTAGCCTCAAGCTATCTTCCTGCTTCAGTCTCCCAAAATGCTGGGATTACAGGCCTGATCCACCATACCCAGCCTGTGGAGTATTTTTTAAAGCAAGCTCCATCGGTTACAAATCCCAGTATGCTGAAGTTTTATTCTACCAAAGGTCTGATGTATTTGAAAGGATGTCTCTGTTTCCCACCCCTTATTATTAATCTTGACTTACTCTTTCTTCTCAGCCTCACTTTTTCAGTGAATAAAATTGGTTCTTTCGTCTTTGTGATGCAGAAGACAAAACTAATGCTACATAATACTATATAAAACTTATTTTTCACATATAAAATAGGTGAAAACATCTTGTGTATCAAATTTCCTTGCCTTTTTTGACCCCCTTGACCAGTAGTAAATGGCTATACATTTCCGGCTTGCGACCAGGAGGAACCTCTGAACCACCCTAGCTTGCTAACATGCATCTGTCTGTGCCTGAGTAGCTTAATGTGGATTATCCTGTTTCATTTTAATGAAACACCTACAAAAGACATTATTCAGAAATAAGCCTGGTTCATGCAACTTATCCACAGAGACCATTTTAATTAACTAGTAGAAGGTGGGAAATCAGGTTTCCCTTTGGTTACCTTTTGCCTAAAACTGATTCTTCCCAATAATTTGAAGTTGCCCTCACAAATTGGTTTGTTTTAAGCTATTCTGAATTATGGCCAGTATGATTGGAATCTAACCACCTTTGTTTTAAACACATTGCTGATATATTTCCTGCCAAATCTCTTTTCTCTATTCTAAAGAACTGATTGCCTTTTATTGAAGGCAAGTCTTATTCTCATGGTGTCTCCAGACCTGAAACACAGTAAAGAAAAATAATTCAAGTCAGGATTTAAATATGTGAAATTCCAAGAGTACCAACTAGGAGACTCTTTGGAAGATAGAATATAAAACAAACAAAACAAAAAAACAGAAACATAGATTGTTAATGCTACTTTTTTGAGACCAATGTAACTTTCTTTTATTTGGCCTCTGTAGAGTACATTTTAAAACCATCAGGCATGTTGCAGATGCACCCTAGACATTTTCCAACAACACAGGAGTATTGTGCAGGATCTGATCACAGTACCAGAGACTGGAGCACACCATTTGCTACCTCCCTGGGTGGGCTGAATTCAACTCAAGCAGTTGAATGGATGAGATAAACAAACTGCCATTGCAGTCGGTTTGAAAGCAGAGGATGTACCTGTTCTGACGTATACATCCTTTTCAAGCAAGGAAATAGGAGGCCACTCTACAGCCATGTGAGCTGCACATCAGTCAGCTGAGAATTCTCAAGTCTGTCCTTAGAAAAGGAAAGAGAAGACACTGGAAAAGCTGTACTTTTTAAACCTTCAGAGGACTCAAATGCTCTTACTGACATACGTCCTCCCTCCTCCCTCCTTCTCAAGAAATTTGCAATGAAATAAGCACTTTTAAACACAAGGAGCACCAACTAAGTCCAGATGATGTATATAGGAACCATCTATTCTGTGTAAATGGTGTGTCAACGCCAGTCCTTAGATCATCTGCTCTGAAAATATGTTCTGTATTAATTTTTCTTCTACATCTTATGTATTCTTCTCCATCAGAGCACAAATATGCTTACTCACTTCAAATATTGATTCTAACAATTTAACTTTAAGAATGGTTTAATTCACAGATGTACTTTAATTATTATGAGTCACATGTTTTCATTGTTCTGCTGTTATCAAAGAGGTAAAAAAAAAAACAAAGAAATTTACCTCTTTTGTTCTTTTTTGTGTGAGAATAATTCAAAGACAGTTCACTCAGGATAAAAATAAAGTTGGGGAAACACACTCAGATTGTTAATAGCAACTGAGAGTTTCCTTCATACTGTTATTTTAAAAGTAACTTCAATATAAAGATAATCCAGGGAAAGGTTCCTGGGACTTCATTCTCTTTCCTATAAAAGACTGTTCCAAACCTTCATCTTTTGTAGGTTACTTCCAAAATAATCATCCTGAACAAAATTCTCTTCGAAATGTGGTTAAATAATGTTTCAAAGTCTGATCTAATTTAAAACTTTATGGTGTTCATTTTTTAAGGAAGGTGAAGAGTAGAAATGTGGTGGTTCATCTAAACTACCAGACACCCCAGAACGTCTGGAGTAGCCCAGGTAACAGGCCACAGTCTAAAGAAAAACCTCAGGAACAATGGATCTGAGTGATATTATTACCCCAGAAGGAAGGAGAAAATATAGGTGGAATTAGGCAAAGCCTTTTCTTTCAGGAGATTTGGAATAACTTTTTAAGAGAGGAAGACTCCTGGATGCCACCCTATAGAAAGGAAGTATTCACCTTGAAAGGTTTTCCAAGACCCAGCTTGGAGTAGAATAAATCTGGCAACACACACACTTCTGGGGAGAATCTCAGTACATCTGGGTGAAGTTTCATGGCCAAATTATTCCTCTGCGTCTGCTTGATCATTGCTTCAATTGCTTTATTAAATAGCTTTGTTGGTACTTAGGAGCAAGACTAACCAACCAAAATATTGACTAGAGATTTTATTCTTGCAGTTTTAGACACCTATTTATTTACGTCTTTTCTTTAAACTATATCAAATACGTAAGTTTGAAAGTTGGGGAGGCTCTATCCCATGTATTCAGATACATGTCTATACCTTTTATATTCAGGAACAATGGCTTAATTTAGAAAGACAGACTTCCCCTCAGAGATGTAAAACTGAAAAGTATCTGAGACAGGTCTTACTCAATTTAGAAAGTTTATTTGGCAAAGGTTATGAATGCATGACCTAGAGGTAGGTCTGTGCCTTTCTCCAGAGATGATTTTGAGGGTTTTAATATTTAAAGGGAAAAGGGTGGATATTGGGGAAAGAAGCAAATTTTTAAAGGTGTGGGTAGTTAAGAGACAAATGGTGGTTACATTCTTTTGGTCTTTGACAGCCTTTCACCAAATACACCATTTACATGTGGGAAGGGGGTAGAGGAAGAGCCACTTAGGCCTTCATGTAGCTCAGTTAATCTTTATTTTTACGACAGAGGACGCAATCAGATATACATTTGTCTCAGGTGAGCAGGGGGATGACTTAGAGTTCTGTCCTTTGTCCTGCACCTGAAAAAATAAGTTATCAGTTTACATTGCCAGGGTAAAATTCAACAGAAAGGTTTTAGGATAAAGATCTGGGACCCACAAGGAATTTCCCTGTGGTAAAATTGTGAGGGACGTATGTGGCTTTTGAAACATCTTTGTAGCTATATTATTTAGGAATAAAATGAGAGGCAGGTTTGCCTGACATCATTCTCAGCTTGAATTTCCCTTTGGCTTAGTGATTTTGGAGTCCCTAGGTTTACTTGCCTTTCAAAGACAAAATAAGTTATTTGACAATGATGGAATAATTTCAGCTAAAAACTGAATGTCAGTTACTTGGTGGCAGGAAGAGGAAGAGGAGGAAATGAGGAGAAAATCAGTCACTGGAAAAGACAAACTAACAGGTTAAAATAGCAGAACATAATCTGGTGTCATATCTTGGGAAGCAGCAAACCACGCTGGGTTTGCTTCATTCCAATATGTGAATGTCTCTCAGACTAGTGAGAAAATCAACAGTTAGTACACAATGTAAAGTCAAGTTTTATTCCCTAAAACGAGGAGGTAGAAGACCCCAGATTGCACAATTAACCACTATAGCCATCTTGTCAAATCAGTGTTTTCTGTAACTGGCCCAACACAAATCCACCTGCCTAACTCTAAAATCCTTAAATGGACTTCTACCTCTAGCCTCAGAACACTCAACTTCTAAAACTGTAAAGAAGTAAGAGATAATAAAGAAAAATGCCATATTTCCTGGAACTCTAGAGTAGAGTCTTCAACTCTATTAGAATTGTTATTTATGCTTGAAGTTAGTAGTTCTCTGTACATGCGTCCTTTTGAATATTTGAGCCTTTGATACCCTATTCAAGTGGATTAAGACATCTACAGCAACAGAAATGTAATCTTGATTGCCCTTGAACACAGTGTCATTGAGTGCAACAGTTTCTCACCTTGCACAGGAACAGTTTCTCATCGCTGTGTTCCTACACAGATGTGGTCTAACCTTGACAACGACCTCACCTCATGCCAGCCCTCTATATCTTACAACAGGCCAACTTCACAAGACCATGGAATAACTTACCCAGTTCAAATTCTCATCAGATAGACACAGGAGTGATTACATAACATGCAAGGCCAGGTGCAAAATGAAAGTGCAGGGCCCTTGTTTAAAAATTATTAATAATCTCAAGATGGCAACAGAAGAACATTAAACCAAGCAGGAGGCTCTTTCCAGGATAGGGCCTTGTGCAACTTCATAGGTCACATGCCTAGGAAACCAGTCCTGGATAGGCATTGCTCCAGGAGCCTCACTCCTCAGGAGTGACATCATTAATTTATTGCATTGATAAAAATATGGTGGCCTATCAATATGATTTGATCACCATTTGAAAATGACTGCTCTAAACTTTAAGATTTTTGACTTCAGATCACCTGAAAAAAAGCAACATCCTAAAGATTCAAGGTGTCCTCCTTTTCTACATAATCACATTTCTTTGTGCCTTCAGTTTGCACTGTTCTCCCTGAAATGTCTGTCTTTCTTTGGTTTCAGATTCACCCAAGAACCTAACAGAAGCATTTGTGGTAGTAAAGGAAAACCAACCCTCTGGAAAATACATTTTGAGAATCTCAAACATCTCACATATATACAAGCCAAATGGATTTCTTACTTGCACTTTGACTGGCTACCAGATAATCACAGTGCGTTTACTGTGTGTAACGAAATATCCTACAGTGAGAAGACACAGCGTTTTGGCAACACCATGGAAAGTGGGCTTAAAAAAGGGTTTTCTCAGTGAAATTTTTGGGCATCATGAAGAACGATCAACTATCTTCTAATTTGAATCTATAGTTACTTTGTACCATTTGAAATATATGTATATATATATATATAATATTTTGAAATATTATCTATTCTCTTCAAGAAATGAACAGTACCACAGTTTGAGACGGCTGGTGTACCCCTTTGAGTTTTGGATGTTTTGTCTGTTTTGCTTTGTTTTGTTAGTCATTTCTTTTTCTAACGGCAAGGAAGATATGTGCCCTTTTGAGAATTCAAGATGGCACTGACACGGGAAGGCCAGCTACAGGTGGACTCCTGGAATTTGAGGCATCATAATGATACTGAATCAAGAACTTCCTTCTGCTTCTACCAGATGGCCCAAGGAAGCACATCGTCCTGTTTTATTGCTTTCTACCCTGTGCAATATTAGCATGCAAGCTTGGCTTACATAGTCATACTTTATATTCAATTGATATATAATAACCGTTCTAACCTCTTCCAGGAAAATATTTTTAGAACTACTAGCTTTTCCACTTAGAAGAAAATGAGGATTCTTAAGGGAGCCACTCCACCATGCTATTAAGACTCTGGCAGAGTTATGGGTAGGATATGGATCCCTACATGAATAAGTCCTGTAAATACAATGTCTTAAGGCTTTGTATAGCTGTCCTAGACTGCAGAAATGTCCTCTGATTAAATCCAAAGTCTGGCATCGTTAACTACATAGTGCTGTAGCAACAAGTCTTATCATGGCATCTCTTTCTATGTTTGGTTTGCTTTTTCCAAGAGTATTCAGGTCTCCTCTTGTGAGATAGGAAGGCCATGAAAACAATTAGATTTCAAGATGATCTATGTGACCAAATGTTGGACAGCCCTATTAAAGTGGTAAACAACTTCTTTCTAAACCTACTTGTCTTCTTTATTTTGCCATTTATTTTTACTGAATCAACCTTAACCAAATCCAGAGAATGCACTGCTCAGATACTCATAGTCAGCCAGAGCTTCTCCCATAAGGTCTTTGCTTCCATTGTGGCTACTATTTACAATGTTAATATTTTGAAAATCAGAACTCCATTACTATAACTGCAGTGTCCTCAGTCAGCAAGCCGAAATGTCAGATGCCATTATTGGGCTTTCGTAGTTGTTACTGGAATAATAGATATGGGGCTAACCCCACCAAAAAATGATCTTCTTTTTTTGAGAGTTACTCAGCTAATGCTTATAAGAAGGAAATATCTACTTAAGTTCTAGTTTTCCTGGAGATAGCATAATCATACTTTCCGTTCCAGTCATCTTGTAAGTGTATCCCTTTTTCTGCAAAATATATTCTCTGGAATGAATATTGTTATGGCTTCTTATTAGGTTAGTAGCACATTGGGCCCCATAGTCTCAACTTTTAAATTTAAATCTCAGGTCAAATCCAGAGGCTCCCCCATCTCTACCAAGATAGCCTGAAGTCTGATTGAACATACAAACACTCTAACCAGATAAACTGATTCTGCATCTTGAAGGCCTATAAAAGCATCCAGAGACAGAAATAGAATCCTGACTGCAAAATCTAGGCTTCTCAAATGCTTTCACAAAATATTTGCCAGAAGGTAGCACAAAGTTTACACCAGAAAATCGGAATATTTTGAATTTATGATCCAGATGCAAAATATGAAGAAAAGAACTTCTATAATCAAGTATATTTGGGAAAGTTTTTTAAACAAAATAGAGATATTTACTGGGGGAATTGTCAGAGGCTTTAATAAACCAAAAGGCACCGTGTGTCTTTAGGAAAGACTAGAAGAGGAGAAGTCAAGTAAGAAACCTCTAGTTGGTCACATGGCTAATGGAGCACACATGCCCTGCATAATGGGAAACTGTAAGAAATTGCTTCTATGTGAGGATATAATCACTGCAGTGTTATATCTTCAGTTTTTCAAAAGAACCAGAAATCTAGATTTTACATAAAATTTTCTATCATGCCTAAATTGAGATGAACTAATTCAATGTTTTAAATGATGCCAGCGTTAGTATTGCCCCAAATTCTCTGAACATGTGGACTTTACTATTAGTGTTCCCTAGGATACTCTTTTAAAAGCATTGATCCTAAATGAAAATCCAATGGGAAGAAAGAGGGCTATTCTCTTTTGTATGGCCTCATACATGCAGACACTTCTCATAACTCACAAGATGTCGTGGTCACAGCTTTTCCTTTTCTGTAACCAGAGCCTTTAAGTCAATGAAGGGGCTGGTCTAGAGGTCCACATCTGTTCATTCATTTCCCATCGGTCAATTCATGCTAGTCTTTCATGAAAAGACCTGGAGAAAAAAGTCACAACAGAATCAGGAAATCATCCAATAAGACAGTGCAAATATTTGTAAATGTCGTCAAATTCAATTTGGATTTATCCAAGTCCCTTACACAAATGTGTGAACCATCAAATTGTGTTTAAATTTAACTTGCTCCAGTTTGGGGAATTCAGTAGCTACCATCTGCCTATTGAATCTGCACATTTATGGTGTAAAAACTTATATCACGTATTTCTGGTAATAAAGAGCTCTGTGTGGTATGACTAATATTGATTTTGAGCTTGTGCATCCAGGACGATGAATAATGTTATAACATAATTAGAGTAAATGCAAAGAGTTTTATCCAGAGCCCTTCTTTTAGTAAAAAAGTGAAAATGTGGCTTATTTCATAAGATTAAGATTTTCAAATAGTGTGAATCTTATTTGTTGACATTTTGGGGTGATTAGATTAATCTATTAATGGACGAGGCAAGCACATTGAGAAGTTTACTACTTGGCTTTTTTACATTGTAGAATGATGAAGAATGTTTTCACCGAGACACAATTCAACATGTTTTTTTGATCAAATTGAGTATAACTTTCACAAAGCAATACAGTGGTTTTATAATACAGTATATTATACCACCTTGCCATTGTCACTGATACAGTAAGTTATGGAAGGCATAAAAATTGTTTATCTGAGGAGATCCACCACATTCTTCACCTGCACAAGGCACACACTGCTTCCCTGGGAGGTTAAATATCATGTCATAGTATGACTTTTTCTTTTAATTAAGCTTGACAGCCCCATTTCAAAAGCTATTAGAGTTTTCTTGACAAAGAAGTGTGTCATGTCTTTTTGTGAGCTGTCTACCTTCTAAATAAAAGACTGCGTGTTTAGTGAATTGTAGGGCTCGAGCCATCTCCAGCTAGTTTATAAATACAAGAAAACATGATAAAAGGCACTACTCTGGAATGTGAGAACTCAGTACTAGTGGGAGCAGTAATGGAATCTTATTTCATACTACCCATGGGAATAATACAAAAGTGATGAAATAGAATCAGGTTCACACTTTAAATTAAAGATGAGGCCATTAATTGTACATACACTCCTCTTACTATATCCCCTATTAAAGGTTTAGAGATTTGAGGTTGAATAGGTCAGGATTGTTTTTTCCTTGTGAAAGAGCTCAGGGCACATCAATGGATGTCATGACATGCTCACATCATTGGTACACAAGTGGCTCTCATTTGTTTATTTACTTAGGTAGTTTGCTTCATTTTCAAAAAGTTTAAGCTCTCATTCTGGTAGCTAGTTACATCATTAAAAGAAATAATAATTGGTTACCAAATATGAAAGCCAGGATCCCAGCCCTAACTGACTTTGATAGACCAGGCAATGTTTATCCAGCCCTGATTCCCACCTGCTTAGAGAAGCTATAACCCAAGAATAGACTGACATGCTATGAAGAAAACTTGCAGCCAAATTTTCCATAAGACGGTGTATTGCAGCCATGAGGCCATGGCACATGGATATTGGCCATAGATCATGGAATGGGTTGGAAATGGCTTCTTCAGAAAGACTGTGAATAATTTTTTTTTTTTTTTTTTTGAGACAGAGTCTTGTTCTGTCACCAGGATGAAGTGCAGTGGCACAATCTCAGCTCACTGCACCCTCTGCCTCCTGGGTTCAAGCGATTCTCCTGCCTCAACCTCCTGAGTAACTGGGACTACAGGTGTGCAACACCACACCCAGCTAATTGTTGTACTTTTAGTAGAGACAAGATTTCACCATGTTGGCCAGGATTGTCTCGATCTCTTGACCTTGTGATCTGCCTGCCTTGGCCTCCCAAAGTGCTGGGATTACAGGCATGAGCCACCAGGCCCAGCTGACTGTGAATAAATTTTTAAAGGCATTATAATTGGTTCAAGGGTAGTTCTCAAACATGGCCTAAAAGGCACATAAGCCTACAGAAGCTAGCCAGGTAACAAAAGTTAGTTAAGCAGGGCCACCTACAGTGCCTAAAATACCAAGATGAAGGTAGAAACCCTGGCACATTGCAGGGCACTAGTAGCCAGAATTTGATCTCAGCCTATTGTTGCCACGCATGGCACCATGCTTAATGCTGCTCATTAAGGAGCCATATGTCCACATTCTTCTGACTTATTTTTAGGACTATCCAGAAATTCAGATGCTGGTATATGAATGTGGACAAAAACACACTCAAAATATTTTTCCTCTGCTCCCACACCATACAACAATCAACACAGAAGACTTCTGTGACCAGATGTGTGGGAGTTTTTCCCCGCACACGAAGCAAGCAATTCTGCAGTGAATACCAGCTGGATGTCCTCTAATTCAATTCCATTATGACACATCTACCTGGAGATAATGTCGCATCCCACAGGTTGAAGGCTCAGTCCCACAGGACTGGCCTCCATTTCTGATGCCAGTCACAGCCCCAAGTTGTTTTACCTGTGCTTCTGACTGACTGGCTACAAACTGAGGATCCCACAACCCCCTCCTTGGGTTCTATTAATTTGCTAAAGTGACTGATAGAATGCAGGGAAACACTTACTTTTATTTACCAATTAATTATAAAGGACAGTACAGAAGATATAGATGAAAAGATGCATAGTATGAAGTATAGGAAGGGGTATTGAGCTTCCATGCCCTCCCTGAGCACACTACCCTCCAGGACCTCCACGTGTTCGTCTGTCCAGGATCTCTCCAAACCCTGTCCTTCTGGGTTTTTATGGAGGCTTCTTTACATAGGCGTGATTGACAAAATCATTGGCCATTGGTAATCAGGTCAACCTTCAGCTCCTGTCCCCTCCCTAGATGTTTTGGGTGGGGCTGAAGTCCCAACCCTCTAATCCTGCCTTGGATCTAATCTTTTAGGATAGATGGTCCTTCCAGAGACCAGCCCCTATCCTAAAGCTAATAGAAGCAGCCAGCCATCATCAGTCAGCTCGTTAGCATATAAAAAGACATCACTTGGAAATTCTAAGGAGTTTAAGAGTTGTATGCCAGGGAACCATGTTGAAAATCAAAAATATATTTCACAATGTCACAATATGAAATGTCCAAATCTCATATATTTATAACCCATTGGAATTTTGTTAAATCTGGCCCAAAATTATATTATTCTCATATATTTGCATTTTCATGGGATTCCTCTGGTGGTAGAAAAAGTGGCAGAAAAGGCTAGTTTGCAGGCAATTACACACAACCTATAGCCTGTCTTACCTATGCCACTGAGGATGCTGTGGGCACATCAGTTGTCGTCTACTGCATGAAATGTCAGGGTTGCAAAAAGGAGCCAACCTCTCTCCTAGAATGGAGTAAAATTATTACATTTCCATGAGCTCCAACTTTGGGGTAACCAAGCTAGTGGAGGAGCAAACATTGGGGACCAAAAGGAAGCAGTATAAGGTTGCCAGAGCCTATCAGTTAGTGCAAAAAGTCCCGAGATGCTTGTACATCTACTCAATGCTAGGTACTGGCTGCCCAATAAAAATGGCCTCCCCCTCTGATTCTATATTGAGTCACATAAAATCATTTCATGACTCCTGCTGCTGTCTACATTCATACCTGGACTCCATGTGAGTTCTTGCTGTGTTTGGATCCTAATCTGACTCCTCCCGAGATGGCTATACTGAGAAGCTTTCAAGGTTTCTCACCCCCTCCCCCACCGCTCATCTCACCACTATCACATTTTCTCCTCTCTTCTCCCCTTTACATCTCACACCTAAAAGGCACTGTGTGTATTGAAAAGAACTCCTCAGAGATTCAGGTCCTTGCCTTCCATTTAAAAATTCAACCCAGAAAAGCTTGCAACCTCTCTCCCAGAGTTTTTGCATGTAAAATGGAAATCATTATACAAGACTTAAAGGTTATGGGAGGATTAGAGAAATGGAGAAAGTGGGAATGTTATACAAATATAAAGCAGTAGATAAGCAATGGTTATTCCCAGAGAACTGTTACTGTGTTATTCTCAAATTACTAAGGTGTCACCTAGGTGCTCCCTGTGTCTCTGCTCGCTCCACTCAAGACAGACAAACTTAGCAAAAATAACCAAAATTTTATTTCATATTCCTTTTCTAGAAACCTGGAAGACTAGACAGATGCTTTCTCAACTTTGTAGAATTCTCCATCTGCTAGACAGTGTTTTTAAGCCACTGTAAAATGCTGGTATAACCCACACTTGAGTGACACCATTGACATAAGCAAGTAATAGCGTGTTGGAGAATGCACCCTGCTGGTGTCCAGAGTGTTAATTCAGAAGTTGAGTTGCTAATGACTTGTGCCATCTGGTGTGTAAGACCATGATCAGCAACTACACACAATGCCATGGCCAGGCCACTCTTTCCCTCACACTCAGCCCCTTTGTCATTCAGGCTAACTGTCCAAGCAGATTCACACATAACCCTGCATACTGCAGAGGTGTGACCTTTCATGCCCTCTCTTACACCCACTTCACTGGTAAAGACTTTTTTTGTTCATTAATTCACTCATTCATTCAATAAACAAATATCTGTTGAGTTCTTACTATGTGTTAGGAACACTACTAGATACTGGGGGTGACTTCAGAGCTTACATTGTTCTAGAGGAAACAGACAAAAACAAAAGTAAACAAATAATTAAAAATCATGATACAAAAGAAATTCAGAACAAGCCAAGGAAGTAAACAATGGGAGGGAAATGCTAACTTTAGGTAAGATGACCATGGAACATCTCCTGGAGGAGGTGGCATTTAGCTGAGAACTAGAGGATAGCAAGATACAACGATGCAGAGAGCTGAGGGGGAGTGGGAGTGAACCAGTGGGGGTGTTTCAAGTGGACAAATTAGTATGTGCCACTGCCCTAGCCAAGGAAGAACTCAATGTGTTTGTGAAACTTACAGAAAGTCTCTTCAGTTTGATTTGAAAGCAGAGTAATTGAGAGCAAAGTGGCATGAGACTGGGGAAGTAACCTTGAAGTCAGATTATGGGGCCATGTAGGGCATGATAAAGAGTGTGGGTTTTATCTGATTTGTAGCAGGAAGCCATGAAAAAGGATTTTTAAGCCAAGAGTGACACAATCTGATTTATACTTGCAGCAGATGCTATTGGTGTCTATCCATATTCTGTCCTTGTTCCCTTATACGTGCAGGGCAAACCAGATATGTCAGGGAATTAGGAGAGCAACCATTGACAAATAAGGCTGATATATAAATTTCCAGCTCCCTTGCTCCCAGGTGGGCAACACTGAGGTATGCTCCACATCAGGGCTACCCAGTGGAACTTTCTGCAATGTGAAGATATTCTGTATCTGAGCTATCCAATGTGGTAGCCAATTGGCACGTGGAACTATTGAGCACTTGAAATGTGGCAGTTGCAATGCAGAAACTGATTTTTAGTTTTATTTAATTTTAAATGTTTAATTAACCTAAAATTATATTTAGAAAGCCACATTCATCCAGTGGCTATCATATTGTACTGCACAGTTCTCTTCAGCATTTAAGAATTCCCAAATAAGACTGAGCCCAAGTTACCCAAAGCTGCAGCCTGCCCATAAACACACACTTTATTGGCTTCCCTTAATTTCCTGTCTTATATCCTTACTTCCTTATCAGTGCTTCCTGGCTTCATCTTTCAAATAAAATCCTAAGGCAGCTTTTAAGATGACAACTCTGGTTTCAAAATGGAGAACAGATTGAAGGGCACCCAAGTAAACTGAGAGGACCAGTAAGGATGTTTTTGTGGTATTTAGTAATGTACGTGGAAGACTTACCATGTCAAAGCCTAAGGACAGAGCAGTCAATAATACTATTCCTTTCATGGAGGAGATGATGACTTAGATTCAAGCCTCAGCTATATCAATCAGTTGCCATTCAGTGGACCGAACTATCTAAGCCCATCTTGATAAACAAGAATAAGACTATGCTGAGTCTTTTAGAGGTTATTCATAGAGAGAAAGCTTTCGTTTCATCTGATTCAGTCTACTCCCATGAGACCTAGCCTCACTGTCAGTGAACAAAGTTCAAATTGAATTATGAATGAGAAGGTTTCAAATTTTTCTCTTAATCCCAGTATCTTCTTTTACTGAATGTTAAATAAAACATAGCATCCCAGTAAATGCATTGGGTTAAAAGAGTCCTAATTTTTAGTCCTAACTGAGGGAGTCACTTAAATTTCTCAAATCAATTCTTAGAACTGGCATCCTATGCAGGCAAGAGCAAATGAGAACAATGAGGAAATATGGTAAGCTAGCTAAAGAAACAGTTTGGAATTTTAAAAGACATTGGCAAAAGATTTAGCAAAAGCAAACCATCAAGAAGGACTATATATAAGAATGACAGAAACCTGGAAGAACATACTAAGGAAAGTTAAATTCCCCCAGTAACTTATGGCTTCCCAAAAATGCTAAGAGCAACCTAAAGAGCTTTTTGTAGTTAAGTTCCAAGCAAGAAAAACAAGGAAGGGACAAACCTACTGCCTGAATCCAATAATGTGTAGGTGATAGAGAATTCAGATTTTTCTCAAGCAACTATGTTGTTTCTGCTAAAATGCCTAGAAGAAATAGTGTCAAGAGAAAAATAAACCCAAGATAGGGGAAGAGATTTATAAGACAGCATCTTGCTCTCCTCAATGATTGAATTACCCAGGATGCATGACACAGGGAAAGGGAAAGCCTTGATTTGTACCATCTATTGATTCCTGTGGTGTAAATCCTCTCACTACAGCTGGTTTCAAGATACCAGTGTGGAGTTGGGAAGAGATGTACACAGCCGGCTCTCACAAGCCAGTAAGAGCCAGGTCCTGTATATCACTCCCTGCATAAGAACTACATTCCTAAAACCAGAAAGAAAAAAAAAAAACTATCGAAATAGTGCCACACCAATGCTAAGGAATTTTGAGGCACCAAGGAGAGGTGCCAGAAGTTAGAATAAGTTAAGTATAGTTATAATTATTTTAAAACATAAGTAGATTCTGAAAACTGTGGACTAGTGACCCTGAGGTATATTCTAGAATGTATCTTTAAGTGAATTTTTATGAATAATTAGGGAAACAGTAATCACTAGAGGCCAGCTTGAGTTCACTGAGAAAAAAATCATGTCAGACACCTTTTCCATTGGCCTCATTGTTTAGTCTGAAGGATTAAGTTTTTAAATGATGGACATAATACATCTAGAATTTAGGAAAGTTCAAGTCCAGACCAGAGATTGGCAAACTGGCTCTTACACTAAATCTGGCCTGCTGACTTTTTAAAAATAAAGTTTTATTCTAACACAACCATTTGTTACATACTGGCTATAGCTGCTTTTGCACAACGATATTAGTAGAATGGCTGCAACGGAGACTTTAAGGCACTGAAAGCATAAAATATTTACTATCTGATCCATTATAAAAAAAAGTCTGCTGACCCCTGGCCTATTATGGAGAAGTCTGGACATTCGTAAAACGTTGTGTAGGTTCATAATCTTAATGAATAGCCATATTTAAATGTTTTTAATTCATGGACTAATCACATGCTGGAGAAAGATTTCTCGTAGCAGAATCCTGGGTTCTGTCCTGACTATGTCTTATGCAATGTTTTACTATCAACTATGTGAAAGAGGGCATTGGCATGGCATGCAGACCAATTTTGCAGGTGATCTACGTTCAAAATGGCCATTGACTACCTTGCATGGTTGAAGCAAGTTCAAGTAAACTAGACAAGCAAACAAAAGCAGCTGTGATGATTAGACACAGTCTAAGAACGCAGTGTTCAGATTCATGGAAAAACAATAAGTGGATCAAGAAAGTGAGCTGCATTTAAGTAATTAAAGGTCTGTCATTTAGAAAAGGAATTTAATTAATTTTTAAAGAGTGCATGGAATTTATAGCCAAACACATTTCAGTTTAATATAAGAATGAACCACCCAGCAGACTTTCTTTGGTAGGTAGTGAGTTTCTTGTTATTGATGGTGTTCAAACATAGACTGGCAGAACCGTTAGGAATGTTGTAGAAGGATTCATGCCTATACAGTCTTTTCTTTCCCAGAATTTGTGGTTCTCTGAGCCTGCTTCATTATCTGTATAATGAAAATGAAATTAGAGATACTCTCTAATGCCAGATTCTTTTGACACAATGAATTCTAGATTCAGAAGAGCAGCTCATACCATCTATAAGGAGGTTGCTTTGTTCAGAAATACAGATATCCCTTAACTGTCTAACAGCATTGCTTACTGGCAAAAACAGGGTGTTTTTTTTTCTTTTTTTCTTTTCTTTTTCTTTTTTCTTTTTTTTTTTTAACCAATTTCAATGGCATCTGTTTCTTCAGAGTAAGTAAGCCACTCGAGGCAAGCCAGCTCCATCTCTAATTAGTCAGTTACATCAGTAATAGGATGATAATGGAAAGGACTTGGAGTCATAGGAATTTTATAATAAACCAATGGCCTCTTTTATGGAGACTGGCAGAAAGACTTCAGAGATGTTCAATCAGATATAACTATAACTGCAAAGATGAACCTGCCAAGAGTTTGATAACAGGGAAGCAGACCAAATACAAATAGGTGAGATGTAAATTGGCCAAAACTATAAAATGGTTGAAGGCATGAATTGGTTCAAAAATGTAAAATTGAATAAGTAACTTAATATTTTAGCCAGAGATCTCACCACTACCTTTACAGATAATGCTTTATCAGATTTGTAGATATCATCTAATTATATACTAGCTTTATAAAGCAATAACATATGAGTTAAGGGATATGCAATTAATGAAAATTCATCTAGACAAAAATCTCTCAACTCTATTTTGCATTCCAGCTTTAACATGCTATTTAAGATCTCAACAATCTTTTCAGCAATGTCTAAAAAGAAGACACCAGATTTTTTTTTGTCTCATTACAAATTTTGTGTTTCTTACTTCAGGGAAAATTTTTAAATAGGAATAGTCACCTCCAACTCAAAGGTGCAATGGCCATTGTTAATTAATTTGTCATTGTGGCAAATTTGCAGAGTTCAACAGAAATATACAAATCACTTGTCTCAAATACCCTGAGGAGCTAAACAATGCCTATGTGCATACAAATACTACTGAAGAAATGTGTAGCCTATGTCAGAGGGACAGTTCTCACAAAGATAATCTCACCACAGTCTTGCCCTAATACAGTGATTGTCAACTTTACAAGATCTAATACTGCCTTTTGATAACAGAAGTGAAATTACTCTCTCGAAATGAAATTAATAAATAGTATAACATCCCTATATATGTAATTCAGAAAAATCAGTGTAACTCTCAAATGTGAGATAAAGGAGAAATATAAGAAAATCTGTTTTAAAATGTTTGTTTTAATTTGTAAATAGTCTGGCACATAATGCCAGAAGACATAATGATATAGAGTTGTGTACATATTTATAATGAGTAAGTATTAGATTTAAGGGAAGTAAATTTACCTAGATACAGTTGCCATATTATGTTTTATATTTTAAAATACAAGCTAAGTAAAAATACGTGTGCACATGGGTGTAGGTGTGTAGATATAAACTCAAGAATACAACATTGTAAATAAAAACAAGTTGTTTTATTGATGATTCAAATCCACAAGCCAGGCTACTGTTGCTGACATGATTTTTCTAAAATGATAACTGATTCTTAGTAAAATTGAGAACAAAAGAGTACAATTTTTCCCCCATTTACATGATAGTTGCATTCCTGGGTAATTTTAACATAAATCAAAATAATGCCAATGCAAGCATCCATCAATTGACAAACGGATAAAAGACACTAGGACATATTCATATGATAAAATATTACTCAAGCATAAAAAGGGATGAAATATTGATACATATTACAACATGGATGAATCTTGAAAACCTTATGCTAAGTGAAAGAAGCTAGACTCAAAAGGTCACATATTATATGATTCCATTTATATGAAATGTCTGGAATAGGTAAATCTATAGAGACAGAAGTAATTTAATTTCTGAGGGCTAGAAAGAAGGGGGACATGAGGGAGTGACTGCTAATTGGAGACTAAAATGTTCTGGAATTAGATACTGGTAATCGTTGTACAATCTTATGAATATACTGAAAACCACCAAATTATAGACCACTTAAAAAGAGTAAATTTTATGGAATGTTAATTATGTCTGAAGTTTTAAAAATTACTTTTTATAAACTGAGTTCATTTCTGGGCTTATATCATTATGAGCAGGTTTTTCACTTACATTAATATTCAATGAGACATTAACAATTCAGTGGGACAACAATTCTTCTTTGAGCAGAAATACATCGTACACTTCAGGACATATAGCACTTCTCCCAGCCTACCACATAGTAGCAGCATCCCACAACTGCTGTAACAACCAAGAAATCATTGCACAAATTTCCATGTGGCCCTCAAAGGTATTTTTAGATTTAGGTATTGTGCCTGTTGAGAACCATGGCCCTGGCAGCATGCATGCAAATATAACCAAAATGTATAAATAGTTTGTAGTACAATTCCCTGGATTTCTAAACTGACAAATAGCCACGACTTTTCACCCCTTAGAGACCACTTCAAGGACTGTCCTAGTTGTGTGACTTGGTCCCCTCACCTGTCTATCTGTCATATTTCATCCCAACTTTTAAGATAGCAGTGTGGCATGTTTTCTTGTGCAGTAATCTATGCAATATTTGCAGGATTCTGAGTTATTTTTCTAAATAAATATGACTAGGATGTGCAGTATTTTTGAGAATTTGCAATATCCCTTAAGGTTCAAAAATATGTTTCTCAAAGAGGAAAAGTTCAGCAATGTGCTTCAAGGCAGAGGATAAAAACACAAAAAAGATTCCAAGCTAGATGTTTTCCTGTTTCTCAAATATTTAATTTTTTATTTTTCATTTAAAACAGTAGGTAAGGGCCAGGCATGGTGGCTCACGCCTATAATTCCAGCACTTTGGGAGGCCAAGGCAGGTGGATCACCTGAGGTCAGGAGTTAAAGACCAGCCTGGTCAACATGGTGAAACCCTGTCTCTACTAAAAATACAAAAATTATCCAGGCTTGGTGGCAAGCACCTGTAATCCCAGCTACTCTGGAGGCTGAGGCAGGAGAATCGCTTGAACCTGGGAGGTGGAGGTTGCAGTGAGCCAGATGGCTCCATTGCACTCCAGCCTGGGCAGCAAGATTGAAACTTTGTCTCAAACAAACAAATAGCAGCTAAGAGGGCCTCAAGGCATGGGAAGGGCTTCAAATGCAAAACCTAGTAGCAGAGTGCTTGCAGAATTATAGAAGCACTGTGGACTACTGGTGTCACCAAAAACAGCAAACAATCTTTCCAGTTTTTATTTTCAGTAATTGGCCCCTTCCAAGTACTGAAGACTTAAAACAAGGATCTAAGTCCGTGATTCTGAAACCAAGTTTTGGCATACACAGGGATGTCTCCAATGGTTTCAAGGAAAATCTAAAATTCTTAAAATACTTCATTTTTTTTTCCAAAATAAAATATCTCCCCAGAGTATCCTAGAAGACATGGGTAATGTAGCGCAGACTTTCACAAAGTTGATATCCCAGCCTGCTGGCCACTGGCTGATATCACTGCAAGAATGCCTTCTGTAACCTCCTGTGAATCACTTTTACTTGTGGGATGGGATTTTAATGAAACAATCATTAAGTTTAAACATTGACCGTAGTCCCAAAGAGAGAGGAAAGGAATGTATTTTATTCAAAAATGTCATTCTTTATTCTAAACATCGAGTGAAGATTTTAAAATCCCATAGTAGGATTAGAGACATGTCTTGTGTTTTTCTATGATAATTCCATTTGACCTCTTAACAGAAGCACTGTGAATTCTACAACTGGAAATAAAAACTCCTTTTTGTTGAATATTTTAATCTGAACATACAATTAATTCCCTCTTTGAATAAAATGAAGTCTAGCCTTCAACTTGACCACTCAGCTTTTCACACTGGTTTAAGCTTATATCTAAAAAGAATAATAGATTCGGGTCAGATTGAGCACACTATTAAAGAAACTCAAGATAGACTAAAAGTCTATTTTGGGGATAGTCTTTCAGTGGGGATAAAATTGGTGGTCATTATGTTGGTTTTTATAACTTCTGAGATTTTTTACAGATTTTAATGACATTTGAAATGTGTGTCTGTGTGAGAGAGAGAGAGAGAGAAAGAGAGAGAGAGATGAATTTTACTGAGGCAGCTTTAAAGTTTTATGGGTTTCAAAGTTGACTGATCCCAACATTATTTAATAATCTGTAGAAAAGTGACTCATTTAGGCTTTCACTCTGCCCTATCTGCTATTAGAACTGCCAGCTCCCAGGCCAAAACCCCTGAACATGCAGGAGGATCCCTATGTTCATTACCATAGTTTCATACTGGAACTCTTTTGCTTCACGTTTTTTAACTTTTAATTATGGAAAATATCACACATAAAAGTAGACAGAATGACAATGTCATGAAAAGAGACAACCAGACATTGTGTGCTTCTCGATGGAAATACACATCTCCACCTATAAAGAAGTCTTGCCTAAAAAAAACAAAGAACAGATCAAATACAATGTAAATCTGATCAAGCCTTTAGATCTAACTACTAACTTACAGAAAATTCAAGAGACAGAAGAACATTTTAGACAACACCATGGAGATGTTATCAACAAAATGCAGACTTTGGGAAAACTTTACAGAACAGAGAAAATCCAAATTTTCAAACTTAAAAGTAGATAGAATTGTGTAATAACTCTTCTGTACTCATCACTCAGTTTCAACAAGTGCTAGTACATGGCCCATCTTGTTTCATCCATATACCCACCCAGTTCCCAACCTCAGATTATTTTAAAGCAAATTATATCTTCTGTAAATATATCACACTGTATCTGTAAAAAATAAGCCATTTTCCTCAAACTTAACCATAATACAATTATCAAAACAAATAAAAAATTAACAATACATTATTAATACTATCAACTACCAAGTCAGTGATATTTCCCATGGTCTACTGTCTTACAATTTTTCAGTAAATTGCTTGAGTCCAAATAAGTTCCATATATTATAATTGATTGATATGTCTCTTAATGTCCATTTTAATTTATATGTTTCCTTTCTGCCTTTCTTTTTTTCTTCTTTGAAAAAATTTTTAAGAAGTGAATTGTCTCTGCTCTCTGAAGTTTTCCCAAAGTCTGCATTTTGTTGATAACATCCCCATGGTGTTGTTTAAAATGTTCCTCTGTCTCTTGAATTTTCTATAAATTAGTAGTTAAATCTAAAGGCTTGATCAGATTTACATTGTATTTTTTTGTTCTTTGTTTTTTCGGGCGAGACTTCATAGGTGGAGATGTGTATTTCCTTGTAGAGGCACATAGTGTCTGGTTGTCTC
Source organism: Homo sapiens (assembly GCF_000001405.40). Lineage (NCBI taxonomy): Eukaryota > Metazoa > Chordata > Mammalia > Primates > Hominidae > Homo > Homo sapiens. The sequence goes on from NC_000003.12 coordinate 68,560,333, forward strand.
TTTTCATGACATTATCAGCCATTGATGACAACTTCTCAGATACACTAATATTTTAGCAGTTACAAAGGATGATATTTTAAATTTTATCATTCTTCCTTTGTTCGTTAGCCGAATACTTCTCTAAAGAGAAATTTTCTCACATCGTTATCCAGAGGTACAGATTTTATAAGAAGGCATGATAAATGCTTGGTTCTCCTGGTTTATCAGCTTTCAAAATATGGAATTCTTTCACCAGCAACCTTGAAAGAAGCTAACGAATATTTTAGTATGATAATTACTTTATGGAAGTAAACATATTTGATGCATTTCTCTCCTTTGCACGTATTATTCTTACTGATGCTCAAATTGCCCCATCTTCAGCCAATTGAAACTTACTGAGGTCTTGCCAAGGACTTATAAAAGAAAACTACAAAAAAAATTCCGGTAGAAATTTCAAGGTCTTCCTGAGCAGCACATTAAAAACTCCCTTCCTTTGTAGAGTCCTTTACAGAGTACAAATGCTCTATCATTTTATTTGGTCATCTCCAAAGTAAAAATAACATTGGCAGTCAGCTCTCGGGTGATAGATGGTGGTGTCCACATTCTGTAGAAGAGTACACACAGCTCAGATAATTGAAGCCACTCTGCCTGTGTCACCAGGGCTTCTTGATAGTAAAGCTGTGATGAGATATCAGGTCCAATTTCAGGGCTCTTAACATTGTATCTTAATAAAGCTAAGCCACATTTTCCTCATGCTTATTATTTTTTATTATTCCTTTATACTTGAGAACAGTCTTAGGCACTTGTTAGGTACTTGACAAAACAAATGTGGAATGACAAGAACATTGATACCCCTTCCTGTAGAACATTTTCATGCTACAGGCTACCATGGTGAATTATATATTATGTTATATTTTCTCTTGTTTGGAACCCAGTACATAAAGCTCAACAAAAAGTCCATTCTCCAGGATGGAGAAAGATTAAGAAAGTGTTGCAAGTCAGCATTTTACAGAGAGAAAATTTTATTTTAACAAACTCTAGTCAGTTGTTTGAGCAAATGTACCAAGAAGGTGAAAGAAAAGAGTTTTTAAATGATTCTTTTTTCAGACAATCTTTTCCTGAAAAAGATTAGGAACTTTGATATGTGTCTTACCACTGTTGGACATTTGGCTCTAACCCAATAAACTAGATCTTTTCCCCGCTGGCTGGAGACATAAAATGAGCATAATATCTTAAGCATATTTCAAGTAGATTAGCTGCAATTGTAGTGTTCAAAATGGTCAAATGCTCTGAAACCATTAGCTTCTTTCCTCCATCACCATTCCTATTACATTGTAGGGTTCAATGCAATTGGGAGTAAGTGGGAATTTGCTGAAGAGTAAAGCAGTGATTTTGTTCTCCAAGCAAGGTAACAAAATTTACATAATAAGATGAAATAAAACATTTCACCTAATGACTGTTTAAAGAAACAATTGACTAAAAAAATAATAAGCATGATTCAAATTAACATCAAGGCAAAAGTATTTTAGCAAAAGAATAACAGATGCCAATAACCTCTTTCTACATTTGTTTCCTCTTACTAAAGCTGGTCCCTTCTAATAGAAAGGGGCCTCTGGTTTGTGCTACAAGAAATTAAGTTGATACCACAACAATATGAAACATCTGAATGAAAAGCTAAAATTGAAATCAGCCAGGTTGTAACAGATGTCTTGATGCACAACTGTCTTACACCAAAAGTCTAGATCGTAGGTTAGAAAGTATTTTCTGCAAAGGAACAGATAGTAATTATTTTAGACTTTGCAGGAAACTACTGAACTCTGCCATCAATATGTGAAAGAGCCATACACAATACATAAACAAACGGACAGGGCTGTATTCTGATACAACTTAATTACAAAATTGTTTACAAAAACAAGCAGCAAGCCAGATTTGGTGTAGGAGCCATAGTTTGCAGACCTCCGATATGGATGATAGCAGAAGAGTGTACTTTCATCTGAGAATTTGGCACTTAGTTGCAGGGTGAGAGTAAAAGTGCAGACTGTAGAATATTTTTTTAAAGAACTGGGCTACCTAAGGGGCCACAGCTCAAATTTCTAAAGGCTGAAGAATTTCAGTTCCATGAGAAATGTAGGTGCATATGAGACATTCGGAAGGGGTAGAACTGTAGCTAAGCAGAAAGAACCCAGTGTCAAAGAATCCTGTTACTCAGATGCACCTGATTGTCACCATGTGGAAATGTACAGGATCACCATCTCCACTAATTTTTCTATGAAATCTTCCTATTTTTAGATGCTGGAAAATAATGTAAAAATTTTAAGACAATGTACAGACAAACTGAAACAAATCTCAGGACATCCAGAAAAGTACCTAGGAGGCACATAGTAGGTTCTCAGTATGTTGGAAGGGAATATGGGTGGGAAGGAACAAGAAAGGGAGGAAATGAGGCTGAGAAGGAAAAAAGGGAAAAAGAAAAAAGAAAAGGAGACAGACAGCAAAAACCATTCCCTAAACAACAGTTTTTAAACTCTGGGCAAGAGGTTACACGCTAGTCATTCATATTTGGTAACAGCTCTAGCCTGATGACATGGTATGTGTTAGAAGAGAGGAGATGTTTTATATTTGTTTAACCAAAATGATAAGTGCTGTTTTCAACCTAATAGAAATGAAATAAATTGAAGTCCAAGATGGTGAAAGAAGAAATCTCTATTTTTATTCATTGCCCCCACTGTGGGACACAGGACAATTGTTCACCTTTAGCCTCAGCACATCTATACTAATATTCTTTTGCATGAGATCAGCTGGGGAGCTTTGTAAAAATGCCTGAGTCCCAAACCCCAGAGATTCTGACTTAATGGGTACATTGTGAGTCCCAGACTTCAATATTTCTTTTTAAAGTGTCATATGTTATTCTAAAGCACAGCCAAGCCAGAGAACCACTATTCTAAACTAAGCGTACACAGTGTTAGGATTTGGATTTAGGAAGATTAGACAACACAGAATTGCTTCAGATTGCTATTAAGTGACATAGCCAGTAAGGATATGTTTTGGAATTGAATCATCCAGAAAGTTCAACAGTCAACCACAATGACACTCCCTAACCCTTCCCCAAAGGATAACCTGACCCATGTCTCAGATCAGAGGTTGGCGACTGCCTGCTTTTGTATGGCCTCTGAGGTAAGAATATTTTTTATATGTTTAAATTATTGGGAAACATTTTTTTAAAGAATACAGTTAGTGACATGTCAAAATTCTATAAAATTGTAATTTCAGTGTCTATACATAAAGTTTTACTGGAACACTGCCAAGTGCACTCATTTATGTATTATCTATGGTTGCCTTCACTCTGCAATGGCAGAGTTAAATAATTACAACAGGGACTGTGAGTCCCACAAAGCCCCAAATATTTACTATCTGTTTGGTTTTTTTTACAGAAAAGGTTTGCCAACCCATGTTTTAGAGGAAGACTAACAAATATAAAAAACATATTTGATGTCTCAGTAGGTTAACCCAACAAATGTTTATTTCCCCCCGCCATGTAACACTGACACAGGTTCCTTCCATCTGACTCCAAAATTCTTAACCTCTTTCTGCCTTGGATACTGGGCAGTCTGGTGTTGTCTGTCAATACTTTTGCACAGTAGTAGTTTTAAAATGCATAAAATAAAATTCATGGGATTTAAAGAAAATTATATTAAAACTCAGTGATCAAACTATTTAAAAACAAATTTAATATGTAGTAATATACATGCTTCATTATTAAAGTATTAAATAACAAAACCTAGCAGCAAGTTTCATAAGTATCATAATTTTTAAGGAGTCTTGAGGGTAAAAATACTTTGAAATATCCACAACAACTATAATGGGATATGAAAAATCTGTAATTTCTCTAGGTGACAAAGTCACAGGTACTTGTAATAGCATGGTGGTGATTTGCCTACATTCATAATAGAAGGAAGTGCTAAAATCAAGTTAGAGCCTCCTGAAAATACAGATGTAGAATTTTGTAACCAAGCTTAGAAAATGGTTGAACTCCTTGAATTTTATCCATAGACTAAGGGGTCCTTGGATTCCAAGCTAAAAATACCTGAGAGGTTTCTACATTTCAGGGCCTATGAAACCTTCCACGAAGCCTCTGCTTCCTATCAGCCAGCAAAGAAGAGAGAGCAAGCTCAGAGGACCACTCCAGAGATGTTAAAGAACAGGCTTGGAAGTGGTATAAAATACAGCTGCCCACATTCCACTAAGCAGAACTCTGGCTTATGGCCCCACCTAACTGTAGGGAAAGCTGGTTTAAAAAAAAAAAAAAGTCCACTTGTACACCTCGAAGGGAAAAGAGATAGCTTGCTGAATGCCCATTCAGTGCCCACTATAACCTCCTCTCCAGGGTACTCCTCTCCAGAAAGCTATGGGAAGCCATATAAGTTGGCTCAAGCTGCCAATAAGAACACCAAAGCCTAAGTAGCTTAAGCAACAGACATTTACTTTCTCACAGTTCCAGAGGCTGGGAAGTCCAAGATTAAGGTACTGGCCAATTTTTTATCTCTCAAGGGCTTTCTTCCTGGCTGGTTGATGACTGCTTTCTCACTCTGTCCTCATATGGCAGAGAAAGAGAGAGAAAGAGCACACACAGTCACCCTGGGGGCTAGGTCTTCAACACATGAATTTGGGGGTAATACAACTCAATCCATGGCAGAAGCCATGTTGAGTTCTTCTTTAATAATTAGAGAAGGGAAGATGTTTTGTTCAGAGTCTTCCTAGTTGCTTGATCCCAATATGGTAAACAGTTCACATTTTTCCATTTTCATGTTTTATCCTGAAGCAACAGAGCATTACATTAATTGACTTGTCTTATTAATTCAGTAAGCTGCTTCCAGGATGAAATGCTTAGCTATGCTTGTTTGTTTTGGGCCCTTTTTTGGTTATTGGGTGAAAGCTTCAAGGCTTAAACCACTCTGATGTTTTTCACAATCACTGAAAAATTTTATGCACTGGTGAAGATTCACCACATTTGAAATGACTTCAAACTTCTAGTTTTTCATTATTTTATAATTTAATTCACACTTTTTAGTATGATAAGAAAATATTGAGTGGTTCACATATTGTAGTAGGATATTTGCTCATAGTTAGAGCTGTGTTTTAGCATTTATTGTGAATGGCATTCAATGCAGTTAAATGTGGTAGACTTAAATAAAGTCAAAATAAACAACCATGTAACAATAACAACTCTAGCCAAAAACAGTGAAATGTGGGCTTCACATACTTTTTTCAAATTTATTTTTTAATTGACATAAAAATTATGTATACGTATTATGTACAACATGAGGTATTGGAGTATCTATATACACATTGTGGAATGGCTAAATCTAGCTTATTAACAAATGAATTACTTCTTATCATTATTTTTGTGGTGAGAACTCTTAAAATCCACTTTATTAACACTTTTCAAGAATACAATATATTGTCATTAACTATAGTCACTGCATTATACAATAGATCTCCGAACTTATTCCTCCTATCTAGCTGTAAGTGTATAGCCCTTGACCAACATTTCCCTACCCTACTTCCTCCTAACCAACCCAGCTGCTGGTAGACACCACTCTGCTCTCTACTTCTATGAGATCAACTATTTCAGATTCTGCTTATGAATGAAATCATGCAGTATTTATTCCTCCGTACTTGGCTTAATTCACTTAATACTATGTCCTCCAGGTTCATCCATGTTGTCACAAATGATAGAATTGCCTTCTCTTTAAATGGCTGAATAGTACTCCATTATGTATGTATACAACATATTTTATTTAACCATTTGTCTGTTGTTGGGCACTTAAGTTGATTCCAAATCTTGGCTATTGTGAATAGTGCTGCAATAAACATGGGAGTTCAGCTATCTCTTCAACATACTGATTTCATATCCTTTGGATACATACCCAGTAGTGGGATTGCTGGATCACACAGTAGTTCTATTTTTAATTTTTTGAGGAACCTCTATACTGTTTTCCATAATGGAAGTACATTCTCACCAACAGTGCACAGGTTTTTCCTTTTTTCCACATCCTTGTCAACACTAGTTATCTTCTATCTTTTTTGTAATAGCCATTTTTCAGGAGTGAGGGAATATCTCACTGTTGTTTTGATTTGTATTTCCCTGATGATGGCTGATGTGGAGCATTTTTTCATATAACTGTTGGCCATTTTTATGTCTTCTTTTGAGAAATGTCTATTCATTTTTTTTCTCCTTTTCATATCAGGTTTTTTTTCTTGCTATTGAGTTGTTTGAGTTCCTTTTAGATTCTGGATATTATTAACTCCGTACCAGATGTATAGATTCTAAGTATTTTCCCCCATTCTGTAAGTTGTCTCTTCACTCTGTTGATTATTTCCTTTGTTGTACAGAAACCAACAAAGGATTTTTAATTTCTTTAGGTTTAATTTTTTGTGTGTTTTTAATTTTTCTAATGGTGTTTTTTTATGTAATCCTATTTGTCTAATTTTGCTTTTGTTGCCTGTGATTTTTAGGTCATAACCAGAAAATAATTGTCCACATCACAAGTGTCATGGAGATTTTATCCTATGTTTTCTTTGAGTAGTTTCATAGATTCAGGACTTAAATTGAAATCTTTAACCCATTTTGAATTGATTTTTGTATATGGTAAGAGATAAAGGTTTAATTTCATTTTTCTACATGTAGATATCCAGTTTTCCCAACACAATTTACTGACATGACTGTCTCTTCGCCATGATGTGTTCTTGGCACCTTTGTCAAAAATCTGTTGGCTGTGAATGTATTAGTTTATTTCTGGGCTCACTATTATGTTCCACTTGCCTATGTGTCTGTTTTTATGCAAGTGCCATGTTGTTTTGGTTACTATAGGTTTGCAGTATATTTTGAAGTCAGGTAGTATAATGTCTCCAGCTTTGTTCTTTTTGCTCAAGATTGCTTTTGCTATTCAGGGTCTTTTTTTGTTGTTGTTCCATATAAATTTTAAAATTGTTTTTTCTATTTCTGTGAAGAATGTCATTGGTATTTTAATAGGTATAGCATTAAATCTGTACATCGCTTTGGATAGTATAGACATTTTAACAATGTTAATTCATGCAATCTATAAGCATGTGATATCTTTCCATTTATTTGTGTCTTTAATTTCTTTCATCAATGTTTTATAATTTTCAGTATAGAGCTCTTTCTCCTCCTTTGATAATTTATTCCTAAGAATTTTATTTTTTGTAACTATTATAAATGTTTTCTTGACTTTTTTTTTTTTTTTTTTTGACAGTGTCTTACTTTTTAACCCAGGCTGGAGGGCAGTAGCGCAATCATAGTTCACTGCTGCTTTGCACTTTGGGGCTCAAGGGATCCTCCTACATCAGCCTACCAAGTAGCTGAGACTACGGGTGCACACCACCATGCTTGGCTAATTTTTTTTTTATTTTTTGTAGATATAGGGCCTCACCATCTTGCCCAGTTTGGTCTCGAACTCCTGAGCTCAAGTGATCCTCCCACCTCAGCCTTTCAAAGCACTGGGATTACAGGCATAAGTCACCATGCCTTACCTTGACGTCTTTTTTAGAGAGTTCACTGTTAGTGTACAGAAATGTTGATTTGTGTTTGTTGACTTTGTATCCTGCAACTTCACTGAATTTGTTTATCAGTTCTCACAGCTTTTTAATAGAATCTGTTGGGTTTTCTATGTATAGATCAAGTCATCTCCAAATATGGACAATTTAACTTCCTCCCTTCCAATTTGGGTGCCTTTTATTTCTTTCATTTTCTTAATTGCTTTAGCTAAAACTTCCAGTATTATAATGAATACAAGCGGCAAGAGTGGTCATCCTTGTCTTGTTTCAGATTTTAGAGGAAAACTTTCAACTTTTCCCTGTTCTGTATAATGTTGGCCATGAGTTTGTCAAATATGGCCTTTATTTGTGTTGAGACACATTCTTTCTATATTTTTTTGTTGAGAGTTTCTATAATGAAGTATTGTTATATTTTGTGAAATCATTTTTTACACCTATTGAAATGATCATATGTTTTTTGTTCTTCATTCTTTTAATGTGATGTATCATGTTTATAGATTTGTGTATGTTGAACCACCCTTGCATCCTTGAAAGGAATCTCACTTCATCATGGTGAATGATTTTTTCAATGCACTCTTGAATTCTGTTCCCTGGTATTTTGTTTAGGATTTTTACATCTATGTTTGTTAGGGATATTAGACTATAGTTTTGTTGTAGTTGTTGTGTCTTAGTCTAGTTTCGGTATCAGGGTAATGATGGCCTTGCAAAATGAGTTTGGTAATATTCCTACCTCTTCAATTTTTTGAAGAGTTTTAGAAAAATTGGTACTTCTTCTTTAAATGTTTGGTAGAAATCAGCAGTGAAGCCATCAAGTCTTGGGCTTTTTTTGTTGGGAGACTTTTTATTACTGATGCAATGTCCTTACTCATTATTGGTCTGTTCAGATTTTCTATTTCTTCATAATTCAACCTTTGTAGATTGTATGTGTCAGAAATGTATCTATTGCTTTTAGATTATCCAATTTTTGGCATATAATTGTTCATAATAGTCTTTTATCCTTTGTATTTCTGTGATATCAATTATAATCTCTCCTTTTTATCTATTTATTTGAGTCTTTTTTTCTTAGTCTAGCCAAAGTGTTGTCAATTTTGTGTATTTTTTCAAAACACCAACTCTTTGTTTCATTGATATTTTCTATTGTTTTTCTGGTCTCTTCAGTTTACTTCTGCTCTGTTCTTTATTATTTCTTTCCTTCTACTAATTTGGGTTTTGGTTTGTTTTTGCTTTTCTTGTTCCTTGAGGGCTGGTTATCAGGTTGTTTATTTGAGATCTTTCTACTTTTTTGATGTAGGCATTTATTGCTGTAAACTTACCTCTTAGAACTGCTTTTGCTGTATCCCATTGGTTTTGGTATGTTATGTTTCCATTTTCATTTGTTTCAAGAAATGTTTAAATTTTTTAATTGCCCCATTTGTTGTTCAGTAGCATGTTGTTTAATTTCCATGTATGTGTGAATTATTTAAACTCCTTCTTTTATTGATTTCTAGTTCTATTCCATTGTGATCAGAAAATATACTTGATAGTAATATGATTTCAATATTTTAGGTTTATTATGACGTTTTGTGGCCTAACATATGATCTGTCCTGGAGAATGTTCCATGTGCAGTTGAAAAGAATGTGTATTCCGCTGCTGTTAGATAGAGAGTTCCATACATGTCTGTTAAGTTCATTTGGTCTAAACTGTAATTTAAGTCCATTGTTTTCTTGTTGATTTTCTGTCTGGGTGATCTGTCATTGATGAAAGTGAGGTGTTGAAATGCCCTGGTATTACTGTATGGGAGTCTACCTCTTCCTTCATATCTATTAATATTTGCTTCCTCTATTTCAGTACTCTAACGTTGGATACTTGTATATTTGTAATTGTTATATCTTCTTGTTAAATTGACCTCTTTATCATTATATAATGACCTTCTTTGTCTCTTATAGGTTTTGACTTAAGGTCTATTTTATATCCAATTTAAGTGTAACTATTCCTCCTTTCTCTTGGTTTCCATTTACATGGAATATCTTTTTCTATCCCTTTACTTTTAGTCTATGTGTGTCCTTCCTTATGTAGGCAGCATATACTTGAGTCTCGTTTTGTAAAATTTATCCAGCCATGCTTTGTCTTTTAATTGGATAATTTAATCCATGTACATTCAAGGTAATTATTTGTAGGTAAGGACTTAGTATTGCCATTTTGTTCATTGTTTTCTAGTTGTTTTGCAGATACTTTCCACCTTTCTTCCTCTCTTTGTAGTTTAGTGATTTTCTGTAGTAGTATGTTTTGATGCCTTGCTTTCTATTTTTTGTTTATCTATTATAGGATTTTGCTTTGTGATTATCATGAGTCTTACAAAAACGTCTTTTAACAGATTGTTTTGAGCTGAAAACGATTTAATTTTAAATGCAAAAAGCCCCTCTGAGGCAAGATTGCCAACTAGACACAGCCAGAGGGATCCTCTGCCACTGAAGGACTGGAACATCAGGAGGACTGGTGCACTCTTAGCAGATTTCAGAGGGAAGGCAGTGAGACTGGACAGAGGGAAGACATAGATGCTGGGCTGAAGGGGGAAAATGCTGGAAACCATACATGAAGCTACCATCCCCCCAGATTCATTCCTGGCCACCAGTAACTCCTGGGGAAGGGGTGAGTTGAACAGGCAAGAAGCAACCCACTCTTACCAAAGGCCTCTGGAATACAGGCAGGAGGAGACCCCATGACCCCCACAGACACTTGAGTTGGCAGGGAGACCTGCTTAGAGAAATGGTAGGAGCAGAACTACAGCCAGAGTGGAGCCCAGAGGGTTTGGTGCAGGAGCATCTGTAGTGTAGCACAGCCAGGAACGGCCACCCCACTAGGCTTAACTTGCTCCCATAAGAGACTTTAGCCCTAGCGGGAACTGTCAGACCTGAACTCTACAGGATGGTCTTGCCTCGGAGATGGGGCCACTCCAACCCAAGCAACCCTCAATTTACTGACCCCAGCCTGGCCACTCTTGCTTGCAGTACAGTCTCAGCTGTCCAGGAAATACCTCCTAGGGGCCCACATTGTAGCTCTTGTACTGGTAGATCACACCTGACAACAGAGAGCTGCAGCAGAGTGGCCCCTACAGACACACACCAGCCTGCCCATGCCCTCCCCCAACTGCAGCCTCCCTCATGCTGCTTTACCTGCATGCACTCACCCACAGCCATTCCCCAAATTTCTTTGATGGTGAGTGTGTGCAGAGGCAGACCTTGCCTCCCCTTTCCCACTAGCATGCATGGCACATGCTCCCTGACACACCACTGCTGCTGGTGTGAGTGCATACTCTCACCGGCCACACATCACCATTGCTATTAGAGTGTTGGTGCCCAGAGCTCACCAGCCACACACACACCAGCACCCCACACCTGCCAGCCCCCAACCCCATAGTGACACTACCACCTGCCCAAAAATAGTTGTGGAGAACCGTAGACCCACCCCCACCCTGAGAAGCCACTGCCACCTGCATAAATGCACACAGAGGGCTCACACAGCCCTGCATCCACCAGTACCCCACCACTGTGTTAACACCACCATCAGCATGAACACACAGACACCACTGGGGGCCCCTGTCACTCCATGCTGTACTGCCACCACCACTGCTATGAATGCCTGCATGGAGGCCAGCAGCCCAGCACCTGCTAGCGCCCTGCCACAGCTGACAAGTGTGCACCCTGCCATGCTGCCACTGCCACTGCCACTGCTGCTGACACATACAAATGAGGATGGATCCCACAGCCAGCACACTATGAAACACTTTGGCTGGCACCACCCATTGGAGTATTGTGACTGGCAGGCTGGGAGCACCTCAGCCCTTCCAGTGCAACAGGTTCCTAACCTCAAGGAACCAGAGAACAAAGCTGGGGCCCAATACCAGTCCCCCAGAGTTACAGCATGCATTCCAGGAATCCTAAGCTGAGTCTTGGTCCCCTAAAATCTTCCAGAAATGAAGCCAGTCAACTGAAACCACCTTATACCACAATCAAACCTCCAAGGTCACCAAATAGGATAAAAGAAAAATAACCTATCCAAAGGACGACAACTTCAAAGATTGAAGGAACATCAGCCCACAGCGATGAGAAAGAAACAGGACAAGAACTCTGCCAACTCAAAAAGCCAGAGTGCCTTCTTTCCTCCAAATGATGATATAGTTCTCCAGCAAGGGTTCTTAACCAGGCTGCAATGTCTAAAATGACAGAAATAGAATTCAGAATATGGATAGGAAGGAAGATTATCGAAGTTCAGGAGAACATCAAAACTCAATCCAAGGAAGCTAAGAAACACAATAAAGTACTACAGGAGCTGACAGACAAAATAGCCAGTATAGAAAAGAATGTAACAAACCTGATAGAGCTGCAAAACACACTACAAGAATTTTACAATGCAGTTGCAAGTATTGATAGAAAAATCGACCAAGTTGAGGAAAGAATCTCAGAGCTTGAAGACGACCTGTATGAAATAAGACATTAGACAAGAATAAAGTATAAAAGAAATAAAGTGAACAAAATCTCCAAAAAATATGAGATTATTTAAAAGACCAAATCTATGACTCAGTGGTATCCCTGAAAGAGATGGGGAGAATGGAAGCAATGTGGAAAATGTATTTCGGGATATCATCCATGAGAACTTCACCAACCTAGCTAAGAGGCCAAAATTCAAATTCAAGAAATGCAGAGAACCCCTACAAGATAATTCACAAGAAGATCACCTCAAGATGCATAATCTTCAGATTCTCCAAGGTCAGAATGAAAGAAAAAATTTTGAAAGCAGCTAGAGAAAAAGGACAGGTCACCTACAAAGGGAAGCCCAACAGACTTAACAGTGGGCCTCTCAGCAGAAACCCTGCAAGCCAGAAGAGTTTGGGGGCCTATATTCAACCTTCTTAAAGAAAAGAAATTCCAGCCAAAAATTTCATATCCAGCCAAACTAAGCTTCATAAGTGAAGGAGAAATAAGATCCTTTCCTTTTTTTTTTTTTTTTTTTTTTGAGATGGAGTCTCGCTCTGTTGCCCAGGCTGGAATGCAGTGACATGATCTCGGCTCGCTGCAAGCTCTGCCTCCCGAGTTCACACCATTTTTCCTGCCACAGCCTCCCAAGTAGCTGGGACTACAGGTGCCCACCACCACGCCTGGCTAATTTTTTTTGTATTTTTTAGTAGAGACGGGTTTTCACCATGTTAGCCAGGATGGTCTCGATCTCCTGACCTCATGATCCACCTGCCTCGGCCTCCCAAAATACTGGGATTACAGGCGTGAGCCACCGCACCTGGCCAAGATCCTTTTCAGACAAAGAAATGCTGAGGGAATTTGTTACCAGCAGACGTGCCTTAAAACAGCTCCTGAAAGAAGCACTACATATATAAAGGAAACAGCATTAGCAGCCACCACAAAAAAACACTGAACTACACAGACCAATGACACTATAAAGTAACCACACAAGCAAGTCTGCATAATAACCAGCTAACAACATTACAACAGGATCAATTCCACACATATCAATACTAACCTTGAATCTAAATCAACTAAATGCCCTCAATTAAAAGGCACAGAGTGGCAAGTTGAATAAAGAAGCACAACCCATTGGTATGCTATTTTCAAGAGGCCCATCTTACATGAAGTGACATACATAGCCTCAAAATAAAGGGATGAAGAAAAATGTATCAAGAAAATGGAAAACAGAAAAAAATAGGAGTTGTAATCCTAGCTTTTGATGAAACAGACCTTAAACCAACAAAGGTCGAAAAAGACAAAGAAGGGCATTACATAATGGTAGATGGTTCAATTCAACAAGATCTAACTATCCTAAATATATATGCATCCAACACAAGAGCCCTCAGATTCATACATAAGTTTTTAGCGACCTTCAAAGAGACTTAGACTCTCACACTATAATAGTAGGAGGCTTCAACGCCCCACTTACACTATTAAATACATCATCAGTGCAGAAAATTAACAGGACATTTAGGACCTGAACTCAGCACTGGACCAAATGCATGTGATAGACATCTACAGAACACTCCACTAGAAAAACAACAGAATATATATTCTTCTCATCGCCACATGGCACATAATCTAAAATCAACCACACAATTGGACATTAAAAACATCTTCAGCAGACACAAAATAAATGAAATCATACCAATCATTCTCTCAGACCACAGTGCAATAAAATTAGAAATCAAGACTAAGAAAATGACTCAAAACCATACATTTATATGCAAATTAAACAACCTGTTCCTGAATGGCTTTTGGGCAAATAATGAAATTAAGGCAGAAATCAATTTCTTTGAAACTAGTAAGAGCAAAGATCCAAAATACCAGAATCTCTGGAACATAGCTAACACAATGTTAAAGTGGGCATTTACGGTACTAAATGTCCACATTGGACGGATCATGAGGTCAGGAATTCAAGACCAGCCTGGCCAACATGTTGAAACCCCATCTCTACTAAAAATACAAAAATTAGCTGGGCATGATGGTACATTCCTGTATTCCCAGCTACTCAGGAGGCTGAGGCAGTAGAATTGCTTGAACCAGGACCTGGGAGGTGGAGGTTGCAGTGAGCCGAGATCATGCCACTGCACTCCAGCCTGGGCTATAGAGCGAGACTCTGTCAAAAAAAAAACAAAAAACAAAAAAAACAGAAATATCTCAAAATAGCAACCTAATATTACAACTAAAAGAACTAGTGATGCAAGAGCCATCCAACCCCAAAGCTAGCAGAAGACAAGAAATAACAAAAATCAGAGCTGAACTGAAAGAGACTGAGACATAAGAAAACCATTCAAAAGATCAACAAATTCAGGAGCTGGTTTTTTGAAAAATAAAATAAAATAGAACACTAGCTAGACTAACACAGGACAAAAGAGAGAAGATTCAAATAAACACAATTATAACTGGTAAAGGGAACGTTACCCCTGACCCCATAGAAATATAAATAACCATCAGAAGCTACTAGGAACACCTCTATGAACACAAACTAGAAAATCTATAAGAAATGGACACATACACCTTCCCAAGACTAATCCAGGAATAAATTGAATCCATGAATAGACCAATAATGCATGCAAAATTGAATCAGTCTACCAAGCAAAAAAAGCTCAGAATTAATTCACAGCTGAATTCTACCAGATGTATAAAGAAGGACTTGGTACCATTCCTAATGAAACTAAGCAAAAAAATTGAGGAGGGACTCCTCCCTAACTCATTTTACAAGGCCAACATCATCCTGATATCCAAACCTGGCAGAGACACAACAAAAAAAGAAAACTTCAGGCCAATATTCCTGATGAACACTGATGCAAAAATACGCAACAATATACTGACAAACTGACTCCAGCAGCACATCAAAAAGATAATCCAATATGATCAAGTAGGCTTCATTCCTGGGATGCTGGTTCAACACATGCAAATTATAAATGTGATTCATCATATAAACAGAACTAAAGACAAAAACCCCATGATCATCTTAATAGGTGAAGAAATGGCTTTTGATAAAATTCAACATCCCTTCATGCTAAAAACTCTCAATAAACTAGGTATTGATGGAACATACCTCAAAATAATGAGATCCATCTATTATAAACCTACAGCCAACATCATACTGAATGGACAAAAGCTATAATCATTCCCCTTGAAAACTAGCACAAGACAAGGATGTCCACTCTCACCACTCTTATCCAACATAGTATTGGAAGTCCTGGCCAGGGCAATCAGGAAAAAGAAAGAATTAAAGGCATCCAATAGTAAGAGAGGGGGTTGAACTATTTCTGTTTGCAGACAGCATTATTTTATATCTAGAAAAACCCATAGCCTCGATCCAAAAGCTCCTTCTGCTAATAAGCAACTTCAACAGTTTCAGGATACAAAATCAACATAAAAAAGACTAGCATTCCTGTACGCCAACAACAGCCAAGCTGAGAGCCAAATCAGGAATTCAATCCCATTCATAGTTGCCACAAAAGAAAAAAATGCCTAGGAATATAGCTAACCAGGGAGGTGAAAGACCTCTACAATGAGAATTACAAAACACTGCTCAAAGAAATCAGAGATGACACAAACAAATGAAAAAAACCTTCAATGCTTATGGATAGGAAGAATCAGTATCATTAAAATGGTTATACTGCCCAAAGCAATGCTATTCCTATCAAATTACTAATGACATTCTTCACAGAACTATGAAAAATATTTAAAATTTATATGGAACCTGAATAGAGCCCAAATAGCCAAGGCAACCCTAAGCAAAAGGAAAAAAAATAGGGGCATCATGTTACCGGACTTCAAAGTTTACTACAGAACTACAGTAACTGAAACAGCATGGTAAATAGACAACAGAAACAGATACATAGACCAATGGAACAAAACAGAACAGAGAACCCAGAAATAAGGACACACACTTACAATTATTTGATCTTCAACAAAGCTGACAAAAATAAGCAATAAGGAAAGGAGTCCCTATTTAATAAATGGTGCTGGGATAACTGGCTACCCATATGAAGAAGATTGAAACTGGACTCTTTCCTTTCACCATATACAAAAATTAACTCAAGATGGCTTAAAGACTTAAATGTAAAACCCAAAACTATAAAAACCCTAGAAGAAAATCTAGGCAATACTAGTCAGGATGTGGGCATGAGCAAAGATTTTTTGATGAAAACATCAAAAACAATAGCAACAAAAGCAAAAATTGACAAATGGGATCCAATTAAACTAAACAGTTCTGCACAGCAAAAGAAACTATCATTGGAGTGAACAGACAACCTACAGAATGGGAAAACATTTTGCAGTCTATTTATCTGACAAAGGTCTAATATCCAGAATCTACAAGAAACTTAAACAAATTTATAAGAATAAAACAACCCATTAAGAAGTGGCCAAAGGACATGAACAGCCACTTATCAAAATAAGACATACATATGGCCAACAAGCATATGAAAAAAGAAAAGCTCAATGTCACTGATCATTAGAGAAATGCAAATCAAAACCACAATGAAATATTATGTCACATCAGTCAGAATAGCTATTGTTAAAAAGTCAAAAAATAGCAGATGCTGGCAAGGTTGCAGAGAAAAAGGTATGCTTATACACTGTTGGTGGGAGTGTAAATTAGTTCAACCATTGTAAAAAGCAATCTGGCAGTTCCTCAAAGTGCTAAAACAGAACTACAATTTGACCCAGAAATCCCACTACTAGGTATATACCTAAAAGAATATAAATCATTCTATCATAAAGATGCATGCAAGCATATGTTCATTGCAGCACTATTCACAATAGCAAGGGCATGGAATCAACCTAAATGCCCATCAATGGTAGACTGGATATAGAAAATATAGTACATGTATACCATAGAATACTATGCAGCATAAAAAAAATGAGATCATGTCTTTTACGGGAACATGGTTGGAGCTGGAGACCATTATCCTCAGCAAACTAATGCAGGAATAGAAAACCAAATACTACATGCTCTCACTTACAAGTGTGAGCTAAATAATGAGAACACACGGACACAAGAGGGGAACAGCAGACACTGGGGCCTACTTGAGGGTGGAGGGTGGAGGGATGGAGAGGATCAGAAAAAATAACTATTGAGTACTGGGCTTAGTATCCGGGTAATAAAATAATCTGTACAACAAACCCCCATGACATAAGTTTATATAACAGACCTATACATGTACCCCTGAACCTAAAAAAAAAGTTTTTTTTTAAAAAAGCCCAGTTATCTTAAAAAAAACCCTCTCCCTTTTTTACTCTCCCCCTATATTTTGAATTTTTGATGTCATAATTTACACATTTTAATATTGCATATCTCTAAAATTATTGTAGTTATCATTTTTAATAGTTTGCTCTTTTAACCTTTATACTAGAGATATAAATAAATTACAGATCACCATTATAATATTAGAGTATTCTAAATTTGACTGTGTACTTACTTTTGCCAGTAGGTTTTATACTTTCAGATGTTTTTATGTTAATAGTGTCCTTTTCTTACAGCTCGAAGAACTTCTTTTGGCATTTCTTTTAAGACAGGTCTGGTGGTAGTGAACTCCCTCAGCTTTTGTTTGTCTGGGAAAGTCTTTATCTCCCCTTCATTTCTGGTGGATAGCTTTGCGGGATACAGCATCCTTGCTTGGCATTTATTTCTCTTCAACACTTTGAATATATCATCCCACTGGTCTGTAAGGTTTCTGCTATGTAGTCTGCTTCTAGGCATATTGGATGTCCCTTGTATGTTATTTTCGTCATTTATCTTCCTGCTTTCAGGCTCCTTTTTTCATCTTCAAGCTTTGACGGTTTGATTATAATATGTCATGGGGTACAATATGCCTTGGGGTAGGAGTAGTCTTATTTGATTTGAATCAGGTTTTTGACCTTTCTTTACCTGAACATTTATTTTTCTCCAGGTTTTGAAGGTTTTCTGCTATAGCTTCTTTAAATAAATTTTCTACCCCCTTTGTCTTTCTCTATTTCCTTTTTAACTCAAAATAACTCAGACCTTTGCTTTTTTGATGCTGCCGCATAAATCCTGTAAGCTTTCTTTATTCCCTTTCATTCATTGTTCTTTTTTCTCCTATAACTATGTATTTTCAACAACCTGTCTACAAGTTCACAGATTCTTCTGCTTAATTAATTCTGCTCTAGATGCCTTCTATTGCATTTTTCTTTTTGTTTATTGTATCTTTAAGCTCCAGAATTTGTTTAATTTTTTTTATTATTTCAGTCTCTCTGTTAAATTGTTCAGTGTGGTCATTTACTGTTTTCCTAATTTTGTTTAATTGTTTCTCTGTAGTTTATTGAAGTTTGCTGGGCTTCATTAAAATAGTATTTTTAATCTTTGTCAAGTGGTTCATACGTTTCCATCTTTTTGGGGTTGGTCACTGGAACTTTATTTTGTCACTTTGATATTGGTCTTTGTTTTGTTTTGTTTTTTCATGTTTCTCTGATTGTTCTTGATTCTTGTGGTCATGCATAGGTGTCTGCACATTGAAGAAGTACTTATTTCTGTCTTCACAGTTTGGCTTTGTCTGGGAATGCCCTTCACAGAATGCCTGTGATTGCAGAGATTCTGGGTAGGTCTCTAGCATGTTTGCTAAGTCTGTGATCACTGCAACTGTTGCAGTGCTAGGGAGTACCCTAAGCCCAGAACTGCTGTGGTTGGCACAATGCTGAGTTGGAATTGTCTGGCTGCTGAGGCTGGCATACCATGTGGCACAGCCAAAGTCTACAGCTGCTGAGGCCTGCCTGCTGCCGAAGTCTTTCTGAGATCCAAGGCCATTGTAGTCAGCCAGCTGTGGTACAGGCCAGAGATTGAATCCATTTCACGGGGACTATGGGTTCCCACCTGACACTGGGGCTCAGTCCAGGGTATAAGACTGCATTTAGGGACGATGAGGGTCTGCCTGGTGCTGGGTTTTTCTGTGGTAGTCTCAGTGTTGGGGACCAAGGCAAAGTTCGATGTTCACTTTCCTCTCTTTCTCCTAAGGGAATGGTATCTCTCTGTGTGCCGTGTTGCCTGGGATTGGGGAAAAGATGACACAGGTAATATAAAGCTGTTCCTTCTACCCTCTTCAGTGTGTCTTTTTTTATTATTATGCTATAGCCATATAGCTCTTGTAAAGGTATTTTTGTGTGTGGATAGTTGTTTAAGTGGATTCTTCTGCAGGACAATGATTGCTGGAGAGTTCTATTCTGCCATCCTGCTCTGTCCTTTCCAATACTTTTTTGGAAATCAGATTAGGTAATAAATTTAGTAGAAAGTGAAATCTTCTACATACATGGGGCAGAGAGGGAGAAGAATCTAGGTATTTAAGAGAATGAAATCTTGCAAGAATTAAAATAAATTTCAGTAGTAACTTTTAAAGGACTTCTCAAACTTAAATTGTTGCTTTTCTTTTCCCTAAAACCCTTTGGTATAGGACCAGAATAGAATGTACAGATGGGTGCCTAATGTGTGTTTTTAACGAGATTTATATTGATGATGATACATATGCTATTTTATGAAAACACATGGGATAGGTACTAAAGCGTGGCAAGGGGTGTTTTAAACAATTATTAGCAATTTAGATAGTAATCTCAAGGACAATTTAAAATTTATGTTTTTATTATTGTATAAAAAGGATTTAAAGGCAAAAATGAAGACAGTGTCATCTCTCTACAAGGACACAGATGTGCATGTGTTTTCTTTTGCTTCTTTGTAAAGAGGTCATTAAACAATAGATTTTGCAAACTCCAAAAAGGTTTAAAATGCTTATTCTACAAAAAAGTTTGACATATTGAGCCTGAAAAGCAACTAATTCCTAGACAAGTGGGTTTAATATGAATAAATATTTGTGGCTCAATGCTCACTTAGGCTTGTTACAAAATGTGGAAGTAACTAAATATGATTGCAAGTTTTGCTGTGGTGTATTACAGTAAAGCCTCATGCAAACCAAAGATGAATACATTAGGTAAAATAATTTTAAGTCCATGAAATTGATTTTATTAACAAGTTTTTCAGTACTAATATTATGAAAATTGATAATAATGAAAAATATGAAGTCAGTACCTTGGACTTTGAATCTTATAGGACATGCCTCAGGGCTTCTTCTGTTAGCTCTGAAACTTTGCAAACTACTTACTTGCCTCTACACAAAACATAGCAAAAGAATTGGAAACATGTGAGTCCATGTATTCATTCGTTCATTTGAACATTCAGTTATTCATTTATTTAAAATCCATTCATGGTTGGGTGCAGTGGCTCATGCCTGTAATCCCAGCACTTTGGGAGGCTGAGGCCTCCATGGTGGATATGTGCCACATTTTCTTAATCTAGTCTATCATTGATGGACATTTGTGTTGGTTCCAAGTCTTTGCTATTGTGAATAGTGCCACAATAAACATATATGTGCATGTGTCTTTATGGTAGCATATAGGAGGATCACGAGGTCACCCAGCTAACACGGTGAAACCCTGTCGACTAAAAATACAAAAAAATTAGCTGGGCATGAGGGCGGGTGCCTGTAATCCCAGCTACTCTGGAGGCTGAGGCAGAAGAATCATTTGAACCCAGGAGGCGGAGGTTGCAGTGAGCTGAGATCATGTCACTGCACTCCAGTCTGGGCAACAGGGCGAGACTCCTGTCTCAAAAAGAAAAAAAAAAAATCCATTCATTCAACAAATATTTCTTGAATACCTCCTACATATCAGTTTTTTTCCCAATTTGTTTTTTTTTCCTAATTTTTTTACTATTATTATACTTTAAGTTCCAGGGTACATGTGCACAAAGTGCAGATTTGTTACATAGGTGTACATATGCCATGTTGGTTTGCTGCACCCATCAACTCGTCATTTGCATTAGGTATTCCTCTTAATGCAATCCCTCCCCCTGCACTGCACCCCACGACATGCCCCTGTGTGTGATATTCCTTGCCCTGTGTCCAAGTGTTCTCATTGTTCAATTCCCACCTATAAGTGAGGCCATGCAATGTTTGGTTTTCTGTCCTTGTGATAGTTTGCTGAGAATGATGGTTTCCAGCTTCATCCATGTCCCTGAAAAGGACATGAACCCATCCTTTTTTATGGCTGCATAGTATTCCATGGTGTATATGTGCCACATTTTCCTAATCAGGTCTATCATTGATGGACATTTGGCTTGGTTCCAAGTCTTTGCTATTGTGAATAGTGCCACAATAAACATACATGAGCATGTGTCTTTATAGTAGCATGATTTATAATCCCTTGGGTATATACCCAGTAATGGGATGGCTGGGTCAAATGGTATTTCTCATTCTAGATCCTTGAGGAGTCACCACACTGTCTTCCACAATGGTTGAACTAATTTACACTCCCACCAACAGTATAAAAGCGTTCCTATTTCTCCACATCCTCTCCAGCATCTGTCGTTTCCTGACTTTTTAATGATCATCATTCTAACTGGCATGAGATGGTATCTCATTATGGTTTTGATTTGCTTTCTTTGATGATGATCAAAATACCCATGATGATGAGTATTTTTTTCCTTCATTTTATATCTGTTGGCTGCATAAATGTCTTCTTTTGAGAAGTGTCTGTTCGTATCCTTTGTTTACTTTTTGATGGGGTTGTTTGTTTTTTCTTATAAATTTGTTTAAGTTCTTTGTAGATTCTGGATATTAGCCCTTTGTCAGATGGGTAGATTGCAAAAATTTTCACCCATTCTGTAGGTTGCCTGTTCACTGTGATGGTAGTTTCTTTTGCTGTGCAGAAGCTCTTTAGTTTAATTAGATCCCATTGTCTATTTTGGCTTTTGTTGCCATTGCTTTTGGTGTTTTAGTCATGAAGTCTTTGCCCATACCTATGTCCTGAATGGTATTGCTTAAGTTTTCTTCTAGGGTTTTTAGGTTTGTAGGTCTTACATTTAAGTCTTTAATGCATCGTGAATTAATTTTTGTATAAGGTGTAAGGAAGGGACACAGTTTCAGCTTTCTATGTATGGCTAGCCAGTTTTCCCAGTACCATTTGTTAAATAGGGAATTCTTTCCCGATTTCTTGTTTTTTTCAGGTTTGTCGAAGATCAGATGGTTGTAGATGTGTGGTGTTATTTCTGAGGCCTCTGTTCTGTTCCATTGGTCTATATATCTGTTTCGGCTCCAGTACCATGCTGTTTTGGTTACTGTAGCCTTGTAGTATAGTTTGAAGTCAGGTAGCGTTGATGCCTCCAGCTTTGTTCTTTTGGCTTAGGATTGACTTGGCGATGTGGGCTCTTTTTTGGTTCCACTTTAAAGTAGTTTTTTTCCAATTCTGTGAAGAAAGTCATTGGTAGCTTGATGGGGATGGCATCGAATCTATAAATTACCTTGGGCAGTATGGTTATTTTCACAATATTGATTCTTCCTATCCATGAGTATGGAACATTCTTCCATTTGTTTGTGTCCTCTTTTATTTTGTTGAGCAGTGGTTTGTAGTTCTCCCTGAAGAGGTTTTTCACATCCCTTGTTAGTTGCATTTCCAGGTATTTTATTCTCTTGGAAGCAATTGTGAATGGGAATTCACTCGTGATTTGGCTCTCTGTTTGTCTGTTAATGGTGTGTAGGAATGCTTGTGATTTTTGCACGTTGATTTGGTATACTGAGACTTTGCTGAAGTTGCTTATCAGCTTAAGGAGATTTTCGGCTGAGACAATATGGTTTTCTAAACAGATAATCATGTCATCCACAAACAGAGACAATTTGGTTTCCTCTTTTCCTAATTGAATACCCTTTGTTTCTTTCCCTTCCTAGATTGCCCTGGCCAGAACTTCCAACACTATGTTGAATAGGAGTGGTAGCAGAGGGCATCCTTGTCTTGTGCCGGTTTTCAAAGGGAATGCTTCCAGTTTTTGCCCATTCAGTATAATATCGGCTGTGGGTTTGTCATAAATAACTCTTATTATTTTGAGATATGTTCCATCAATACCTAGTTTATTGAGAGTTTTTAGCATGAAGGGCTGTTGAATTTTGTCAAAGGCCTTTTCTGCATCTATTGAGATAATCATGTGGTTTTTGTCATTGGTTCTGTTTATGTGATGGATTACATTTATTGATTTGCATATGTTGAACCATCCTTGCATCCCAGAGATGAAGCTGACTTGATCATGGTGGATAAGCTTTTTGATATGCTGCTGGAGTCAGTTTGCCAGTATTTTATTAAGGATTTTCACATCAACATTCATCAGGGATATTGGCCTGAAGTTTTCTTTTTTTGTTGTGTCTCTGCCAGGTTTTGGTATCAGGATGATGCTGACCTCATAAAATGAGTTAGGGAGGATTCCCTCTTTTTCTGTTGATTGGAATAGTTTCAGAAGGAATGGGACCAGCTCCTCTTTGTACCTATGGTAGAATTCGGCTGTGAATCCATCTGGTCCTGAACTTTTTTTGGCTAGTAGGCTATTAATTATTGCCTCAATTTCTGAGACTGTTATTGGTCTATTCAGAGATTCAACTTCTTTATGGTTTAGTCTTGGGAGGGTGTATGTATGCAGGAATTTATCCATTTCTTCTAGATTTTCTGGTTTATTTGGGTACAGGTGTTTATAATATTCTCTGATGGTAATTTGTATTTCTGTGAGGTCAGTGGTGATATACTCTTTATCATTTTTTATTGCATCTATTTGATTCTTCTCTCTTTTCTTCTTTATTAGTCTTGCTAGTGGTCTATTTTGTTGATCTTTTCAAAAAACCAGCTCGTAGATTCATTGATGTTTTGAAGGGTTTTTTGTGTCTCTGTCTCCTTCAATTCTGCTCTGATCTTAGTTATCTCTTGCCTTCTGCTAGCTTTTGAATTTGTTTGCTCTTGCTTCTCGAGTTGGTTTAATTGCGATGTTAGAGTGTCAATTTTAGATCCTTTCTGCTTTCTCTTGTGGGCATTTAGTGCTATAAATTTCCCTCTACACACTGCTTTAAATGTGTCTCAGAGATTCTAGTATGTTGTGTCTTTGTTCTCATTGGTTTCAAAGAACATCTTTATTTCTTCCTTCATTTTGTTATTTACCTAGTAGTCATTCAGGAGCAGGTTATTCAGTTTCCATGCAGTTGTGTGGTTTTGAGTGAGTTACTTAATCCTGAGTTCTAATTTGATTGCACTGTGGTCTGAGAAACAGTTTGTTGTGATTTCTGTTCTTTTACATTTGCTGAGGAGTGCTTTACTTCCAATTATGTGGTCCATTTTAGAATAAATGTGATGTGGTGCTGAGAAGAGTGTATATTCTGTTGACTTGGGGTGGAGAGTTCTGTAGATGTCTGTTAGGTCCGCTTGGTGCAGAGCTGAGTTCAGGTTCTGAATATCTTTGTTAATCTTCTGTCTCATTGATCTGTCTAATATTGACAGTGGGGTGTTAAAGTCTCCCATTATTATTGTGTGGGAGTCTAAGTCTCTTTGTAGGTCTGTAAGGACTTGCTTTATGAACCTGGTTGCTCCTGTATTGGGTGCATATATATTTAGGTTAGTTAGCTCTTCTTGTTTAATTGATCCCTTTACCATTATGTAATGGCCTTCTTTGTCTCTTTTGTTCTTTGTTGGTTTAAAGTCTGTTTTATCAGAGCCTAGGATTGAACCCCTGCTTTTTTTTTTTTTTTTTTTTTTTTTTTTGCTTTCCATTTGCTTGATAGATCTTCCTCCATCCCTTTATTTTGAGCCTATATGTGTCTCTGCACGTGAGATGGGTCTCCTGAATATAGCACTGATTGGTCTTGACTCTTTATCCAATTTGCCAGTCTTGTGTCTTTTAATTGGGGCTTTAGCCCATTTACATTTAAGGTTAATATTGTTATGTGTGAATTTGACCCTGGCATTATGATGTTCGCTGGTTATTTTGCCCATTAACTGATGCAGTTTCCTCCTAGCATTGATGGTCTTTACAATTTGGCATGTTTTAGCAGTGGCTGCTACCAGTTGTCCCTCTCTATGTTTAGTGCTTCCTTCAGGAGCTCTTGTAAGGCAGGCCTGGTGGTGATAAAATCTCTCAGCATTTGCTTGTCTGTAAAGGATTTTATTTCTCCTTCACTTATGAAGCTTAGTTTGGCTGGATATGAAATCCTGGGTTGGAAATTCTTTTCTTTAAGAATGTTGAATATTGACCTCCAGTCTCTTCTGGATTGTAGGGTTTCTGCCAAGAGATCCGCTGTTAGTCTGATGGGCTTCCCTTTGTGGGTAACCCGACCTTTCTCTCTGGCTGCCCTTAACATGTTTTCCCTCATTTCAACCTTGGTGAATCTGACAATTATTTGTCTTGGGGTTACTCTTCTCAAGGAGTATCTTTGTGGTATTCTCTGTATTTCCTGAATTTGAATGTTGGACTTCCTTGCTAGGTTGGGGAAGTTCTCCTGGATAATATCCTGAAGAGTGTTTTCCAACTTGGTTCCATTCTTCCTGCCACTTTCAGGTACACCAGTCAAATGTACATTTGGTCTTTTCACATAGTCCCATATTTCTTGGATGCTTTGTTGGTTTCTTTTTACCCTTTTTTCTCTAATCTTGTCTTCTCACTTTATTTCATTAATTTGATCTTCAATCACTGATATCTGTTCTTCCACTTGATCGAATCAGCTATTGGAGATTTTGCATGTGTCATGAAGTTCTCATGCCATGGTTTTCAGCTCCATCAGGTCATTTAATGTCTTCTCTACACTGTTTATTCTAGTTAGCCATTCGTCTAACTTTTTTTCAAGGTTTTTAGCTTCCTTGTCATGGGTTAGAACATGTTCCTTTAGCTCAGAGAAGTTTATTATTACCGACCTTCTGAAGCTTACTTTTGTCAACTCATCAAAGTCATTCTTCATCCAGTTTTGTTCCATTGCTGGTGAGGAGCTGTGATCCTTTGGAGGAGAAGAGGCACTCCGGTTTCTACAATTATCAGCTTTTCTGCTCTAGTTTCTCCCCATCTTTGTGGTTTTATCTACCTTTGGTCTTTGATGTTGGTGACCTACAGATGAGGTTTTGATGTGGATGTCCTTTTTGTTGATGTTGAAGCTATTTCTTTCTGTTTGTTAGTTTTTCTTCTAACAGTCAGGTCCCTCTGCTGCAGGTCTGTTGGAGTTTGCTGGAGGTCCACTCCAGACCCTGTTTGCCTGGGTATCACCAGTGGAGGCTGCAGAACAGCAAATATTGCTGCCTGATCCTTCCTCTGGAAGCTTCATCCCATAGGGGCACCCGCCTGTACGAGGTGTCTGTCAGCCCCTACTGGGAGGTGTCTCCCAGTTAGACTACACAGGGGTCAGGTACCCAGTTGAGGAGGTAGTTTGTCCATTTTCAGAGCTCAAACACCATGCTGGTAGAACCACTGCTCTATTCCAAGCTGTCAGACAGGGACATTTAAGTCTGCGGAAGTTGTCTGCTGCCTTTTGTTCAGCTAAGCCCTGCCCACAGAGGTGGAGTCTGTAGAGGCAGTAGGCCTTGCTGAGCTGAGGTGGGCTCTGCCCAGTTTGAGCTTCCTGGCTGCTTTGTTTACCTACTTAAGCCTCAGCAATGGCGGACACCCCTCCCCCTGCCAGGCTGCAGCCTTGCAGGTCGATTTCAGACTGCTGCACTATCAGTGAGCAAGGCTCTGTGGGTGTGGGACCTGCTGAGCTAGGCACGGGAGAGAATCTCCTGGTCTGCCAGTTGCTAAGACCATGGGAAAAGTGCAGTATTTGGGCAGAAGTGTACCAGTTTTCCAAGTACAGTCTGTCACAGCTTCCCTTTGCTAGGAAAGGGAAATCCCCCAACCCCTTATGCTTCCCGGGTGAGGTGATGCCCCGCCTTGCTTCAGCTCACCCTCCATGGGCTGCACCCACTGCCCAACCAGTCCCAATGAGATGAACCAGGTACCTCAGTTGGAAATGCAGAAATCACGTGTCTTCTGTTTCAATCATGCTAGGAGCTACAAATCATAGCTGTTACTATTCAGCCATCTTAGAATGAAAAAAAAAAAACTCCTAATTTCTTTTTACCCATAAATTTAAGGAATACACATCCTGAAAACATAATTCAAACCCCATCAATTATTTTGAAATTCAAAATAATTCAATAATTTTTTAAAAATTCAAAATAGTTTTAAAACATCTAAAGGCAAAAACTAGTCTTCCTCATTTTTCCCAATGTCATTGCCTTTGCCATAACTAAAAAAATATCTGGATCAGGAGTCAATAACCTGAAGGACCGAAGGCTGGATTTTGTTTTTGCGCATTATGTCAAATAAATTTTTCTTTTTACATTTAAAAGGTTTGTTTTAAAAAGAAGAAAAATAAGATATTCAGCAGAGACCAATGTGTGGCCTACGAAGCCTAAAATATTTATAGTCTGGCCCTTTACAGAAAACAATTTTGACCACTGGTGTAGACTTCTAGACCCTTTTCTGGGTATGCATCTATACACACACACACATACAGAAATCTATAGTTTGTTTTTTGATTTGTTTATAGATGTAAGATTTTATTTGTTCATTGTCCTGTGAGGTGCTTTACTTAATAGTGTATTTGTATATATGTATATAGCATATTTGTAGATAGTTTCATGTCAGTATTTTTTTTTTTTTTAGATGGAGTCTCACTCTGTCACCAGACTGGAGTGCAGTGGCACAATTTTGGCTCACTGCAACCTCCAACTACCTGGTTCAAGTGATTCTCCTGCCTCAGCCTCCCGAGCAGCTAGGATTATGGGTGTACACCACCACGTTCAGCTAATTTTTGTATTTTTAGTAGAGATGGGGTTTCACCATGTTGGCCAGGCTGGTTTCAATCTCCTGACCTTGTGATCTGCCCACCTCGGCCTCCCAAAGTGCTGGGATTGCAGGCATGAGCCACTGCACCCAGCCTCATGTATTTTTATGTCAACTGCTTATTTTTTTACCTCCTAAGTAGCAGTTTATACATATGTTTCCTGCCTCTATAAAGCCATTGCCCCTCCCCACTTTGGAGCAACATCTTCTCTGAAAAATCTTACACACATTTTCAGTTTAGTTCTCAGCTGTGTGCCTCTGTCTTCCATTTTAAATATTCATCCATTCATTTATTCTTTCTAAAAATATTTATTGGCACATACTATGTGCCAGGTACTCTTCTAGACCCTGAGGATTCAGTGGGTTTTTTTTTGTAAAAATAAAAGACCAAAATTCCTGCCCTTGTAGAGCTTACTTTCTAGTAGGAGAAACAGATGACAAATAGAATTACTAATAATACATGAAATGTAATTGGAGGCAAAGAAAGGCAATATGAAGTGACAGTTGGTAAGGGTTGAAATTTTAGGTCAGGTGTCATACATAGCCTCAGTGAGAAAGTGACTTCTGAGAAAAGATCCTGAGGAAATGAGGGTGCTAGCCATTAGAATATCTGAGGGAGAACACTATGGACACGTGCAAAGGCCTCAAGGTACATGCATGCCTGGTGAACCTGAGGAAGACAAAAGATAGCAGGAAGATCAATATGGCAGAAGCAGAGTGAATGAGGAAAAGAGTAGTGGAAAGGGAAGTTAGAAAGGGAAGGAGGACCCACAGTTTATGGGACCGGTGGGTTACATTAAGGACTTTGGTTTTTACTCCAAGTAAGGGATGAGAACCTTGGGAGGATATTGAGTAGAAGAGTGATATGATCTGATTTCCTTTCAATAAAATCACTCTGGCTGCTTTGTTGAAAATAGATCAAAGGGGCAGAAGGACAGAAGTAGATGCAGCTAGACAAGTTAGGAAGTTGTGATGGCAATCCAGGTGAGACATGATGGTGGCACAGAAGGGAGGGGTGGACATAGAAGGAGTAAGAAATGGACACTATAAAAAGTACACAAGAGGGGAAAGCCACTCTTGAGATTGAGGCATATTGATCAATAGGTAATTCCCTCTTGTTTCAAAAATGATGAAAATGTGTTACAAGTAGAACCTTCAGATCTCAGGGAATGGCCAAGGTCAGCCTAGCAAATAAATCTTAGTGTCTGAGATCAATCTTACATGGAACAAACACCCTTAAGGTAAGGGTTCATTCATTATTTTAAGATCAAGACCATGTTCTCATGAAGTGTCATCTTAGAAGTTTAGTTGTAGGTCTCACTGTAAAACCAGTCAAGCTGGGAGAAGAAAATTACATTTCTCTTTGCAACTGCTCCAAGAAAGAGTCTAATCATACCTGCATTTTTAAACAGAAAAATAGAGTCTGAGTCTAGGCCAAAGAACAAAGAAGTTTCCAGAGAGCAGGGATTTTTGGCAGCAGACGTGAGGTGAGTGAGAATAGACCCTAAGGAAACAACCAGCTGTGGTCATACCAGGCTCTTTGTCAGTCCCCTGGAGGCTGATTTTCAGCAGACTGGGACAGCTCTACTGGTCTCTCAGGAGTCTTGTTGACTCCCTGCAGCTATCAAAGGAGGCCATATATCGGTATCTCTCTGCTTCTCAAATGAGAGAAGCATTTTTCTTTTCTTTATCCCTGCAAATCCCAGAAAATTGAGGTAAGGTCTGGAGAGTTGAAATGCCTTCTCAGAGGCATAGTGCCAGGGATTAGTTCTAACTCAAGAGTCTCAGAGACAGTGAGACAGGGGATGGAAAGGAAGAGGAGAGAATCTGAAACCCAGATGGTCTTATGACTTTATTAAAGCTTTCCCTACCTTTGCATCATAATTATGTTGGATATGCAAACTGGGATTCGCATATGCTAAGGTATATAAAATCATTATTTCTTTAATGAGACACACAGTGAGTTTGGAGGATGTCAGGACAATGTTGTTTAATTCCTGGCTCCAAGGAAAAGAGGAAGCCCAAGATATGTTTCAACCTTTGGAAGAAAAAAACTCTACTACTAATACTGTTATATTGATTGGTTCTTTTGATGACAAATGGCAGGAAAATGATAAAAACTGACTCAAAATAGAATGTATTGGCTCATCTAGCTGTAAAATATAAAAATGGACCCATGGCATAATCAAGACATTTACACACTGGGCATAGCAGATTCCAGGGGGCTCAGATGATAGTGGTTGCCTTTCTTTCTCTAATTTTCCATTCTACTTCCAATATGTGTTGGACTCATTTTATTCTCCTGCCATGTAATTGGAAAGATGACAACCAGAAGTCCCATGTATACATCATTTTTCTTATAATTTGTTATCCAAACATAAGAGGATACACCTCCATAGTTCCAGCAGAAAGGTCCAAAGAGAACTTTGGCTTATCTAGGTTAAATATCTATTGCCACACCTGTCGCTGCAGCCAGAGGGGTGGGGTTTGTTAGCCAGAACTGGATTACATGCTCATCCTTGGGCTCATGGAGCAAGAGCAGCCACCCACGAAACCATTCAGAAAGTGGGAGGGATAATTCTCCAAAGAAAGTAGAATTAAGGAGTAAAAATATATGTCTGCTATAATCATATTTCTTGTTTCTAGGAGGAACATATCTTCTTAGAATACCCACAATTTTGTGTTTCCAAACAATGTATGTGTACATATTAGTAGCATAACTTTCAAGCTAGTATTTTAAACTTCTTATTGAAGTGTAATATGCATACACACAGACAGATAACTCCACATTTATCAGGGTACAGTTTGATGAATTATGTGGTAGTATTACATTTCTTCTCATAAGGTTGAGAAGTGTTTCCTATCTTCAAAAACAGCTATACAGGCTATAGCTTAAAGGAGACAATAGTTTGGTGGAAATATATGGATGAAATATTCAAGAAGGTAGATTTGAGGAGCAGGACAATGGGAACTAAATGTCTGCAGCTCATGGACTAACAAAGCTTAAAGGTAAGCTGGCCCTGTAACTTACCAAGCATGGTTTTCCACCATTTGTGTTTGGCTTTGGGTCTAGCTCATGTACGACAGTCCTGGTCACCAAGTATTTATTGAGTTGAACCATTGGCTTAATAAGAGAAAAGCTCCAGGCAACTGGTTATCTACAGGTGTATGGGGAAATGCTACCAAAAAGCTAAGTCTGTTCTGGTGTGGCCAGCTTACATGTCCATCATATAGTAGTACCTACATACCTGTGGTTTTGCTTTCTATGGTCTAAAAATATTAAATGAAAAAATTCCAGAAATAAACAATTCATAAGTTTTCAATCATGTACCACTCTGAGTAGCGTGATGAAATCTCATTGTCTCACTCTGTCCTTCCTGGGACATGAGTTCCCCTTTGTCCAGTTTCTCCATGCTATATCCCTACCTGCCCATTAGTCATTGACATTATTCACTCCCAACATCCAATAATTGACATCGTCATGGCTCAGTGATCCAGGATCACCTAAAACAGATGATCCTCCTTCTGATGTATCATCAGAAGGTCAATAGTAGCCTAACGCTCCATCACAATGCCTATGTCGTTCACCTCACTTCATCTCATCACATAGGCATTGTGTCATCTCACATCATCACAAGAAGGGTGACTACAGTACAATAAGATATTTTGGGAGAGAGACCACATTAACATAGCTTTTATTACAGTATATTGTTATAATTGTTCTATTTTATTATTATTTATTGTTGTTAATCTCTTAGTGGGCCTAATTTTTAAATTAAACTTTATCATAGTTATGTATGTATAGGAAAAAATATAGTATATCTGGGTTTTGTATGATATGTGATTTCAGGAATCCACTAGGGATGTTGAAATGTATCCCCAGCAGGTTAGCAGGGATTACTATACACATATCATTAGATGGCTTCATCCAGCTCTTTTATTATTAACTAGGGTCTTAGGAGCCCTTTCTTACTGTTAGTCTAGAGATTAATTTCCCACTCCAATGTGGTGGATATCTCAGTTTTGCCCCTCTATGTCTACTCACCACCCATCTCTGCCTCAAGACTGACTTGTATGTATGACATCATCAGGTTTCCTTACTTTCTGCCTGTCATTTGGGTTCAGCCAATGGAGAACATGTGTAGGAAATTAGAAGGAGGGAGACAAGGGAAGTCAAGGTATTAATTTCCCAAGTCCCTCCTGTAGGGCTGCCTTGAGATATAATGGACCAAATGCTGTCTATTAGCTAACTCTTGACTAGAGAAGCTAACATTTCCCAGCTCTCAAAGTCCATAATTCCATATTTCTCCTTTTTTCCCCTATTTATTTATTTTTCATCTTATCCTACCTGTTTCAGTTTTAGGCATCACAAGTGTCTTCCCTTGCCTTTGAAGTCACCCCTCAATTTCTTTTGGTCTCATGTTATCAACCTCAGATTCCTTTTTATTTTTATTTTTATTTTAAGTTCTGGGGTACATATGCAGGATGTGCAGGTTTGTTACATAGGTAAACGTATGTCATGATGGTTTGCTTCATCTGTCAACCCATCACCTAGGTATTAAGCCCAGTATACATTATCTATTTTTCCTAATTCTCTCCCTCCCCCCACCTTACTCCCTGACAGGCCCCAGTATGTAATCAACCCCAGATTCTAGAATGTCTTTTCTTTTTCTGATATCTGGGATGTGGAAATTTTTTATGTTCAAGGGTATGTAACTGAAGGTGTGCTAATCTCCTTAATAATCTCTTATAAAGGATGTTTCATATGATTATCACAACCTGAAGTCTTCCCCAATCTCCTATCTCATCCACTCCACAAAAAGTACCAGAGTTGATATCACAACATCTTCTGCACCCAGCAAGGCATGTATTTTCTCTGATGCCATTTTAGAATGCAAAAGCTTATTATATTTATTTCTGATACCAAGACAAACAAATCTTTGACATCAGCAACAGTTATGATAGGGTTCATTTCTACCCAACAAACTTAACTGGCTGTATTTTTAGAATGCCAACATCCACAGCGCTTCACTGGCTCATCAATGGCTATTAGTTCATCCGTCGAATGGAGAGGAGGGCATAAATTCATAGCAATAAAGACATTCGGTGGTTAAATAGTCTCTAGCATATGTGACTGCTAGATTGAAGAATGAACTTGCAGAGAAACTATTATACTGGAAACTTGCTCTGGTACAGTTCAAGAAGAAATAACATTAATAGATAGAGTGAGAGTATTTTATGGAGCCTAATTTAGTCTCTAAGGACCGAAGGACCTCATTAGTATATGCCTTCACTTATGAAATGGCTTGGAAGAGACAGAAGTGAAAAATTACGCAGTAGGTAAAACAATAACCCCTGGCATCAGAAAGACTTGGACTTGAATCCTCTCTCTGCTCCTTGCTAGTTAGTTGACCTTGGGCTAGCCACTTAACCTTTTTAAGTACACATTCTCTTC
Source organism: Homo sapiens (assembly GCF_000001405.40). Lineage (NCBI taxonomy): Eukaryota > Metazoa > Chordata > Mammalia > Primates > Hominidae > Homo > Homo sapiens. The sequence continues at coordinate 68,593,533 of NC_000003.12, forward strand.
TGTCTCTTGGGTCTAATAATATACCAAGGTATAAGATTCTTGGGGTCACTAAATTAGATAACCTTTGAAAAGCAGTTATTACAGTGCCAGACACAAACTAAGCACTCAAGAAATACTTGCATTTTGTTTCTGAAGCTAGGGTCTGAAATATATGTCTGCTATAGTCATGTTTCTAAATTCTAGGAGGAACATATCTTCTTAGAATACCCCTATTTTTGTGTTTCCAAACTACACATGTGTACATATTGGTAGCATCACTTTCAAGCTAATATTTTAAACTTGTTATTGAAATGTAATATGTATACATACACACAGATAACTGCACATTTATCAGTGTGCAGCTTGATGAATTATGTGGTAGTATTACATTTCTTCTCATAAGGTTAAAAAGTGTTTCCCATGTTCAAAAACAGCTATATAGGCTAGCATAAAGGAGACAATAGTTTGGTGGAAATGTATTGTTTCTGAAGATAGGGTCCTATTTTATTTCTGAAGATAGGCTCTTGCTCCATCACTCAGTTTGGAGTGCAGTGGCATGATCATAGCTCATTGTAGCCTCGAAACCCCAGGCTCCAGTGATCCTTCTGCCTCAGCCTCCCATGTAGCTGGGACGAAAGACGGGAACCACTGCACCTAGCCCAATACGTTAATTTAGATAATGGAATTTTGATGATAATGATCACTTGCAAGACCAATGGGTATTTAACATTATTTCCCTCAAACAAGCTTCTCCATCCCTATACTTTTTATGAACAAAAGAGCCATGTCTCTAAATACCCAAGTTCATCGTGGCTCTCACTCTTTTAAAGATTGCTCCTGCCTTTCTAGTCAACAGAGTAGAGTTTAAACTCCTTAAGATAGTATATAAGGTATTCACAACTTGTTCCAGTCTCACCTCTTCAGCCTCATATCTGGCTTCTTTGCATCCTCCATGTCTTACTGCCGCCAGAGCAAAATTTTCACTGTACGCCACCTGGTCATAATATCATGCCATGCATATACTCTTCCCTTTGCCTGGAATGTCCCTGTGGAGCCCTCAAGGCTCTGGCCAAGGGTCACCTTATTAGCTTATATTTATTAAGTGCGTGTTGTGTGCCCAGCATGGTGATGATCAACACTCTATGATGTAGTATTATTCAGCACAAGAAGGAATCTAAGGCTTGGCAAAATGGAGCTCAACAAAGTGATACACATTCAAGGATTTATGTCCATGAAGTGGCAGAGAAATCAAGGTGCTCTGGCTCCAAAGTTGCTATATTTATTTCCTATCAAGCTGTGACAAATCATCACAAATGTAGTACCTTAAAACAACACAAACCTATTATCTTACAGTTCTAAAAGTCAGAAGTCCAAAATGAATTATACTGGGCTATAATAAAGGTGCTGGCAAGACTGCCTTCCTTCTGGAGTTCTAGGGGATAATCTGTTTTCTTGACTTGTCCAGCTGCTAGAGGCTGCCCACATCCCTTCACTCATGGCCCTTTCCTCTACTACCAAAGCCAGCAGCATTACATCTCAAATGTTTCTTTTTCTTTCTCTCATTCCTTCTCCCACCCTCTTCCTTTCCCTTCCTTTCTCTTCCTCTCTATGACTTTGCTTCCATCATCAGATCTCCTTCTCTAACTTTGACCTTCTTGCCTCCCTCTTATAAGGATGTGTGTTATTACCTTGGGCCCGCCTGGATAATTCAAGATAATCCCAGTGTTCTTAATGTATTTACATCTGCAAAGTCCTTTTCACCATGTAAGGTAACATATTCACAAATTCCCAGGATTAGGACACCGATCTCTTTGAGGAGTCTACTACATTAATTCTCTTGACTTCTATATTATTTCGTCAACTTTCTCTTGGAAAGTTGCCTTCTCTAAATTTTCCATGAAAATTTCCACAGACAAGTAGCTACCCATTTCCTTGGATTCCTCCCATAACTCTTTATTCATACTTCTTTTGTACTCACCATATTGTACTGAAATTAATACTTCATATTTCTGGCTCCCCCCAATTGAATGTGAGCTCCTCTGGGGCAAAACTCTTCAGCACCCAGCCTAGAACAGGAATTCACAGGGAGCATTTACTGAAAGCTGGGTAGACAAGTGGATGGATGGAAGGATGAAATGTGTAAAAATCATGGTCATCCCTAAGATGATGGCCTTAGTAGCCATTTTAAACAAATACATTAATTTAGCCAAAAAGATGTTACCAAAGTTTATACATGTCAGGAGTGAAAACTGTTCTGCAAGAAGTGAGAATGACTCTTTCTGTTGATGCTTGATTTCTTAATTCAGGCAACACTCAGATGCTATCTGCCTACTAACTGCTGGGCCCCAGGGTCATAAAGATAAATTACAGTCTTACCACTGAGTAACTGACATTTTTAAGCACAGACATATATGAACTCAACAATTATACAATAGTAATATATGCTACTCTCGCATCTGGGAGAACCATTTGTCAGGTCTTGTTGGAAGCCACACAGACTCTTTGCAAAACCGTGCTTCTGTTAAAGAGAGAGAGAAAGAAACAGAGTGGGGTGGGGAAGGGAGGAAGAGAGAGAAACCTGTGTTGTTAGTGTTTCTGAGGAGGCAGAGTCTCTTAGTGATTAAAGACACTCATTAGAAAGCCAGAGACTTGGGATGAAGCCCCTTCTCTGCCATACAGAGGTCATATCATTTAAATGACCTAACTCAATCTCAAACTCTTCCTCAGGGATTATGAGCTCACCTGTCCTATAGAGATTTGTGAGAAGTAGATGAGAAAATGTTTTAAAAGAGCTCAATATAACACCTAATGCATTCTTTGCATCCAAGAAATGCTAACTATAATTATTATTTTTGACAACTATTTGCCTTTCTGGATATCATCAACAACCCATTTCTTAATGTGACATAATAATATTTCAAAGTGTTAATTGAAGTACTACTTACTACCTCCCAGTGTAGCTGCTCACCATCCATCTTTGACACCCAAATGGATGAACACGTATTGCAGAAGAGACAGTCCGCAGCTAAGTGTGACATCCTTAGCCTCCAAATGGACAAACAAGTAAAAAAAATGTTTTCTTCCTGCCCCAAGACTCTACAAAAGATCCTCTGAGCTGCAGATGGACAAAAGAATTTAGATTACAAGAGAAAAGACACAGTACCAGGGTGATTTATTCTATCATCTCTCCCTGGAATAAATCCTATGATGGAGAGGGAAAACTGCCTCACAATGGCTTTTAATTTGGGAACCTGATAATAGAAAGGATTGGACCTCTGTCTATTCTGTTTCAAACTATGGTCATTGGTAGTCATATAGAGCTGGGAGTAAGGGGTTAGGGAAGAGTAATTCTGCAACTCCTGTGGTGCTCCTAAAGATGAGGGACAACAATCAACCCTATAGGAAAGACCTGGAAGGACTGAAATTGGGCTGAAAAATCTGAATAAGCCTGGATAAAGGACCTGGAGGGTGGAGAATAACCTAAGGACCTGATTATCAAAGCTAGGGCAAAATCTTGAACATCTCAGAGGGCAGAGCAGCTAAAAGTCAATGGCCATAAGCCATGAAGGTCAAGTGCCAGCATAGAAAGTGTAGCACACTCAAGATTCATACAAGACAAATTACATATTTAAAAACTCTAGCAAAGGACCAAGATCTGGATTTGGCTCCTCAGTGGCATTGCAGAAATTGTCTTAGTCCTGAGGCATTTAAAATCAGGACTGAATTAGAGGGAAGAAGAAAATCTCAAGATGGCTTGTATGATCTTCTGAATGGTAATGAGTTTAAACCCAGAAGTAGCCTCATGAAAATCTCTAGACTGGACTGAAAAAATCCTCAAAAAAAACTGAATTAACTCTTCTCTCAGAGGGGACCAATGAGTCAAAAAATCAAAGAGTTTTGTAGAAGTAAAGTTAATTTTTGCACAACTTAGATTGTCACTTAAGGTTCAAAACCAATCAACATTTGCCTTTCTCATTCTCTCCAGCTGTATATGGGCAATTTCACTGAATTAATCACACTTGTGACAACTGTGTTTAGAAGCACTGGAGTTGCATTTTGTATTAAGTATATTCCATTAGTGGGGCCATGGGTACTGAGTTACTGAAAAGATTAGCTGCAAGGTTGTGAGATTTAATATATAGTTCTTGCTTAGGGAAGTATGACAAGTTGCATCTGCTAAATTAATTGCCATTTGCTCAGGTGATACCCCTCAGATGGGGATAGCTATGAAGGAACAGAAAACGAGAATGAGGAGTTGAGAATAACAATTCTTCGTGTGCTGACTTGGGATCTAGGAAACAGCTTCTGGAAATAAAAGTGGTTAGTGTCAAACAAGAGTTGGCAAAGTTTGTCTGTAGAGGACCAGATAGTAAATATTTTAGGCTTTGTGAGCCATAAGGTCTTTGTTGCAACTGTTTTACTTCAATGTTAGAGCATGAAAATGGCCATATACAATACATAAAGGAGCATGGCCAGGTTCCAATAAAACTTTTTTACAAAGAACAATCAGCAGCTGGATTTGGCCCATAGGGCCACAGTCTCCCAACCTCTGGTCTAGCTCATCTGCACTAAAGAAGATCTGTCTGTTCATTAGTCATAACATCTGGTGCCCAAAATTTGGGTATGCAGATATACTTGCCTGATGACAATGTGGCAGAGATGGGTAATGTTGGCATTGTTGGTTTTGTTTTCTGGGCTACTTGGGATCTATTTCTCTTGACATCCTTTGGTCCACACACTTTTTCTTGAGCTGGACTCTGGGCCCTATGGGAAAAGAGTGTGATCTAAATCTAACCAATGGTCACACTAATCCCCCTAGCCACAGTGACTGGTGCAGAGATAGGACGTGGTCCCAACTTGTCCAATCATGATAAGGTGTGCATCATGTTCAACCAGGAAGAATCTCCCAGCAGTAGAACCGAGACAAACATTTCAGTGTAAATGGTTTATTTGAGAAGTGATCCCAGGAAATGTGATAGAGAAGGAAGAAGAAAGGCCAGCCAATAAAGCATGTGTTACCATCAAGTAAGTTACAACTGAGGGGATTGTAGCTTAATCCTTCTGGGAAACTCTGGGAGCCCATGTAGAACAGGAGCCTCAGAGTTAGCCTGACACAAGAGTGGAAACTAACTCTTGTCAGTCATTGGTAGAGGGCTGCTCCTAGGAGTGTTAATTCCCTGATACTTCTGGTCTGCCCTGAGCATTAGCAGAGTAAATGTTTTAGCCACTGAAGGATGACTTCAGGCAAAGACATACAGATGCTAGGTTTTGAAAGTCAGGGCCCACTGCACTAAAAAAGAGTCCAAAAGGGGATGTGGGTGGGATAGCTACTGCATTTGCTACACTGAATTTGGTTAGTCTCCCTATTGGAGCTCTGAAGAAACTAGGGGCTTATTTGACTCAGGTTGAGTCTCTGAATCATACTGTGACTGAAGTAATCCCATAGACATTTTAGTTACATGCACAAACAAATTTTCTTTTTGTTTAAACCAGTTTGAGTCAAGTTTCTTACCCTACAGATCCACAAAGACTAAATAAAGCACATAGGAAATTGGAATTTATTTTCTACTGGTATTGATTCATCATACAATCTGATAAATATTTTAGAATATATACAATTTCTGTATGTATATAAGAACTCATATATAAAATGTATTTGATCTACATCTTACATCTATATCATCCATATCTGTGTCTACACCTATATCTGTATATAGGCATGTGGAAAGAGGTACAAAAATATGTTTGTTCTTAATCATGCACAGATAGTTAAATAAGAATATAAACGAGGGTCTCAGGAAATGGCAGTCAGATCCCCACAATCTTTCCATTTATCCACAACATGCAAGCCATGAATATCTGCTTTGGTGAAGCAAAGCAATTGTGCATTGCCCGGCAGACTCTCAGCAGCTGTTTAATAAAAAAGACAAATGTCTATTTCTCATGAGAACTTATTTTTGTCCACAACCTCTGTGCTTGAGGTTTATCTCTTTTTTTCATTCTTCACACTCTTATTTGCTAAAAGGAATTAAAGGATTAGAATTGAGATGGTATGGACAAATAGAAGGGGATCAGAAGATAATAAGACGAGGAAAATCAAATGTAGTCATTTCAGAGAAAGTCAAAGAGTCAAGGGAGTGAGCAAAGGGTGGCACATGCTTATAAGAATGGGAGAGGTGTCAAAAAAGAGATTAAAAGATAAAATTCCAATGCCTAAAGCATGTGTTCCCTCCTTTTTTTGTCCTCTGAGGAAATAAAACTTATTTCTATTATAGTTTTGTTCAGAAGGCTATTTCAATCAATGCCATTCTATGCTGATACATGCTTACATGGCCTAGATAAACATATGAAACCCTTGTGAATCTTGGATCCATGTAGTTCAGTCTATGGCATCTTATTCAAGAGGCATAGTTCAACAGTCTAGAAATAGATTAAGATGAATTCCTTGCATTCATTCAACATTTCCGTTGAACATTTTCTATGCCAGCCACTATTCTAGGGACTAGTGATTCAATAATGAACAAATGAAACAAAAGCACGACCTCGCAGAGTTTACATTGAATGGGGAAGCACAGATGATAAACAGAATAAATAAAATGTATGATAACTAAGATAGTGATAGCTGATATGGAGGAAAACAGCAGGAAAGAATACTTGGGAGGGGGAGCTTCTTTGAGATGGTGACTTTTGATCAAAAACCTGAAGGAGGTAAGGGACTGAGTCATGCAGACATCTGAGGGCAGAATATGTCAGACAGGGAACAGGAAGTGCAAAAGCCCTAAGGTGGGAGGGTGCTAGGCCTGGGGGGTGCTCAGAACTGCACAAAGGCCGGTATGAGTCTCGAGCAGCGGTCAGCAAATGTTTTCTGTAAAGTACCAGATAGTAGAAGATTTTCAGCTTTGAGGGCCATATAGTCTCCATCACAACAACTCAGCTCTACCAGTGGGGTATGAAAGCAGCAGGACAATACGTAAATGAATGGGCGAGACTGCTCCAATCAAACTTTATTTACAAAATCAGGCTGTATGCCTATGGGCCATAGTTTGTAGACCCCTGGACTAAAGGAATGAACAGGGAATAATAAGGCCTGAAGATGCACGGCATTATACATCATTGTAACCACCTTAGTTTTGTTTTGTTTTGAAGACAGGGTCTCGCTCTGTCACCCAGACTGGAATGCAGTGGCACAATCGCAGCTCACTACAGCCACAACCTCCCAGGTTCAAGCAATCCTCCCACCTCAGCCTCCTGAGTGACTGGGTCCACAGGTGCGTGCTACCACACGCAGCTATTCTTTTTTTTTTTTTTTTTTTTGGCAAAGATAGGGTCTTATTTTGTTGCCAGGCTAGTTTTGAACTGGGCTCAAGCAATCCTCCAGCCTTGGATGCCCAAAGTGCTGGGATTACAGGCAAGAGCCACCATGCCCAATGACTTTGTGTATTAGTCTGGGTTCTCCAGAGAAACACAACCAGAAGGGTGTGTGTGTGTGTGTGTGTGTGTGTGCATAAAATGAGAAATTGGCTCACATGACTGGGGCCAACAAGTCCAGAAATCTGCAGTCAGCAAGCTAGAGAACCAGAAGAGTTCACCATGTAGTTCTAGTCCATGTCCTGAGAACCAGAAAAGCTCTACTCCAAAAGCCAAAAGCCAAGAAAAGCTGATGTTTCAGTTTAAGTCTTAACCCAGGAAAACACAAATGTCCCAGCTCAAACATAGTCAGAAAGGAGGAATTGTCTCTTCTTTCTGGGAGGGTTAGCCTTTTTGGCCCATTCAGGCCTTCAAAACTGATTGGATGAGGCCCACCCACATTATCAAGGGCAATCTACTTTACTCAGTCTACTGATTTAAAGGTTAAACCTAGCCAAAAATGTCCTCACAGACACATCCAGTGTAATATATGACCAAATATCTAGGTACCCCATGGGCCAGTCAAGGTAATACATAATTATTTTTTCACCAACAAGTAAACATTGTTTATATTTGTGGTGTACAGCATAATGTTTTGATATATATATATACATTGTTGAATGGCTAAATCAAGCTATTTAATATATGCATTCCCTCACATACTTATTTTTGTTGACAGGTATGTGGTTGTAAGTATGTAAATTGGCAGTGAGAACACTTAACATCTACTCTCTTAGCAATTTTCATATGCAATACATTGTTATTAACTGTAGTCACCGTGATGTACGATAGATCTTTCTTATTCCTTCTAATGGAAACTTTGTGTCCTTCGGTCAACATCTCTCCAATTTTCCCACCTTCTAGCCTCTGATGACCACCATTATACTCTGTTTCAATTAGTTTGACATTTTAGATTCCACATATAACTGAGGTAATGGGTGTTTGTCTTTTTGTGCCTGGCTCATTTCAGTTAACATAATGTCCTCCAGGTTTATCCATGTTGTCTCAAATGACAGGATTTCTTTCTTTTTGAAGGCTGAATAAGTACTCTGTTGTATGTGTGTGCCACATGTTGTTTATCCATTCATCCATTGATGGACAGTCGATTTCCTATTGTGTTAGATCATTTTTGCATTGTTATAAAGAAATACCTGAGACTGGGTAATTTATCAAGAAAAGAGGCTCACAGTCCTGTAGGCTGTACAAGCATAGCAACAACATCTGCTCAGCTTTTGATGAGGGCCTCATGAAGTTTACAATCCTGGCAGAAGGTGAAGTGGGAGCATGCACATCACATGGCAAAAGGCAGAGCAAGAGAGAAGGAGGAGGTCCTAGACTTTCAAACAGCCAGCTCTCATGTGAACTAACTGAGCAAGAACCCACTTATTGCTGAGGCGATGGTACTAAATCATTCATGAAAGAACTGCCCCATGATCCAGTCACCTCCCATCAAGTCTCATCTTCAACATTGAAAATCACATTTCAACATGAGATTTGGAGGGGACAAACATGCAAATAATATCACCTATCTTAGCTATTGTGAATAATACTGCAGTGACCATTGGAATTCAGATATCAACTTGACACACTGATTTCATATACTTAGAATATATTCCCAGTAGTAGTATTGCTGGATTGTATGATAGCTCTATTTTTAATTTTTGAGGATCCTCCATATGGTTTTCCATAATAGCTGCAAGAATTTACATTCACACTAATAGTGTACAAAGCTTCCCTTTTCTCCCCAACCTCGCCAGCACTTGTCATCTTTCATCTTTTTTATAATAGCTATTCTAACAAGTATGAGTTGACATCTCATTGTTTTAATTTGCATATATCTGATGATTAGTGATATTGAGCATTTTTTAAATATACCTCTTGGCCATTTGTATGTCTTTTGAGAAAAGTCTATTCAGATCCTTCACCCATTTTTTAATTGGCTGATTTGTTTTCTTACCATTGAGTTGTTTGAGTTCCTTATATAATTTGGATATCATCAGACCTGAAGGAGTCATGCCTACAAGGACGATGGCCATCTGAATGAAACCTGCTATTCCAGGGCCTTGGACTGTCACAATAACTATAGCAGTATTAGAGTAGCATGTGGGGAGAGAGAATCCCAAGAGTGGAATACAGGCTAGGAAGCAAAATTGTTATAGAAATAAGCCTGGGAGGGGCCCGGATGGCTGAATAGAAACAGCCACAGTCAGAGGCTCCCAATAAGAAGAATGAAAACAGCAAGTGAATCCTGCATCAGCAACTGAAATATCCAGGTTCTTTCACTGGGACTGACTAGGCGGTTGGCGTGACCCACGGAGATCAAGGTAAAACAAGGTGCAGCGAAGGCCACCTGGGAGCCACATGGCACAAGGAGAACTCCCACCCCCAGCCAAGGGAGGTGGTGAGTGATTGTGCTACCCCACGCAGGAAACCATGCTTTTTTCCATGGATCTGTGCAACCCATGGATCAGATCCCCTCATGAGCCCACACTACTGCAGTCTTGGGTCCCAAGCACAGAGCTGTGCAGATTCTCGGTGACCACTTGACTGGAGACTGCCTAAGACTACCGAGTTCCTGGGGGGAGGGGCAGCCACCATTACTGCAGCTCCAGTATCCAGTTTTCTCCTGCTGGTGCTGGAGAGACTGAGCAGTTTGGACCCAGGAGGAACTTCCCACAGCACAGCACAGTGGCTGTAGCAGATTGTGGCCAGATTGCCTCTTTAAGCTGGATCTTGACCCATCCTTCCTCACTGGGTGGGGGCTCCCTGTGGTAATTTCAGCAAGTCCAGCCAGGGGTTTACAGACAGAACTCTGTTCTCCCTGGGACGGAGTCACTGGAAGCAGGGCAGCCGCAGTCTTCATGGATCAGTGGACTTAGTCTTTCCCACTGATGGCTCTGAGGAACCTGGGAATTCTGAACCAGTGGGATTACTCCCAGCACAGTGCTCCTCTGACACCAAGGGGCAGCAAGAGTGCTTCATTAAGCAGGTCCTTGACCCCATGCATCCTGACTGGGTGAGACTCCCCCACAGGGGTCACCAGAAAACCTACAAGCCAGAAGAAATTAGGGGCCAATATTCAACATTCCTAAAGAAAAAAATTTCCAATCCAGAATTTCATTTCTGGCCAAACTAAGCTTCATTGGCAAAGGAGAAATAAAATTCTTTTCAGATAACCAAATGCTGAGGGAATTTGTCACCACCAGGCCTGCCTTGCAAAAGATCCCAAAGGAAATACTAAGTATAAAAAGGAAAAACCATTACCAGTCACTACAAAAACACACTGAAGTACAAAAACCAATGACACTATGAAGCAACTACATCAAGTCAGCAAAATAATCAGCTAAAATCATGATGACAGGATCAAATTCATACAGAACAATATTAAGCTTAAATGTAAATGAGCTAAATGCCCCCAATTAAAAGACACAGAATGGCAAGCTGGATAAAGAATCAAGACTCATTGTTGTGCTGTATTCAAGAAACCCATCTCACATGCAAAGACACACATAGGCTCAAAATAAAGGGATGGAAGAAAATTTACCAAGCAAAGGGAAAGCAGAAAAAAGCAGGGGTTGTAATCCTAGTTTCTGACAAAACAGATTTTAAACCAACAATAATAGTGGGAGACTCTAACACCCCACTGTCAATATTAAGCGGATCATTGAGACAGAAAATTTGCAAGGATATTCAGGACTTGAACTCAGCTCTAGATCAAGTGGACCTGATAGATATCTACAGAACTCTTGACCCAAAAACAATAGAATATACGTTCTTCTCAGCAACACACAACACATACTCTGAAATAGATCACATAATTGGATGTAAAACACTCCTGAACAAATGCAAAAAAAACACTGATATCATAAACAGTCTCACAGACAACATTGCAATCAAATTAGAACTCAAGATCAAAAAACTCACTCAAAACCACACAACTACATGGAAATTGAACAACCTGCTCCTGAATTTCTCCTGGGTCAATAATAAAATTAAGGCAGATATCAAGTTCTTTGAAACCAGTGAGAACAAAGACACAACAACAGAGACACAAAAAACCCTTCAAAAAATCAATAAATCCAGAAGCCCATTTTTTGAAAAAATTTATAAAATATAGACCACTAGCTAGGTTAATAAAGAAGAAAAGAGAAGAATCAAATAGACACAATAAGAAATGATAAAGGGGATATCACCACTGATACCACAGAAATGCAAGCAACCATAAGAGAATACTCTAAACACCTCTACACAAGTAAACTAGAAAATCTAGAAGAAATGGATAAATTCCTGGACACATACACCCTCCCAAGACTGAATCGGGAAGAAGTTGAATCCCTGAATAGACCAATAAAACAAGTTCTGAAATTGAGGCAGTAATAAATAGCCTACCATCCAAGAAAAGCCCAGGACCAGGGAGATTTTCAGCTGAATTCTACCGGAGATATTAAAAGAAGCTGGTAACGTTTCTTCTGGAACTATTCCAAACAATTCAAAAGGAAGGACTCATCCCTAACTCATTTTATGAAACCAGCATCATCCTGATACCAAAACCTGGCAGAGCTACAAAAAAAAAAAAAAAAAAAGAGAGAAGAATAATTCAGGCCAATATCCCTGATGAACATTGATGCAAAATTCTCAGTAAAATACTGGCAAACCAAATCCAGCAGCACATGAAAAGGTATATCCACATGATCAACTCAGCTTTATTCCCAGGATGCAAGTCTGGTTCAACATAATCAAATCTAGATAATTCATATAAACAGAGCTAAAGACAAAAACCACTTGATTATCTCAACAGATGCAGAGAAGGCCTTTGATAAAATTCAACATCCCTTCATGTTAAAAACTCTCAATAAACTAAGTATTGATGGAACATACCTTAAAATAATGAGTCATTTATGACATACCCACAACCAATATCATACTGAATGGGCAAAAAGTAGAAGCATTCCCCTTGAAAACTGGCAAAAGACAAGGATGCCCTCTCTCACCATTCCCATTCTTTTTTTTTTTTTTTTTCAGGATGGAGTCTTGCTCTGTCACTCAGGCTGGAGTGCAATGTGCAATCTAGGCTCACTGCAACCCCTGCCTCCTGGGTTCAAGCAATTCTCCTTCCTCAGCCTCCCAAGTAGCTGGGATTACAGTTGCACACCACCATGCCTGGCTAATTTTTTGTATTTTTAGTAGACATGGAATTTCAACATGTTGGTCTGGCTGGTCTCGAACTCCTGACCTCATGATGTGCCCACCTCAGCCTCCCAAAGTGCTGGGATTACAGTCTCCAAGGCAATCAGGCAAGATAAAAAAATAAAGGGTATTCAAATAGGAAGAGAGAAGTCAAACTGTCTCTGTCTGCTGATGATATAATCCTTTAGAAAACCCCATCATCTCAGCCCAAAAGCTTCTTAAGCTGATAAGCAAATTCAACAGTCTCAGGATACAAAATCAATGTGCAAAAATCACAAGCACTCCCATACACCAACAGCAGACAAGCAGAGAGCCAAATCATAAATGAACTCCCATTCACAATTGCTACAAAGAGAATAAAATACCAAGGAATGCAGCTAACAAGAGAAGTGAAGGGCCTCTTCAAGGAGAACTACAAACCACTGCTCAAGGAAATCAGAGAGGACACAAACAAATGGAAAAACATTCCATGATCATGGATAGGAAGAAATAATATTATAAAAATGGCCATACTGACCAAAGTAATTTAAAGATTCAACACTATTCCCATTAAACTACCATTCACATTCTTTACAGAATTAGAAAAAACTACTTTAAAATTCATATGGGACCAAAAAAGGAGCCCATATAGCCAAGACAATACTAAGAAAAAAGAACAAAGGTGAAGGCATCATGCTACCCAACTTCAAACTATACTACAAGGCTACAGTAACCAAAACAGCATGGTACTGACACAAAAGCAGAAACATAGACCAAGGAAACAGAACAGAGAACTCAGAAATAAGACTGCACATCTACAACCATCTGATATTTGACAAACCTGACAGAAGCAAGCAACGGGGAAAGGATTCCTTATTTAATAAATGGTGCTGGGAAAACTGGCTAGCCATAGGCAGAATATTGAAAGTGGACCTCTTCCTTACATCTGTTACAAAAATTAACTCAAGATGGTTTAAAGATTTAAATGTAAAACCCAAAACTATGAAAACCCTAAAAGAAAATCTAGGCAATGCCTTTCAGGACATGGGCACAGGCAAAGGTTTCCTGACGAAAATGTCACAAGCAATTGTAACAAAAGCAAAAATTGACATATGCGATCTAATTAATCTAAAGAGCTTCTGCACAACAAAAGAAACTATTAGAGTAAACAGATAATCTACAAAATGGGAGAAAATTTTTGCAATCTATCCGTCTGACAGAAGTCTAGTATCCAGAATCTACAAGGAACTTAAACAAATTTACAAGAAAAAAAAAAAACCTATTAGTAGTAAAAGGACATGAATGGCCACTTATCAAAAGAAGGCATTTATGTGGCCAAGAAACATGAGAAAAGCTTAACATCACTGATCATTAGAGAAATGCAAATCAAAACCACAATGAGATACCATCTCACACCAGTCAGAATGGTGATTATTAAAAAGTCAAGAAACAACAGGTGCTGGCAAGGCTGTGGAGAAATAGGAATGTTTTGACACTGTTGGTGGGAATGTGAATTAGTTCAACCATTGTGGAAGACAGTGTGGTAATTCCTCAAAGACCTGGAACCAGAAATACCGTTTGATCCAGAATATTAGTCTGCTCTCACACTGCTGATAAAGACATACCTAAGACTGGGCAATTTATGAAGGAAAGAGGTTTAATTGACTCACAGTTTCACATGGCTGGGGAGGCCTCACAATCATGGTGGAAAGCAAGGAGGAGCAAAGTCACTTCTTACATGGATGGTGGCAGTCAAGGGAGTTTGTGTAGGGGAACTCCCCCTTATACAACCATCAGCTCTCATGAGACTTATTCACTCTCATGAGAACAGCATGAGAAAGACCCGGGCCCATGATTCAATTACCTCCCACAAGGTCCCTCCCACAACATGTGGGAATTGTAGGAGCTACAATTCAAGATGACATTTGTGTGAGGACACAACCAAACCATAACATTCTGCCCCTGCTCCCCCAAATCTCATGTCCTCACATTTCAAAACCAATCATGCCTTCCCAACAATCCCCCAAATTATTAACTCATTTCAGCACTTACTCAAAAGTCCATAGTCCAAAGTCTCATCTGAGACAAATCAAGTCCCTTCCACCTATGAGCCTGTGAAATCAAAATCAATTTAGTTACTTCCTAGATGCAATGGGGGCACAGGCATTGGATAAATACAGACATTCCAAATGGGAGAAACTCGCCAAAACAAAGGGGCTACAGGCCCTGTGCAAATCCAAAATCCAGTGGGGCAGTTAAATCTTAAAGTTCCATAATAATCTCCTTTAACTGCATGTCTCACATCCAGGTCACGATGATGTAAGAGGTGGGTTCCCGTGGTCTTGGGCAGCTCTGCTCCTGTGGCTTTTCAGGGTACAACCTCCCTCCCAGCTGCTTTCATGAGCTGGCATTGAGTGTCTGTAGTTTTCCAGGTGCATGGTGCAAGCTGTTGGTGGATCTACCATTCTGGGGTCTGGAGGGTGGTGGCTCTCTTTTCACAGCTCCACTAGACAGTGCTCCAGTGGGGACTCTGTGTGAGGACTTCAACCCAACATATCCCTTCCACACTGCCCTAGCAGACTTTCTCCATGAGAGCCCTGTCCCTGCAGCAAACTTATGCCTGGCCATCCAGGCATTCCCATACGTCCTCTGAAATCAAGGTGGAGGTTCCCAAATCTCAATTCTTGAGTTCTGTGCACCGGCAGGCTCAACACCATGTGGAAGCTGCTAAGGCTTGGGGCTTGCACCCTCTGAAGCAACAGCCCAAGCTGTACTTTGGCCCCTTTTAGACATAGCTAGAGCAGCTGGGATGCAGGGCACCAAGTCCCTAGGCTGCACACAGCATGGGGGCCTTGGGTCTGGCCCACGAAACCATTTTTTCCTCCTAGGCCTCTAGGCCTGTGTGGGAGGGGCTAGTGCAAAGATCTTTGACATGCCCTAGAGACATTTTCCCCATTGTCTTGGTGATTAACATTTGGCTCCTCATTACTTATGCAAATTTATGCAGCTGGCTTAAATTTCTCCTCAGAAAATGGGTTTTTCCTTTTCTATCACATCATCAGGCTGCAAATTTTCCAAACGTTTATGCTCTGTTTTCCTTTTAAAACTGAATGCTTTTAACAGCACCCAAGTCACCTCTTGAATGCTTTGCTGCTTAGAAATTTCTTCTACCAGGTACCATAAATCATCTCCCTCAAGTTCAAAGTTTCACAAGTGTCTAGGGCAGGGGCAAAACCCCACCAGTCTCTTTGCTGAAACATAGCAAGAGTCAGTCATCATTACTCCAGTTCCCAACAAGTTCCTCATCTCCGTCTGAGACTACCTCAGCCTGGATTTCATTGTCCATATCATTATCAGCATTTTGGTCAAAGCCATTCAATTAGTCTCTAGGAAGTTCCAAACTTTCCCACATTTTTCTGTCTTCTTCTGAGCCTTCCAAACTGTTCCATCCTTTGCCTGCTAACCAGTTCCAAAGTCGCTTCCACATTTTTGGGTATCTTTACAGCAGCACCCCACTCTACCAGTAACAATTTACTGTATTAGTCTGTTCTCACAATTCTAATAAAGACATACCTGACACTGGGTAGTTTATAAAGGAAAGAGGTTTAATTGACTCACAGTTCCATATGGCTGAGGAGGCCTCACAATCATAGTGGAAGGCAAGAAGGAGCAAAGCCACATCTTACATGGACGGCAGTAGTCAAGAGAGCTTGTGTAGGGGAACTCCCCCTTATAAAACCATCAGATCTCATGAGACTTATTTACTCCCATGAGAACAGCACAGGAAAGACCTGCCTCCATGATTCAATTACCTCCCACCAGTTGCCTCCCATAACACATGGGAATTGTGAATGCTACAATTCAAGATGAGATTTGTGTGGGACACAGCCAAACCATATTACCCAGCAATCGCATTACTAGATGTATATCCAAAGGAATATAAATTATTCCATTCTAAAGATACACGCATGTGTATGTTCATTGTGGCACTATTCATGATAGCAAAGACATGGAATCAACCCAAATGCCCATCAGTGATAGACTGAATTAAGAAAATGTGGTACATATACAACATGGAATGCTATGCAGCCATGAAAAGGAAAGAGATCATGTCCATTATAGGGACACGGATGGAGCTGGAAGCCAATATCCTCAGCAAACCAGCACAGGAAGAGAAAACCAAACACCGCATGTTCTCACTTATAATTGGGAGCTGAACAATGAGAACACATGGACACAGGGAGGGGAACAAGTCACACTGGGGCCTGTCAGGGTTGGGGACAGAGGGAGGGAGAGCATCAGGATAAATATTTAATGCATACTGGGTTTACTACCTAGGTGATGAGTTGATAGGTGCTGCAAACCTTCATGGGACATCATGGCACATGTTTACCTATGTAGCAAATCTGCACATCCTGCACATGTATCCTGGAACTTAAAATAAAAATAAATGTATAGATATAGATATAGGATGTTAACCCCTTATCAGATGTACATTTTACAAATATATGCTTCCCAATCCACAGGTTGTCTCTTCACTTGTCGCTATTTCCTTTGCTGTGCAGCTTTTTAGTCTAATGTAATCCCATTTGTCTATCTTGACACATAAAATTAAGCATCACATTTTGCACAGGATTGGGAGCTATTGAAGGGTTTTGAGCAGTGAAATGACATAATCTGCTTTACATGTTAACTATATCACTGTGGCATGAGTACTAAGGCAGAGGCAGAAAAACCAGCAAGTACCTATTTCAATATTGCAGGCAAAAGATAATGGTGATTTCAGCAAGGTAATAGCAATAAGAGTGATGAGAAATGATCAGATTCTACTTGTTTATTTGACAATATCAACTGACTAAGTTTTCTGATTATGTGGATACGACTGTGGGAGAAAAATTCCAGTAAAGTGGACTCTAACATTTTGTCCTGAGCAACTTAAAGGATCAAGCTGCCCCCAGCTGAGATAGGAAAGATGTTGAGTAAAGCTGATTTGGGCAAAGTTTAGGAATTCAGTCTTGGATGGATTGTGTTAAAATGCTATCCAAGTGGCAATGTAGAGCAGGCAGTTGCATATACTTGTCTGAAACTTAAAGGGAGTGGTCTATTCTTTACTCAAATTCATACGATAATTCAAGGGATCCAACTCAAAACTTTCAACATTTACTGTATTTCCATTGCTCTTCTCTACACCAGCACCTTGCTTGTGCTCTTTCTTGCCATGACCCAACCCCTTTTTATTCTCTGCACACCCATCCTCTCTCTTCTCCATGTCTTCATCGTGGAGACCAACTGAACCTCTCACCTTGTCACTCTTCCCCACCTGTGACCCCCCGGGTCTGCCCTTCTTTGCCCTTTGCCAGATCTGCACCCCTGGGCCCACTGGCTGAGTGAGAGCAACCAGTGGATTACTAGGAGAGGGGAGGAGAAGAGAATTGGGGCAGGAAATTATGCATTCTCTTGGGATTCTATGAGGCTGGGTGAAACCTATAGATTTTGTTATGGTAAATAATAGCCATAATAATAATGTATATATGTATGTATGCCAATTGGGGGGGCTAAAATTCATATTTCAATGCCTACTTAAGAGAATCCTAGAATTTTAGAATTTTAACAACTCTGAAAGTTTAAAGATCATCTTGTCCCACCCTATCACTCAAATATGAAAAAAGAAAACAAGATCAATAGCAGTGAACTAATTTGTCTGAGCTTCACTTTTTTCCAGTAATTTCAGGATTCTCTGCTAATCAACATATCAATGTCATGCGGTATATAGAGATATATCTAATCAGACTAATTTGTGGAACATCTACGATATGTAGCACTATAAAAAGTGCTTTATATTCACTATTTCACTGAATCCTCAACTCTATGAGGTAGCCAAAATTGGTCTACTTTTATGAATGAGTATCCAGGGGGCTCAGAGAGATTAAGTGAGTGGCCCTGGGTCACACAGCTAGGCAATGACTGAGCCAGGATTAAAAATTATCTAAGTCTGATGCCCTTCCCTGTACATGGCTACCTCTCTCTAATGAAAAATTATGTGTGTTGAAGTGAGGGTCAGGGTTCAGGAATATCCACATTAGGTGGTAATTCATTCTCTGAATCTGTTTTGGTCTGCTGAGGACATGCTTGGCTATCCCAGAGATTGAACTGGCATACTTCATAAGCACTGACTTTCTCTGAATGACCTGGCTTTGTCTTCATTCATAGGCTGGTTATTTCATTTCCTTTGTGCAAGAATTTGTGTGTTCTATAGTCCCTAGTGGGAGCAGTTGTGGAAGTAAGACGGATAAAATACCCATCCTATCTCAAAACAAGAGAGAAAAATTCACACGTGGGGAAAGAGCATGCAAACTCTACTAGCCAAAACTATTACAACAGAAAAATCAATTACAAACAGAAATTTGACATGAACAAGTGTCAGGAACTTGTGACAACCATACAAAGCAGTCATTGTGTCCCAGTGTAAGATAAACTAACTATGCTTAATCAAGAGAAGACACAAACGACAGATCTGCTTCTCTTACCAGTTACTGTGTTATATTTTCCAGGCATATAATTTATTTAAACTGAATTCTAAAATATCCTTCTACAGAGGATTGGGAAAGGAGTTTTACCTTCATACCAAGGATAATTTGCTAGAAGGAAAATAGGGATTGGTAATGGAGCTACCCAGGGACACAGACTTTTATTTTTAATTTAGCAGATGCTAGATTCATGTGTTCAGTCATTGCTCCTTCTGTCTTGTGCGCTGTACTCAAAAAAACCTTCCCTCCTATTGGCAAATATACTTCCTTCTTCAAGGCAAGCAGAAAAGCAAGGAAAATGCATGCAAATAAAAAAAAGAATCTTTGAATCCGTTAGCCTGGTGTTTTCATTTTGGTTGAAACATTGTGTGGCATTCATTGGTTGTGCCCTCACCTTTGCTACATTTTCACTTAGAAACTTTGGATAAAGAATAGGCAGTAATTGTCAACATGGCATATTTCAACTTCTACGTGATAATAGAGTGAGATTTCTCAACCTTGGCACTATTGACATTTTCCACGGGATAATTCTTCGTTGTGGGGGCTGTTCTGTGTATTGCAAGATGTTTAGCAGCATCCCTGGCCTCTACCCACTAGATGCCAGGAGCACCCTCCCCCAGTCACAACAATCAACAATATTTCCAGGGAAAGAGCTGATTCTGTGGCTGGGGAAGGAATATGCAAAATGAGCCTAGTGCTTCTTTTTTTTTTTTTTTTTTTTTTTTTTGAGACGGAGTCTCGCTCTGTCGCCCAGGCTGGAGTGCAGTGGCGGGATCTCGGCTCACTGCAAGCTCCGCCTCCCGGGTTCACGCCATTCTCCTGCCTCAGCCTCCCAAGTAGCTGGGACTACAGGCGCCCGCCACTACGCCCAGCTAATTTTTTGTATTTTTAGTAGAGACGGGGTTTCACCGTTTTAGCCGGGATGGTCTCGATCTCCTGACCTCGTGATCCGCCCGCCTCGGCCTCCCAAAGTGCTGGGATTACAGGCGTGAGCCACCGCGCCCGGCCCTAGTGCTTCTTGTGGTGTTGGAAAGAAAGGAAGTTATCAAAACACGCACACACACACACATACACACACACACACACACACACACACACACACACACACACACACTGGTAGGCCTATGTCAAAGGCATACAGGAGCCAACTGAAAGCATTCCCAGTGGCCAAACCTGAAATAATTTGAGCAATAAAATTAGTAAGGTAGGATTGGATTATAATCCAAAGTATAAAATAAATATTCAAGAGGATATAAATAAATGAGTAATTAATTAAATAGGGACAATAGACAAATCTCCTGTGCAGACAAATTCCAAATAATGTATGTAGATATTCAGCCTTCAAGGAGATGGTGTGGAATTCTCTACTCTTTAAGGGTGGGCTGTGCATAGTGACTTCTATCCAAAGAGTACAGTATGGAAAGAAATCAAAAAAGGAACTTTGCCACGGAGAAACTTGACAAACACGATCTCAGCCACATGATCAAGGTCAACATCAACAGTGATAGGTCATATTCGACAATATGTACCCATGAAATGATGGGATGAGAATGGCACTTTATCTCTGTGGTCTTTTTTCCAAGACCATAGCCATAGTCTAATCATGAGAAAAGCATCAGACAAATCCAAATCAAGGGACGTTCTCCAAAATATTTGACTAGTACTCCTCAAAACTGCCAAGGTCATCAAAAAAAAGAAAAAGAAAAGGAAAGGCCGGGTGTGGTGGCTCACACCTGTAATCCCAGCACTTTGGGAAGCCAAGGCAGGCGAATCCCTTGAGGTCAGGAGTTCGAGACCAGCCTGACCAACATGGTGAAATCCCGTCTCTACAAAATACAAAAATTAGCCAGGCACTTTGGCACATGCCTATAATCCCAGCTACTTGGGAGGCTGAGACATGAGAATCACTTGAACCCAGGAGGCAGAGGTTGCAGTGAGCCAAGATCCTGTCACTGCACCCCAGCCTGGGCAACAGAGCTAGACTCTGTCTCAAAAACAAAAAACAAAAACAAACAAGGAAATTCTGAGAAACTGTCATGGCTAAGAGGAACCTATGGAGACAGATGAACATTGTGTATGTCCTGCATGGGATCCTAGAAAACAGACATCAGGTAAAAGCTAAAGAAATTTGAATAAAGAAGAAAATGTATTTAAGAATAGTGTATGAGTATTGGTTCATTGTTACAAACGTACCATACTAATTCTTCCTATGGGAGATGTTAATAATAGGGCAAACATAGTGTGAGATATATGGGAACTGTCTGTAATATCTTCACAACTTCTCTGTAAATCTAAAACTGTTCTACAATAAAAAGATAATTTAAAAATTGTCTCCAGATACCACAAGTGTCCCCTGGGAAGCAAAAGTATCCCCAGTTGAGAACGACTGCTGTAGAATATCTGGGTTCAAGTCTCACTTCTACCACTTTTTTTCCTGTGTGGCCTTAGACAAATTCTGTAATATCTCTAAGCCTCTGGAAAATGGAGAGAATAACAACGCCTACCACAGAGAATTGGTGTGAGGATTCAGCGACGTAATGTAAAGTGCAGACTGGCACTTAAAAAGCACTTGATAAATGTCAGCCATGATAACTCTATCCACGGTAATTATTAGTATTAATTCACTTCGTATGAATGATGCGCTGCTGACACATTCTCAGTTGTTCCTATCCTGTCAGGCCCCAGAAAAAAAAATATATATTTCCCAGGCACTTTGAGTTTAAACAAATGTCTCTTCTTACCTTGAAGAACAGAATGTGCCTTTCAGAAAATGACAGACTCTCCCGGAACCTGTGGCCTTTCCGGGAAAAGCCCAAACAATGATCGACGGTGGCATTTACTGCACTGAGATGAGACAGCCAAGCCGGCCTACATCACATTTACTCTGGTTAGGCTCATTGATTGAATCCCATTGGTGAGGAAGGCAGTGCAATGGCAGAAGTGGAAGATGAAGCCATCTGTCTGGGTAGGAAACAAGGGTCAGGGAAGTGACAAGAGTGGGCTTTGTTCCATGAGGAGTCAGCCGCTGATGCTGGATCATTTGTAGTGAATCACGCCTGGGAAAAGTTTCCAAACTACCCTTTGTCTGTTCGATATTGGGGCTTTTTAGTCATTTAACCCCCTACTTTACAGCAGCCAGGCCTCACAGCTGACTAGTTATAAAGACCTCTGCTTTTAGGGAGTTAGGGCTAAAGGAAAATGCAAAATGCCACCATACAATTATATAATATATATACTTTTTTTTTCAACTGAGAGATAACATTGTAAATTTTTGGAGGTTTTCTTTTGTTTTGTTTGAGACATGAGAACACCAACCAGGGACCAAATGGATACCTTATCCCAGGGATTCCCCAACTCCCGGGCCATGGACAGTAGTGGTTCACAAACCTTACTGTGAACTGTGCATGTGAGGGATCTAGGCTGTGCACTCCTTATGAGAATCTAACTAATGCCTGATGACCTGAGGTGGAACAGTTTCATCCTGAAACCACCATCACATCCCCTCCCTTCACCTTCCATGGAAAAAATTGTCTTGCACAAAGCCAGTCCCTATTCCCAAAAAGGTTGGGGACTGCTGTATCCCCTTGGAACTGAAGTCAGGAGAAAAGTAGAATCTGTTCTATCATACCCCTGCATTCAGTTACTGAAGACTAATTTGAAGGGCCAAGTGTTGAGAACAATTCAGTCCAAGCAATCTTTGTGGGAGGGGTTGCTGGAAAGCAGCTGAACTCCAAGAGAGCGTTTGGGTAGAATGTAGACCCCAAACCCCAAGACAGACAGACTTATAAGGCTTCAGGGGATCAGCTATGTGCTGCTGTATTAATCTCTGGCTTCTTAGACGACCTTTCCCCTTGGACCTTGACCTCTGAAGTCCTGACTTGATCTCACTTTCCTTGGCTTCATTCATTCATTCAAGAAATAATTATTAAGTGCCTACTATGTGTCTAGGCAGTAGGGATGCAGTGGTGAAACAAGCCAGCTGGCCTTCTAAAGGTAGGAAACAAAGAAAGAAAGAAAGAAACAAATGAATAAACAAGATAGCCTCAATAATGAGCACTATAATCAATTAGAGTCAGGGAACAGAAAGTAACTAGATTTAAGATAAACTCTACACAAAGGGGAGATGGTGAGGTAAGCATCTCTGAGGAGATGGCCTTGGAGATGATAAAGGTAGAGACGGAGCCAAACATGCAAGAATCTGTAGAAAGTATCATCCAAGCAGTGACAAAAGCCAGTGCAAAGTTCCTGAATTGGGGATTTTCTTGATGGCTTCTTGCTGTTGACTTTTGTATGCCTTATCCAGATCATTTTCTTTCTATTTAGGGAAGTATTTTAGACTCTAACTGCATGGACCATTCATTCATCAGTTTATGCATTCATGCACTCATTTATTAAGCACCTACTTCCTCCCAGGCACTAGGAATAAAATAGTGAAGTAGTAGGTACTTAATACAGGTGTAAGTCCCAACCTCTTGGAATTTAGAGAGTACAGAGATGATCCTTAAAGCATTCCAGTGCTTGATGCACCAAATGGCATTATCTCAGAAGGAGGTCTTGGACCCCCTACCTTGGGCAGCTTATCCATTTAGAGAGGATGGAATCCCAAAGCCTGATTGCAGATAGATGCTGGGAAACAGCTGGAAATTCAGTGGCAGAACTTGGCTTCAAGTCCTTATTCTGCTACTGACAAGCTGTGGGACTTCGCCAAAGTCACTTAGCCTCTCTGAGCCTCAGACTTTTCATCTCTAAAATGCCTTATGTTATGACACTTGGCTGTAAAATCTAGCCCAGAGCCCAGAACATTTCAGGCTCTCCATAAATGTTTAAGGTGACATTTGCCCCATTTTTGCTGGTTTTTTGAGTTGTTTTCCTGAGAGACCAAAGCTATGCGAACTGTATTAGGAAGAAATAGAGGTTTTTAGTTAACCTAGTTTAGTCTGATTTCTACAAAGAGACTATGTATACCTTAAAATCCAAATGGGATATTTTGCCCAAAGTTACCCATTCTATTTTCTATATTAATGCATTCACTCTCAACAAAGCTTGAAGTTGAGCCCCCTTCCCAAGACCTGGATTATCCAGTTGCCTCTGTAATAATGTTAAATAATTGTGTAGTATTTACTTGGGTGGGGTATAAGAAACTGCTGCCAGTCTTCTCACACCTTAGATGGGGAATGCAATGGACTGTCAAAGTAAAATTCATGCAAATATCCTAGAAATGCCATTTCTTACCGTTTGGCAGTAACCAGCTCATCCAGGAAAATGGAATTGATCAGTGTTGAATTATGTCATACTCGCTATGGTCTATAAAATATGGAAACCAGAAACTACTGTGTAATGTTACCCCACAGCATTAAACCACTTCTCAGAGCAGTTAAGCTCTAATTATGAAAGGAAACAGATGTTGCCAGTTCTCATCTCTCACAATTCCCACATCTGTCAAGGCCCTCCTCCATGGGTTAGAGTGGGGAGATCCTCAGGGGAGAATTGGCCATTGGGTTTCTCAATCACCTCCTGGAATTAGGATCAGTAGTAGAAACAGAGAGGTGTTTTATGAAGGTCAATTTCTAGTTACCTCATGCACCAGCCCTTAAATGACAGCAGGGAGCAACACTTCTGATTTGTACCAAGGCCCCTGGAGTTACTCAGCTGTATTAAACTATTAGGAGGAAGAATGAAAATCGAAATAGATCGCATCCATTTGAGGTGGGCTGCTCAAAATGCGTTCACTGGGAGTGTTAAATTCAATATAGATGACAAGGTCGGATGAGATCCACTGCCTCATCCCAAGCAGCTTAACGTTCAGCTGCTCACCACAGGATATTACTGCACACTTCATTAGATTATACTTCTAACCTGAAACAATAACTGTTAAATTCCAAACTACATCTTAGTCTTGGAGATCGTTCCTCAGAGGTACCTTAACCTTGGGACGGGTAGCTGAATGGGAATCGATTTGTCATCTTCTAAAACTTGCTAGAGCTAAGAGTTCACAAATTGACACTCACACAACATATTCTGAATTCGACAGTGGTTTAAACTTAGCTACAGACTTGTACAGTTCTGTGCCTGGCCAAAATTGCTGCAGCCCTTTAAAATATTACTTTGGAATCACATGCAC
Source organism: Homo sapiens (assembly GCF_000001405.40). NCBI lineage: Eukaryota > Metazoa > Chordata > Mammalia > Primates > Hominidae > Homo > Homo sapiens. Next base: position 68,618,733 of record NC_000003.12, read on the forward strand.
AAATACGATACTGCTCTCACTGTGGAAGGTTGTTTACATTAAAATTGTGGCTGCCTTGTGACCCTGTGGCCAAATTTGTCATCGGCTAACTTTGGCCAAAATTCATATTTACCTGCACCATTTTGAGGTCACGAAGTTTAACCTGACCAGTGAGAATATGACCACAAATTCTCAACCCGTTCGATTCTGTTTCACCTTCATCTTTCTGCTGCTTTGTTCGTACAGGCTGGGGGGTTATGTTCCATGATCAATCTTGTGCTTTCCTAAAGTGACAATATCTTACCTAGACATTATTTTTTATCTCCCTACACTTCAAGGTATCATCTGTCTTACAGACAAATGAAATGTTTTCATGATGACAAGTAGCACTCAGTCTTTGCTTCAAAGGATGAATTTGTTCATTCATTTAGTAAGTATCAGTTGAGTGTCTACTGTGTGTCAGGTATTGTTTTAGGGACTGGGCTACTGTGATAATCCTGAGGGGATCTTTAGAACTCACCTGCTACTGGAGCTCAGACACAAGAAACAAGTAAACAAAAACACCTAATTTCAGAGAGTGAATACAGCAATGAAGGAAGTAAGGAAATTGTAGGGCATACAATTAGACAAGGTAACCATTGAATATCTTTTCAAGAGGTGGCACTTGTACAGAGATCTGAAAAGACTTGGGGGAAGAATATTCCAGACAGATGGAACAGCAAATGTAAGCCTCTGAAGCAGGAATAAACGTGGTTGGTTAGAAAAACAGAGAGTCCAGCATAAAAAGATGAGAACTAAGGAGTAGACAGGGCAAGATTCTGTGGGACATGCTTGGTCGGTCCAGGTCAGGAGTTGGGGTTTTATTTTCTGAGTGACGGGAAATTATCACAAGGCTTTAGTAGAAGAAGGATATGACCTGGTTTAACTTTCTTAAAGGTTATATTTTGGCTAATCTGTAGTGAATAGATCTATAACATTTTGTCTAAAATATAATCACTTTAGAGAATTGAGTTATGGGGATTAGATAGTTCTCAGTCTAAATCCCAGCTCTACCATTTAGTAGCTCACCCTGTGCAAGTTATTTAATTTCTAGCTTTATAACTTACAGTGGCCAAATGGGCATGAAAATACCTGCCTCCTTAAATCAGGTCATATACACGTGAGACACATAGTAAATCCACAATATATGGTAAGGTTATTTATTCATTCACTCATTTTTTTTTTACATGTTTGTCTATTCAACAGATGTGTATTTAACCACTGGTATTCTGCCCCTTCAAAGTACAGCACGCAGCAGTTTTTTTGTCTTCTTTCGTTAGCTGCATATTATTCTTCATTATTTTGGAGCATTTGATTTGTTATCATCACTCCCCCAATATGGCTCCATTGTCTGGAGAAACACCCAGGGTCCTTGGTCTCACCCCAAGAAAATTAGCAACACGGACACAAGTGGAGTGGTTTAAGGAGCGGAAAGTTTAATAGGAAAGAAAGAAGAAAACAGCTCCCCCATACAGAGGGAAGAGGGCTCCGAATGGAAAACCCCACATGCAGCAGAAATCAGTAGGTTCTATTGGGAGGCTAGAAGACATGGTGTCTGATTTGCATAGGGCCCAGAGGATTGGTTTGACCAGGCATGTCATTCATGTAGCCTGAGAGCAAACTGGCCCTCCCACCCTAGCCTTTTAACATGCCTGGCTGGCCGCCATGTTGTCCTGCACAGTTGGCCTCTACCTGGCTGGTGGCCATGATGTCTTCCACTAGTGGCAACAAAGAGAAAGTGGTAGGAACCTCCACATTGGGTGGGCCGGGCTTTTAACCTCCACATTGGGTGGAGCGGGCATGTCAATGCTTGCGGATCTGGTTTTTCAAGCCGCTTTCTGTTAGAAAAGAAATGTTTTCATGGGTGCTTTTTATTAAAAGAAAAAGCTTTAGAGAGGACTATTTTACCCGCTCTATCCGTCTAATTTTTTTATTAACTCCTGTAATGCCCCCAAAACATTTTATTCTATTTATTTATTTATTTTGAGACAGAGTCTTACTCTGTTGCCCAGGCTGGAGTGCAATGGCTCAATCTCGGCTCACTGCAACCTCCACCTCCCAGGTTCAAGGGATCCTCCTACCTCTGCCTCCCAAGTAGCTGGGAGTACAGGCATCCATGCCCGGCTAATTTTTGTATTTTTAGTAGAGACGAGGTTTCACCATATTGGCCAGGCTGGTCTTGAACTCCTGACCTCAGGTGATCCGCCCACATGGGCCTCCCCAAGTGCTGGGGTTAGGGGTGTGAGCCACTGTGCCCTGACCCCGCAACTTTTTAATATGAGGATGTTCCCAGTTTGCTATTTCTCAGATATTTTTGTGCTTCCTTGAATCCCTAAACCCTCCTGAGAACCTGAAATGAGCACATAAATCCTAGATTCTCATTCATTTGGTAAATACTGACCTTCTCTCCCCACAGCATGTGAAGGATAAGGTTTTATGATGCTAAATTAGTTGTTCTCAATATCTAAAATACCAGAAATGATGACCATACATTAAAGCAATGAAGTGATTGAAACCAATAAAGAAGCCTAATAATTACAGTACAATTCTATTACAAGAGGATAACGCTTCACAGTGTCTACCAAAATAATCATAGTTTTAAACACTGTTGATTGTCCTTCAACCAAATGCAGACCTTTTTAGAAGAGTTTACTTCCCTGACTAAGCTCTCTAATACTCATAAGGCAAAGTTCTTAAATATTCCACAAAACATACGCTTTTTTCCTTGATGATAACTTGATATCATGATTAGCCTCTTCTCCCTGTCAGCACGTTTTCTCTGTTCTGCAGGGTTTCATGAGCCTCACTCAGCACAACCTGATGCCTGACAGAAATCATCATAATAATATGTACCCTCAGTTGTAACAAAAAAAATTGTACACATCAATCAATACATTCGAAGGATACATGGCACACCAGTAAAATTGAGACATCCCTTTTGAGAACCACTAAAGTAAGGAGTGTCACCAGACACCTGATATTTATTTCAAACAGCAATAATTGCTCCTGGAATAGTACCACATAGACTGTGATATTGTTACTGCACAAAATCCCCAGCCTAGTATTTGGTCAAAATTTTGCAAAGTTTTGCAAAGACACTCTTGATATTTCCTGAGAACTGTCTATGTCCTAAGTAATTGTGTCCAGAGAGGTTTGTGACTTACACAAAGTTCTCCCAAAATGAGACTTCTTGCAAATATAAACTAATGAACACCTTCTAGAGCTCTAATGGCAGCTCAGAGCCTGACAAAATAAAGTATGAAGTTTAATAAAGTCCTATGAACGTGCTTCCAGATGCCACTCTGTTCTTCCAGTGAAATTCCTGACAGCATGTTCGGCAAATTTTCCCTGAAGTGACCATGAGGCCAGCATGTAAAATAGCAATGCAATGCGGAAATGGGAAGCTGCTGATATCTAGCAGCCAGGCTGAACGGAGACCCTGTATTTTGATATCCATTTTGATCTATTCTTGGAAAATGTCACTTGAAAGTACCATTCACATACTCCTTCTTCAGTCGTCTTGAGGAGACTGATATGGCATGTTCAGGGGCATCCTCCTTTCTCCATCTATTGGTTAAACTTTCTAAGAGTTGTTCTAATATTTGTAGCAAAAAAAAAGCATTTGCTGAGAAATTACAGCCAGTGATTCACCTGAATTCTCTTATTTTTTCTCAACGATTCTGTGAAGTAAATACCATTATTTTTTAATTTTAAAAATGTTTCATTTGTTCAATAATAAATTAAACTTAACTTCTTGTAACTTTTTTCCTTTATTGATTTTTTATTTTTTTAAGTTTTTGACTCTTTTGTAATAACATTTAGCTTAATACACAAAAAATGCATAGTTGTACGAAAATGTCTTTATATTTTTATGTTTTTAGTTTTTTTAAATTTTTAAAATTAATTTTTTTATTACAATAGCTTTTTGGGAAACAGGTGGTGTTTGGTTACATGAATAAGTGCTTTTTTTTTTTTTTTTTTTTTAAGACAGTCTTGCTCTGTCACCCAGGCTGGAGTGCAGTGGCACAATCTCAGCTCACTGCAACCTCTGCCTCCTGGGTTCAAGCAACTCTCATGCCTCAGCCTCCCAAGTAGCAGGAACTACAGGAGTGCACCACCATGCCTGGCTAATTTTTTGTATTTTTAGTAGGGACAGGGTTTCACCATGTTGCTAGGCTGGTCTTGAACTCCTGACCCCAAGTGATCTGCCTGCCTTGACCTCCCAAAGTGCTGGGATTACAGGTGTGAGCCACCATGCCTGGCCACATGAATAAGTTCTTTAGTGGTGATTTGTGAGATTTTGGTGCAGCCATCACCCAAGCAGTATATGCTGTACCCAATCTGTAGTCTTTTATCCCTCACCTGCCCCACCCTTAGTCCCCTGAGTCCCCAGAGTCCATTGTATCATTCTTATGCCTTTACGTCCTCATAGCTTAGCTCACACTTATGAGTGAGAACACATGATGTTTGGTTTTCCATTCCAGAGTTACTTCACTTAGTATAATGGTCTCCAATTCCATCCAGGTTGCTGTGAATGCCATTATTTCATTTCTTTTTGTGGCTGAGTAATATTCCATGGTGCGTGTGTGTGTGTGTATATATATATTTATATATATATGTATATATGTATGTATATATGTACATACATATAAAAGTATATATTTTCTTTATCCATTTGTTGATTAATGGGCATTTGGGCTAGTTCCATATTTTTGCAGTTGTGAATTGTGCTGCTATAAACATGCATGTGCAAGTACCTTTTTCGTATAATGACTTACTTTCCTCTGGCTAGATACCCTGTAGTGAGACTGCTGGATCAAATAGATGGCAGTTCTATTTTTAGTTCTTTAAGGAATCCCCACACTGCTTTCCATAGTGGTTGTACTAGTTTACATTCCTACCCGCAGTGTAAAAGTGTTCCCTTTTCACAGTATCCACACCAACATCTATTATTTTTTGATTTTTTTATTATGGCCATTCTTTCAGGAGTAAGGTGGTATCACATTGTGGCTTTGATTTGCATTTCGCTGATCATTAATGATGTTGAGCATTTTTTTCATATGTTTCTTGGCTATTTGTATATCTTCTTTTGAGAATTGTCTATTCATGGCCTTAGACCACTTTTTTTTGGGATTGTTTGTTTTTTTTCTTGCTGATTTGTTTGAGTTCCTTGTAGATTCTGTATATTAGTCCTTTGTCAGATATATAGATTGCAAAGATTTTCTCCTACTAAGTAGGTTGTCTGTTTACGCAGCTGATTATTTCTGTTGCTGTGCAGAAGCTTTTTTCTTTAATTAAGTGCCATCTGTTTATCTTTGTTTTCTTTGCATTTCCTTTTGGGTTCTTGGTCATGAAGTCTTTGTCTAGGTCTATGTCTAGAAGGATTTTTCTGATTTTATCTTCTAGAATTTTTATGCTTTCAGGCATTAGATTTAAGTCCTTAATCCATCTTGAGGTGTTTTTTGTATAAGGTTACAGATGAGGATCCAGTTTCATTTTCCTACATGTGGCTTGCCAATTATCCCAGCACCATTTGTTGAATAGGATATTCTTTCCTTACTTTATGTTTTTGTTTGCTTTGTCAAAGATCAGTTGACTTTATTTCTGTGTTCTTTATTCTGTTCCATTGGTCTATGTGCCTATTTTTATGCCAGTGCCATGCTGTTATGGTGACCATGAGTTTATAGTACAGTTTGAAGTCAAGTAATGTGATGCCTCCAGAATTTGTTCTTTTCGCTTAGTCTTGCTTTGGCTATGTGGGCTCTTTTCTGGTTCCATATGAATTTTAAGATTGTATTTTCTAGTTCTGTGAAGAATGATGTTGGCACTTTGATGGGAATTGCACTGAATTTGTAGATTGCTTTTGTCAATATGGTCATTTTCACAATATTGATCCTAGCCATCCATAAGCATGGAATACGCTTCCATTTGTGTCATCTATGATTTCTTTCAGCAGTGTTTTGTAGTTTTCCTTGTAGAGGTCTTTCACCTTCTTGGTTAGGTATATTTCTCAGTTTTTTGTTTGTTTGTTTGTTTTTTGCTTTTTTTATTTTGCAGCTATTGTAAAAGGGGTTGATTTCTTAATTTGATTCTCAGCTTGGCCGCTATTGGTGTACAGCAGAGCTACTGATTTGTGTAGATTAATTTTGTATTCTGAAATTTTGCTGAATTCATTCATCAGTTCTAGGAGCTTTTTGGAGGAGCCTTTAGAGTTTTCTAGGAATACAGTCATATCATCAGCAAACAGCAACAGTTTGACTTCTTCTATACCAGTTTGGATGCCCTTTATTTTTTTCTCTTGTCTGATTGCTCTGGCTAGGATTTCCAGTACTATGTTCTATAGAAGTGGTAAGAATGGACATTCTTGTCTTGTCCCAGTTCTTAGGGGGAATGCTTTCAACTTTTCCCCATTCAGTATTATATTGGCTGTGAGTTTGTCATAGATGGCTTTTATTACATTAAGTTATGTCCCTTTTATGCTGATTTTGCTGAGGGTTTTAAAAGGACTAGATTTTGTCAAATGCTTTTTCTGCATCTATTGAGATGATTATGTGATTTTTATTTTTAATTCTGTTTATGTGGTCTATCACATTTATTGACTTGTGTATGTTAAGCCATCGGTGCATCCCTGGTATAAAATCCACTTGATCGTGGTGGGTTATCTTTTTGATATGCTGTTGAATTCAATTTGCTAGTATTTTGTTGAGGATATTTGCATCTATATTCATCAGGGATATTGGTCTGTAGTTTTCTTTTTTTATTATGTTCTTTCCTGGTTTGGGGATTAGGGTGATACTGACTTCATAGAATAATTTTGGGAGGATTTTCTCTTTTCTATCTTGGGGAATAGTGTCAATAGTATTGCTACCAATTCTTCTTTGTATGTCTGATAGAATTCAGCTGTGAATCCATCTGATCCTGGATTTTTTTTGGTGGGGGGGGGTTGGCAATTTTTTTTATTACCATTTCAATCTTGCTGCACCTTATTTGTCTGTTCAAAGTTTCTATTTCTTCCTGGTTTAATCTAAGATGGGTGTATATTTCCAGGAATTTATCCATCTCCTCTAGGTTTTCTAGTTTGTACATGCAAAGGTGTTCATACTAGACTTGAATGATCTTTTGTATTTCTGTGGTATCAGTTGTAATATTGCCTGTTTTGTTTCTAATTGAGCTTATTTGGATCTTCTCTCTTCTTTTTTTGGTTAATCTTGCTAATGGTCGATCAGTTTTATTTACCTTTTCAAAGAAAAAGATTTTTGTTTCATTTACTCTTTGTACTTTTTTTGTTTTAATTTCATTTAATTCTGCTCTGATATTTGTTATTTCTTTCTTCTGCTGGGTTTGGGTGTGGTTTGTTTTTGTTTCTCTAGTTCCTTGAGGTTTGACCTTAGATTGTCTGTTTGTGCTCTTTCAGACTTTTTGATATAGGCATTTAAGGCTATGAACTTTCCTTTTAACACCACCTTTCCTGTATCGCAGAGGTTTTGATAGGTTTTGTCACTGTTATTGTTCTGTTGAAAGAATTTTTAAATTCCCAGTAATCATTCAGGAGCATGTTATTTAATTTCCATGTATTTGCATGGTTTTGAGGGTTCCTTCTGGAGTTGATTCCAAATTTTATTCCACTGTTGTCTGAGAGAGTACTTGATATAATTTCAGTTTTCTTAAATGTATTGAGACTTGTTTTGTGGCCTATCATATGGCCTATCTTGGAGAAAGTTCCATGTGCTGATGAATAGAGTGTATATTCTTCATTTGTTGGGTAGAATGTTCTGTAAATATCTGTTAAGTCCATTTGTTCTAGGGTACAGTTTAAATCCATTGTTTCTCTGTTGAGTTTTTGTCTTTATGACCTGTCTAGTGTTGTCAGTGGAATACTGAAGTTTCACACTAATATTGTGTTGACATCTATCCCATTTCTTAAGTCTAATAGTAACTGTTTTATAAATCTGGAAGCTCCGATGTTAGGTGTATATATATTTAGGATTGTGATATTTTTCCTCTTGGACTAGTCTTTTTATCATTATATAATGTCCATCTTTGTCTTTTTTAACTGATGTTGCTTTAAAGTTTGTTTTGTCTTATATAAGAATAGCTACTTCTGCCTGCTTTTTGGTGTCCATTCGCATGGAATATCTTTTTCCACTCTTTAAGTTTATGTGAGTCCTTATGTGTTAGGTGATTCTTTTGAAGACAGCAGATACTTAGTTGGTGAACTTTTATCCATTCTGCCATTCTGTGTCTTTTAAGTGGAACATTTCGTTTATTTACATTCAATGTTAGTATTGAGATGTGAGGTACTATTCTATTCATCATGCTATTTGTTGCCTGAAAACCTTGAGGATTTTTTTATTGCGTTTTTGTTTTATAGGTCCTGTGAGATTTACGCTTTAAACAGGTTCTATTTTCGTGTGTTTCAAGGATTTTTTCAAGATTTAGAGCTCCTTTTAGCAGTTCTTGTAGTGCTGGCATGGTACTGGCGAATTCTCTCAGCATTTGTTTATCTGAAAAAGACTATCTTTCGTTGATTTATGAAGCTTAGTTTCACTGGATACAAAATTCTTGGCTGATAATTGTTTTGTTTAAGGAGGCTGAAGATAGGACCCCAATGCTTTCTAGCTTGTAGGGTTTCTGCTGAGAAATCTGCTGTTAATCTGATAGGTTTTCCTTTATAGGTTACCTGGTGCTTTTGCCTCATAGCTCTTAAGATTCTTTCCTTTGTTTTGACTTTAGATAACTTGACGACTATGTGCCTAGGCAATGACCTTTTTGTGATAAATTTCTGAGGTGTTCTTTGAGCTTCTTTTATTTGGATGTCTAGATTTCTGGCAAGGCCGAGGACATTTTCCTTGATTATTCCCTCAAATATGTTTTTCAGTAAATACCATTATTAAACCAGATTTATCAATATGGAAACTGAGGCATAGAGAGGTGAAGCAACTTATCTCAAGTTATCAGTGTTCTTTTTGGAGCTAGGAATTCAGTCACAGAAATGAAGAAGTGTTAAGTTTTTCACATTCTGATGGTTAACCTTTATTCTGCATTTGCCTATGTGTCGTGTGTTGGCTCTAGAGAAATCAACTATGGCCACCAGAGCCCAGATCTGGCAACAAAAGTAAAACTTAATAGAAAAACATCAAGTCACTGCCTTGGGAAAGGATGCTTATTTAGCTGCCTGGAAAAGAACTTAACTGGCTAAACAGAGTTTTGTCCTTTTGTCCTCTAAAACTCTCCCATGGTGTATCTGGATGTCCTCACTGGGATAGCATAAACTATTGATCCCAATTTCTTTAGCTCTCTGCAGTGGAGTTATATGTCCACACCTCTTCTGTGGCCTTCTGGTAGTTGTGATGTATTTTCCAGCCCTTGACTGTGTGTTTGGACATACAACCTGTTTTAACAGTGGGCTGTTAGTGAACATGATATGAGCATACAGTTGAATTGTGCTTTCAGGGTTGGGCTTGCCCTCTTTCATGAAAAGGGCATGCTGAAGGTAGCTTCTGCCCTTTCAGCTTGAGCAATAGAATGTTCTGAGCCCAACCAAAAGGCTAGAGCCAAGCCCAGCTGACCCACAGGTAGAAGCAGAGCTGCTCAGCAGCTAAGTCACTGACCCAAGTGCATGATAACAAACGGTTGTTATTTGAAGCCACTAAGCTTAGGGGTAATTTGTTACATGGCATTATTGTGGCTATTGCTAACCAGTACACTGTGACAAACACAAACTAGAGGTTCTTTTTCAGTTTCTGTGTAAACTCTTTGGTTGTATCTCAGTCCTCTCCTCCTGAACTTGCTGGGTCACCTAACATAGTATCAACAGTTCCTCTACTTGCCAGCAAAGTTTCAAGTCCTGGACTGTTTAGCTCAATGATTCTTAGTGCAGACCCTTCATTTGGTTGGAAGAGAAAAGACAGGTGTCAGAGTCAGTGTGTAAAGTAGAAGTTATGACTGATCAAAAACACCCTTGAAGAGCTTGCAAATTATCCCCGAAGTTCAGAGTCATGATTTTGTGTTTATAGCTCTGCAAATGTATGCTTATCCCAGTTTAAGAAACCCCAAAGAAAGAAACAAAAACAGGGTCTCTGTGCAGATACCTGGACTTTCAAACTCTTCTGCTTTTAACATAATTAGAAAATTCCTAGCAGTGAGTCAGAAATATGTGAAAACTCTAAACATTCTCTATGTGCTCAGAGTTTGTACCATTTTTCCATTAAGACATCTAACCTTAACCTGTTTGAGGATTTGATAGAGTAGGATCTGATTGCAGAGAACAGGTCTGGAAAAAGCTTAGGTCTAAATTCAGTTTGTAGATTAAATGTGTTCATGGCCACCTTCACCATAATTAATTTTTTAAAACTTTTTTTCAATAGTTGTAGGGATACAAGTGGTTTTTGGTTAAATTTTAGACTAAAATTTTCGTGTACCCACCACTTGACTAGAGTACATTGTACCCAATATGTAGTTTTATTATCCTCCACTCCTCTCCCACCCTCCCATCCTCTGAATCTCCAAAGTCCATTATATCACTCTATATGCCTTTGCATACGCATAGCTTAGCCCCCCACTTATAATTGAGAACATATGGTATTTAGTTGTCCATTCTTGAGTTACTTCACTTAGAAGAATGGCCTCTAGCTCCATCCAAGTTGCTGCAAAAGACATTATTTTATTCTTTGTTATGGCTGAGGAGTATTCCATGGTATGTGTGTATATATGTATACATTATAGATATGTATTATATATGTGTGTATTATATATAATTATATATAATGTGTGTATTATATATAATTATATATAATGTGTGTATTATATATAATTATATATAATGTGTGTATTATATATAATTATATATAATGTGTGTATTATATATAATTATATATAATGTGTGTATTATATATAATTATATATAATGTATATTGTATAGAATTATATATAATGTGTGTATTATATAGAATTATATATAATGTGTGTATTATATATAATTATATATATAATGTGTGTATTGTATATAATTATATATAATGTGTGTATTATATATAATTATATATAATGTGTGTATTATATATAATTATATATAATGTGTGTATTATATATAATTATATATAATGTGTGTATTATATATAATTATATATATAATGTGTGTATTATATATAATTATATATAATGTGTGTATTATATATAATTATATATAATGTGTGTATTATATATAATTATATATAATGTGTGTATTATATATAATTATATATATAATGTGTGTATTATATGTAATTATATATATAATGTGTGTATTATATGTAATTATATATATAATATGTGTATTATATGTAATTATATATATAATATGTGTATTATATATACATAATATTGTCTTTATCCACTCACCAACTGATGGACACTTAGGTTGGTTTTGTATCTTTGTAATGACCACCATAATTCCTACTTTACCTGCTAAACCCAGAACAACTTCAAATAATAAGCAAAATAATTCTCCTTTATATTTCCTATACTCCCACATTGTCCTCAGTGTTTCATCTCAGATACTAAGCTGTGGGCTAGGAAGGTAGACACATGAAAAATATATCGTGAGAGACTTAAACTTTGCCTCAGCCTACAGAATAACCATACTGAGAAATTATATCCTCTAGTCTGTGGAAGAACAACTAAAATAAATAAATTAATTAAAAAACAACCTGTCCCTAGCAAGTATCTGTGGGAGGGAAATTAGGTCCCATGTGATCTTATGCCATCACTGTATGATGCTTTCACCTTCTGTGGCAGATGCACAGTACAATTAAATTTCTCTTAAAGCTATATTTATTCCATTTAAAAACCTGAATTTTTACTGAGGTTATGTTCTTTCTACTTTTTTGGTGTTCAAACTATTTTTTAAAACTAGAAGACAAATGAAGGCAGGTGTGTGTGTGAGTGTGTGCTTGGTGTGCAAGTGTGATGGATTTTTTATGACCTATTGTGACATGTAGAAAGTTGGATGTCCAAATTCTATCTTGGTCATTTACTAGTTCATGAAACTCAAACACCATGAGAGATTTCATGAGAGATTTCATTCACTTAGACAGTTAAAGGGCCAGCAGCAAATTGGTTAGCCAGTGGAACTCAAAATCTTTCCACTGGGAACCCCTGTCCCCAGAATGGAGGGGTAAATTTTCCAAAAGAAATGATAATTTCTCACATTTACAACCCTGTCATCTACTTTAAACTTTTTCACAAGCTAGGAGAAAGGCAGGGTATAAGTTATTAGAATTTTATAGTTGATGGATTAAGTCTCAGAGTGATTAAGTCCCACCTCAGTGCCAGAATTAGAATTTGAAACCAGGCCTTCTACTTCAGTTTCAAATCTCTTTCTACTAGAGTGTTATAATATCTACTTTGGCAAACTGCTAAGGCTGACCTTCTTTGTTGACCAAGAAGATTGCTTAAATATACAAGTTTCTCCTGCCCTAAAAGTCACTCTGTAGTCTGAGATGCAACTAATTAAAATTCCCCTGTTAGGCTTTTTAGAATACTATCTCTGCCTTCTAGAATTCTGCTTTTTGAAGCATAGACCAAAAGCCACCACCTCCATGAAGCCTTTTCTGAGTCCGTCTCTTCCACCCAGACAGATATAATTTATTTGTGCTCTGAATGCCCCATTGGGCTTGGTGTTTCCTCTTGGGGCAAGTAGGTGCTGGGTCTCTACGCACCTACTACTAGATTGCAAACATCCCACGATGTTTTCTACTTTTAGCACCATTCCTCTTTCCTTTTGCCAACACATCACAATTCAGATTCGTTTTAGCTTTAAACAGGAAAAAAAATCAAAGCTCCCTCACTCTCTTAGCAAAACATGGTCATTCCGTTTGCCCTGAGCAAGTTCCATCTACCCTCACATAAGTCCTGGAAATCAGGGAGGACAGAAAAATAAGGCCACCATGAAAGAGTTATTGAGATCCTTCTTGACACCCTAGCTTGATGAAATGAAAAGACTGTAGACTGAGATGTACCTGGGTTTGAATCCCACTCCCTCGTCATTCTAGTTAAATAAATTTGGCCAAATCACTGACCTTCTCTTCACCTCCATTTCCTCATCTGTGCAAGAGTCAATGTATATGATGGAACTTTTATGCCTGACACATTGGAGGCACTCAATTAAATGGTAGCACCTTATTGTTACTGGTATTGCTGCTACTTTTGCTGATATTCTTACTAACATTCTTACTGGCTCATACTCCCCCTGAGGAAACATTAGCTCTTGTCCACAATGCCCTTTGTACTCATAGCCGTCTTTGTCTCCTATCCTTTTCAGATCACTCCATGGGGCCACCAGCAGGTTTCCTCATGCAATATATAAATAGCGAATATTGGAACCAGAGTATTAATTTAGCCTAGACTTTTTTCCAGCCTTCCCACTGGCCTGCCTTGTAGATGGATGAACTGGAGCAGAAATAAGGAGGCAATGTTCTTTCTTCATATCACACACCTAAGGGATTTTTTTTTAGTCTTCTGAGAACATTAAATTCTACCTCGAGCTCAAAGTAACTCTCAATGAGAGAAATCATTCATGGGAAACAGGGGAAGGCGCTGAACTTCAAAGCCAAACTGAATCGCAGCTGGTACCCCCTGCAACTCTCAAGAATAGGAAAGCAGCAGTCGGAGAAACTAGAATGGAGTGCTGTGGGGTGGGGGCGAGGATGAACAACCACTCTGGCATTTAAATAACATTGGCAGCTTAAACTCAAGCCATCATTTCAAGAAAATTCCAACATAAGGTGAAGTAGTTTAAAGTGTAAAAAGTTGACTCTTCTGCAGAGGCAACTTTTTATACTTTACTTGTCATTCTCATATGAAACCTGCAAGTCCATGTTAAGAAACTGTTGCCTGGAAATCGGAAGTGTTAAAGATGATCGATAAAGTTACCTTACAGGGAAGGCTGAGCCAAAGCCGGCTTTTTAATTTTATTTTATTTCTCCTATTTATCTTGTAGGTGCATTAAGAATAGATTGCTTGCTCATAAATGTAACTGATTATTTGGCTGGTTATGTAGCTGTTGCTATTTTGAACTCCTGAGTTTCTGGCTTTCTGGTGGGAAGTTTAATAGCTCATTAAATGGTATACCGTCTCATTTTTATCCAGCCTCACTTTCTGCTGTTTTAATACGTGCTGAGGAATTTGGAGATGTACCCTCATTTGAACAAATGATGCTGGATAAAGAGCCATGCTCAGCCCCGAACACAGTAAAGTTTTTTAATAATGTAAATTTGAGTTCATAGTGAGTATTGAAACAGAGCTATATAGTTTCCAAACTTACGTCAGATCTCGTTTAATCTTCACGAGGTAGAAAAGTATTCATTCATTACAAAATACTTCCTACAAAGTGCCAGGCATTGTGTTCAATGTTGTGTCTGCAATTCTAGATAGCATCATTTCTCTATTTTTAAATGAGGAACCTGGTTTCAGCAAGATTAAGTGACTTGGCCAAGGTCACAGGAGTGAGCAAAAGACCCAGTTCCTCTGATTCAAATCCCATGTTCATTTCCACAGAATAAACATATAGCTGAAAGGAGCTTTAGAGATCATATCAATGTTTATATATGAGAAAAATAAGCATTCGGTCCTAAGTTTACACATGTGTACTGTGTATACACATGTACACATAGTGAAATGGGGATGGGAACTCAAGTCCCACAACACTTAGTGTATTGTCTTACACAAAAGGATACTTTAAGATTAACTTATTCTATATTTTTAGGTCATCTCTGAAGTCTACTTTCTTCTCTGAAGTACATGCTCCAAAATTTCTTCTCCAAGTACATCCCCTCAGGACACCTTAGAATATAAGAGAAACATTCTGACCAAATTTGTCTCCATCTTGACCTCAGGCACTTTAGTCTGTGTTGAAACTTCTTTTTCTTTTTTTAAGAGAAGTCTTTATTTACTTGTTTTGAAAAAAAAAAAAGCTGGCTAAGTTGGTTGCTTTTTGGTGATCAATGAGACCAAACTCCATATCCTTGTCCAACTCTCGATTCCTCCTTGGTTCAACCTTGGCTGTAGCTGTGGCCACAGTAGGAGCAGCAGTGATAGCAGAGGTCACACGGGCAGCAGCCACAAGGCAGGTAGATCAGCCAAGAAGGTCTTGACCTTTTCAGCAAGTGGGAAGGTGCAATCAGTCTCCACAGACAAAGCCAGGACTTCTTTGTACCCGTTGATGATAAAATGGGGTACTGATGCAACAGCTGGGTAACCAATCTGCAAACACTGGCACCATGCAGACACCCTGGAAGAGAGGATGCAGAGTGTCCCCTGTGATGTAAAGCACTTCAGGGATGTAGATGCTGCCATTGTCAGACACTGGCTTGATGATCCGCCAAGGAATAGGGGAGACGTTCAGCCGTATGGCTTCACTGGCTCCCACTTTGTCTCCAGTCTTAATGAGCTGCACATCCCTTACGATTTCAACGATGCCCCTGGAGATTTTGGTGGTGATGCCTAATGCCTGGAAGAACACCTGGTCTCAGCATGGTTTTCTGGGCACAGAGACTTCACATGGGGCAGTGGCACCAGCATTGGTGGTAGCTGGCACCTTATTGGCCAGCAGTGTGTCCCTGAACTCAGAACATAATGAACATGACCCAACTGACGGCTCCAACTGGTCCATCAACTAAGAATTTTGCCTCTCTCCTGTCTGCAGGCATAGTCAACTTCTAAAAATGTAAATTGTGTTGGTGGTTTCCCACTGCATTTAGAAGAAAATGCTGAGTCTGGTCCTGCAGGGTGCTTCAATGTGAGCTTCTTTGCCTGCTTGTCCAGCCTCATCTTGTTCCTCTCTCTCTCTCCCTCATGACCATTTGGCCATGCTGGTCTGCTTTTAGTTCTGGAATGTCTCAAGTTGTTTCCTGCCTTAGCACATGCCGTGCTTTCCTTTGTACTGGTCTTCCCATCTCTTTACTTAGCAAACTCCTCCTTATCCTTCAGAGTCTCAGGAGAAATGTCCCTTCCTCAGAAAGGCTCTCTCTAATTCCATTCTCAACCAGGTCTCTCTTTTTGCTTCCTTATAGCCCATCTACCTTTCATGATACTTACATACATTTGTCATCCCATATTTATTTGTGTAATTGGCTATTTAATGAGCTCCGATGGAAGAAGGGACTATGTCTATTATTTTCACCACTTTGCCTGGCACATGGTAGTGGCTTAGTAAATATTTATTGGATGCATACATTAATGGCATCTAGTGAATCCTTTAAAATCTAGTCATTAACATGTCTGTTCTGGCCTGTGTTTAGATCTCCGGAAAGCCAACACTTGTCTTATTTATCTTTGCTGTTCCCACAATACCTCATGTGGTCCCCAACACAAAGCAAATGTTTAGTAGTGTTTATAGAAGAGCCATCTCATGAAGGAATACAATTCAATATTATTGTTGATCCCAAGGAACAGATCGTCAACAGAGGCTGTAAGCATCCTCAATCCAACTAGAAAAATTCTCTACCATCCTGCCCGCCTGCCTTGTTAAACAGGCTAATGTGCCTTTGCAGCTTTGTTGAGTTCCCACTTGTTTAAAGCTGTGTTGGTGAAGTTATTTTAATGCAGGTATCATTAGTTTGAAAAAGCTCTTAGCCCCTTCACAGAAGTCTTGAAAAATATCAGCAGCCTAACTGATGATGCCATCCATGGAGACTGGATAGCTTAAGACAGTTAAATTAAACATAAATCAAGGAGGAAAAGGGAATAAAAGTGACCTTCTGGCCACCAGTAATCATCCTTCTGGCCACTAGTTTTTATCCTCTGGAGGATAACTTTGCTACTGCAGTTTTAAATCTAGAAATATAAATGGATTGTTGGTAGGAAGAGTGGTAATATCCTGAAGGAATTTGTATCGTTTTTGTACCAGGAGATCCTACCTGCTTTCCCAATCACCCCTCTACAAAAAGAGCTTGAGGGCTCAAGTGGCCAAGGCAAGATGGGTCAAAGTCAGAGTGGTGGTCATGGTCCTGGAGGTGGCAAGAAGGATGACAAGGACAAGAAAAAGAAATATGAACCTCCTGTACCAACTAGAGTGGGGAAAAAGAAGAAGAAAACAAAGGGACCAGATGCTGCCAGCAAACTGCCACTGGTGACACCTCACACTCAGTGCCGGTTAAAATTACTGAAGTTAGAGAGAATTAAAGACTATCTTCTCATGGAGGAAGAATTCATTAGAAATCAGGAACAAATGAAACCATTAGAAGAAAAGCAAGAGGAGGAAAGATCAAAAGTGGATGATCTGAGGGGGACCCCGATGTCAGTAGGAACCTTGGAAGAGATCATTGATGACAATCATGCCATCGTGTCTACATCTGTGGGCTCAGAACACTACGTCAGCATTCTTTCATTTGTAGACAAGGATCTGCTGGAACCTGGCTGCTCGGTCCTGCTCAACCACAAGGTGCATGCCGTGATAGGGGTGCTGATGGATGACACGGATCCCCTGGTCACAGTGATGAAGGTAGAAAAGGCCCCCCAGGAGACCTATGCAGATATTGGGGGGTTGGACAACCAAATTCAGGAAATTAAGGAATCTGTGGAGCTTCCTCTCACCCATCCTGAATATTATGAAGAGATGGGTATAAAGCCTCCTAAGGGGGTCATTCTCTATGGTCCACCTGGCACAGGTAAAACCTTGTTAGCCAAAGCAGTAGCAAACCAAACCTCAGCCACTTTCTTGAGAGTGGTTGGCTCTGAACTTATTCAGAAGTACCTAGGTGATGGGCCCAAACTCGTACGGGAATTGTTCCGAGTTGCTGAAGAACATGCACCGTCCATCGTGTTTATTGATGAAATTGACGCCATTGGGACAAAAAGATAAGACTCCAATTCTGGTGGTGAGAGAGAAATTCAGCGAACAATGTTGGAACTGCTGAACCAGTTGGATGGATTTGATTCTAGGGGAGATGTGAAAGTTATCATGGCCACAAACCGAATAGAAACTTTGGATCCAGCACTTATCAGACCAGGCCGCATTGACAGGAAGATTGAGTTCCCCCTGCCTGATGAAAAGACGAAGAAGCGCATCTTTCAGATTCACACAAGCAGGATGACGCTGGCTGATGATGTAACCCTGGACGACCTGATCATGGCTAAAGATGACCTCTCTGGTGCTGACATCAAGGCAATCTGTACAGAAGCTGGTCTGATGGCCTTAAGAGAACGTAGAATGAAAGTAACAAATGAAGACTTCAAAAAATCTAAAGAAAATGTTCTTTATAAGAAACAGGAAGGCACCCCTGAGGGGCTGTATCTCTAATGAACCATGGCTGTCATCAGGAAAATGGTTGGGAGATTTCTCAGTCCCTGAAAGGGATGAGGCTGGGGGAGTTGCCCAGAGGAATCCCTGTTCCCACTGATTTTTATTAGCAAAACATCCTGTGTCTTTTGGAGTACGATGTGTAAGTGCCCATTGGGTGGCCTGTTGGTCACTGTGCAGCAGTCTGCTTCCCAATAAAGCGTGCTCTTTCACAAACAAACAAAAAAAAAAAAAAAAAAAAAAAGAGCTTGAGGAAGTAGTGCATACAATGGATTGAAGCTGAATGAATCAAAATACCAATGGACTGTTAGGTAGATTTGTGCCTGCTACACTACTAGAGGACTGCACTCTCTGGCAAGCTGAGCTGAAGTGTCCTCCCATAGGTTGGTCTTTGGGTGTGGGCCATAGACTAGCAACATCTGTATCACCTGAGAACTTGCTAAAAATGCAGAATCTGTGGCTTCCAAACCTACTGAGTCAGAATCTCTATTTTAACAAAAACCCCTCAGTGATTGTATGCACATTTATTTTGGAAGCAAGATAAAGAAGAGAGAGGAGCAGAGCGAGAGCTACAGCCAACCGTTATGTCTAATGAATCCTATGCACCACCCTTTGCCTTCTAGTCAGTATCCTTTAGAAAGAGACCATTATCATGGCAGAACTTTAAGGTATTTTATCTTCCCATGTGGTATACCCCAAGTCATGAGAGTCAAGCAAAGTCCCAGGTCCTGGCTGACTCAGAGAGAAAGACTTTCACAAGAATTTCATGAACTCCAAAATGATAACTAGTAACAAACTTGCTTTCACTAATTGCAGCCAAAAGCTGTAAATACTCACATCCCTAAGACAGAATGGCTGGAGGCAGAGAACTGAGAAAGCTTAGCATTTATTATGTCAAAAGATATAAGAATAAACTCTTTGGTAACCTATAATAAAAACAACAATATAAATTCCTAGACAAGAAAAAAGTTTATTTTATCTATACCTATAGCCTTGCTTACAGTGGTCTGGAACTGGGTTTCTGGGCTGAAGATATGAATGACAGAGAAAATAAAACTTAGTTATCTGGGAGGAAAAGGAAAACAAGAAAATTCACCATGCCATTGTCTGACTATTACATGGAATCTGGTTTTGAAGACTTAAGATGAATATTAGGGAAAGAACTGTAGATTTAGAGCCTATTTTATTTCATTCATTCAAAGTCTATTTTAACATTGAACTTAAAGAGTTTCAATGCTATACCTCAATATCATATGTACAACCTCTTAATTTGCAGTGACCGCATACAATAGTAAATTTTCTATAAAGTATTCCAAAATCTGACCAATAAAATTAGTATTCCCTTTTTCTTGGGAAGAGTAACAGAGTAATAAAGAGAGATAACAATTTCTGTATGAAATGCAGCCTCATGCAGGCAGGCTTAAAAGGGAAAATGAATCTCAAAGGGCATTGCAGAGGGGCATGTGTGCATGGAAAAGAAAAATTACATGTGAAACTGAGGCCATAGGGGAGTGTCTGTTGACTTCAGACCTCTGAGAAATTTTTCAGAGTCCTCAGAACAGCTTTAACTCTGTTCCCCAAGCAGAGGAGAAAATAATGCCTTTTAAATATATTTTCATAGAGTAGCATCCTTTATTATTATTATTATTTTATTATTATTTTTTTTTGAGGTGGAGTCTTGTTCTGTCGGCAGGCTGGAATGAAATGGCACAATATCGGCTCACTGCAACCTCCGCCTCCCAGGTTCAAGTGATTCTCCTGCCTCAGCCTCCCGAGTAGCTGGGACTACAGGTGCGCACCACCATGCCCAGCTAATTTTTGTATTTTTAGTAGAGACGGCACTTCACCATGTTGGCCAGGATGGTCTCGATCTCTTGACCTCGTGATCCGCCTGTCTCAGCCTTCCGAAGTGCTGGGATTACAGGCATGAGCCACCGCACCCAGCCCCTGTATTATTTTTAATGTATTTTTTTCTCCCACTACAGTGAGGAGCTACCCAGTAGAGATTCCCACCAACACACACACACACACACACACACAAAGGATCCTTCCACGTAGATACATGAATTTCCATTGTCCTAGTTAGCATAGTTTCATCTTCTATTAAGGTTTTCAAGGCAGGGTCTTAAATCCTGACTTGGAGCCTTAAGGAGCAGTAAAAACATTAAACATGGAGTTGTTTTTCCTCAAAATTCAACTGTGAAATATTTAAATCCTGAAAAAAAAAGGGAAAAAAAAGAACTTTTGTGAATTTTAATCTCATGGTATTGCTAGCATATGGGCAACTTCAGAAATAAGACAATGACTTGTTTCAAAAGAAATCTGATTTTTGATAGACTTAAATATCCTCTGCCCACACCATCCCAGCTGTCTGCTGGGTTGATTGGTCAGTCCATACTGGGGTTTATGGGATTAAGATTGTTTTAACAAAAGCTATGAGTTTTTTTATTTAAAAAAATGTTTTTAAGCTATGCTTATATAGTGATCAGACATATGTGTCCTTATATGATTTTAAGAATTACCCTCCAAAGTATGCAGACAAAATACAATTGATTTTGTTTACAGATGAGGAAATTGAGGCTCAGTGGAGTTAAGTGATGTGCCCAGAGTAGTATATCTGGAACGATAATCCAGGCCTCCTGACTCTTACACCTATTATTCAGTTTTATAATACAAAATTGCCTCATCTGCTTCTAGGAAAAGAGCATTTCTCTGAATTCCATATCATGTATTGATGTCCCATTGTCCTGATGAATAGCCTCTAACTTTGTTCTGTCAATACTAATCTCCTTCTTTTACTATAAGCAGTTAAAAGTAGCCATGCAGCAGCCTGAATGTTTTCCTGCCTAAATATTTCTTCCACCAAATATTCTTGTTCCTCATTCTTAAATTCTGCCTTCCATAAAGCCCTAGGGCATGGACACAATGCAGCTAAGTTCTTTACAACAGAATAACAAGGATGGCCTTTAGTCCAGTTTCCAATGTCTTGATCTTCATTTCCATCTAAGAACTCATCAGAATGGCCTTTACTGTTTATATTTCTGTCAACATTCTGGTCACACAAATTAAGTAATCTCTAAGAAGTTTCAGACTTTTCCTAGTCAATCCTCCTGAGTCCTCACCAGAATCACTCTTAACATTCTGTTTATGAAAATTCAGGCTTTTTCTAGCTTGTTCTTCCAAAGTCTTTCAACCTCTACCAGTTACCTAGTTCTCAAGCTAATTCTACATTTTCAAGTATCTGCTATACCAACAACCACACTTCTTGGTACCAATTTTCTGTCTTAGTCCTTTTCTGTTGCTATAACAGAATACCTGAGACTGGGTAATTTATAATGAACAGAAATTTATTTGGCTCATGATTCTGGAGACTGGGAAATCCAAAAGCATGGCACCAGCATCTGTGAGGGCCTTCTTGCTGTGCCATAATGTGGCATAGGGCATCACATGGTGAGAAAGCAAGTGAGTGCAGGTCAGCTTAAGTGACTTCTTTTTATAAAGTCAACAGTCCTATCATGAGGGCCCTACCCTAAAGACTTTGTCTCATCCTAATTACCTCACAAAGGCTCCACAACCAATCAACATATGAGTGTGGGGATTATGTTTTCTTTATTTTTATTTTTTATTTTTTTTTGAGACAGAATTTCACTGATCTCGGCTCACTGCAACCTCTGCCTCCCAGGTTCAAGCGATTCTCCTTCCTCAGCCTCCTGAGTAGCTGGGATTACAGGTGCCTGCCACCATGCCCAGCTAATTTTTTGTATATTTAGTGGAGTTGGGGTTTTGCCATGTTGGGCAGGCTGGTCTTGAACTCCTGACCTCAGGTGATCTACCTGCCTTGGCCCTCCACAGTGCTGGGATTACAGGCGTGAGCCACCATGCCTGGCCAGGATTATGTTTTCTACACATGAAATTTGAGGAACACATTTAAACCGTAGTACCCTCATTTGAATTATTTCAGAATTTTTTAGTTTACAGTATATTTGAGTTCTCTTTAGCCACCCATTTGATTGACCAGATTTAAACATTCTTTAATGCAAATATTCATGAAAGCTTATTTAAGGGACATATGGATGTGTACATGAAACCCATATCTCAACCCCTCCTCTCCCCTCTTATCATGACCCCAAGATAGAACACACTCAAGATAGACAAGGCTTTCAGTCTGGAGTTCCTTCCCCTAGGGAGTGGTTTGACTTATGGATAATGCTATGTTAATGGCACTTTCTGAACCATTGACTTGGTACCCTATATTTTCCATCCAAGGGAAAGCCAAAGGTGTGTCATTGGTTCTTAGGGCCCTACTCTAATGGCTGGTTATAAAGCCAAAGATGCAGCCACAATCTATTCCAGGGCTCAGAATTTAAGGTATCTCTCCCTACTTCTCTCCATTGGAAAAGAACTAGCTTTTCATAAGTCCCAACCCAAATCATTTTATCAGAATCTGAAGGGTTTATTGCTCACTGGATTTTTTTTCCAGTCAGCAGATAATATTAATGCATCAATTCTTTCATCTTAATTAAGGAGACACATTTAATAAATCACAATGATCATCTGGTTCTTTTCTACTGACCAATACAAAGTTGCAGACTGATATGTAATACAGAGCTAAGACACAATTGCTACCTCTATATTGCACATTAGCACTATTTTGGTTTATTATTCCAGCTGTCAAAGATAATCACAAACAACTTAAAGAATTACCTCCTACAAATCTTCCACCTATCTCAAGACTAGCATTCCTTTCAGGTGAATTTTCTTTTTTTTAAGTTAGAGATTTTTTTTAAATTATGGTTGACTACAGATAAAAGCAATATATTATATTTTTAGTTTTTTTTCCTCTCCAACTTTTGAAAGTCTCTGCTTTGGGGCAGAAACTATGGGGTTTTCTAGGTATAAAATCATATTGTTCATGAAGAGAGGTAATTTGACTTCCTTTCTTCCTATTTTGATGCCTTTTATTTCTTTCTCTTGCCTGATTGCTCTGGCTAGGATTTCCAGTACTATGTTGAATAGGAGTGGTGAGAACAGGCATCCTTGTCTTGTTACAGTTCTCAAGGAGAATGCTTCTAGCTTTTGCCCATTCGGTATGCTCTTGGCAGTGGATTTATAATAGATGACTCATTATTTTGAAGTAGTTTCCTTCGATGCCTGGTTTGTTGATGATTTTTAACAAGAAAGGATGTTGAATTTTATCAAAAAGCCCTTCCTGTGTCTATTGAGATGATCATATGATTTTGTTTTTAGTTCTGTTTATGTGATGAATCACATTTATTGATTTACACATGCTGAGCCAACCTTGCATCCCAGGAATAAAATCTACTTGATTGTGTTTGATTAGCTTTTTGATGTGCTGCTGGATTCGGTTTGCTAGTGTTTTGTTGAGGATTTTTGCATCCCTGTTCGTGAGGGATATTGACCTGAAGTTTTCTATTTTTGTTATGTCCCTGCCAGGTTTTGGTATCAGAATGATGCTGGCCTCATAGAGTAGAATGAGTTGGGGTGGAGTTCCTCTTTCTCAATTCGCTGGATTAGTTTTAATAGGATTTATACCAGCTCTTTACACATCTGGTATAATTCAGCTGTGAATCTGTCTTGTCCAGGGCTTTTCCTGGTTCGTAGGCTTTTTATTACTGATTCAATTTCAGAACTCATTATTGGTCTCTTCAGGCTTTTTAATTTCTTCCTGTTTCAATCTTGGGAGGTTGTATGTTTCCAGGAATTTACCCATCTCTTGTAGGTTTTCTAGTTTGTCTGCATAAAGGTGTTTGTAGTAGTCTCTGAGTATTTTTTGTATTTCTGTGAGGTCAGTAGAAATGTCCCCTTTGTCATTTCTAATTGTGTTTATTTGGATCTTCTCTCTTTTTTCTTTATTAGTCTAGCCAGCAGCCTATTAGTCCTCTTCCTTCAAAAAACAAACTCTTGGTTTCATTGATCATTGGTGTCATTTTTTTGCTTCTCAATTTCATTCAGTTTAGCTTTGATTTTGCTTATTTCTTTTCTTCTGCTGTCTTTGGGGTTGGTTTGCTCTTGTTTTTCTAGTTCCTCTAGGTGTGATATTAGGTTGTTAATTTGAGATCTTTCTAATTTTTGATGTGAACATTTAATGCTATAAACTTTCCTCTTAAGATTGCTTTACATGTGTCTCAGAGATTCTGGTATATTATAGCTTAGTTCTCATTAGTTTCAAAGAATTTCTTGATTTCCCCCCTTAATTTCATTGTCTACACAAAAGTCATTCAGGAGCAGGCTGTTTAATTTCCATGTAATTGTATGGTTTTGAGAGATCATCTTAGTATTAATTTCTGTTTTTATTGTGCTGTGCTCCAAGAATGTGTTTCTTATGATTTGGAGTATTTTTTAGTTTGTTGAGAATTGTTTTATGTGTGAGTGTCTGGTTGATTTTAGAGTGCATGCCACATGAGAAGAGAAGAACATATATTGTATAGGTGTCTTTTACACCCATTTGGTCAAGTGTCGAGTTTAAGTCCCAAATATATTTGTTAGTTTTCTGCTTCCATGATGTGTCTAATACTGTCATTGCGATGTTGAGGTCCCCCACTATTATTGTGTGGTTATCTAAGTTACCTCATAGGTATGTAAGAACTTGTTTTATGAATATAGGTGATCCAGTGTCTGACTGTATTGTGAAATTCTTATAGTGAGTTATTTAGCTCTATCAGATCAGTTTGGTTGAGCTCTTGTTTCATTTTATTGGATTCCTTAGATTCCTTGGATTGGGTTTCAACTTTCTCCTGAATCTCAATGATCTTTGTTACTATCCAGATACTGAATTCAATGTCTGTCTTTTCAGCCATTTCAGCCTGGTTAAGAACCATTGCTGAAGAGCTAGTGTGATTGTTTGGAGGTAAGAAGACACTCTGACTTTTTGAGTTGCCAGAGTTCTTGAGCTGGTTATTTCTCATCTGTGTGGGCTGATGTTCCTTTAGTATTTGACATTGCTGTCCTTCGGATGGGGTTTTTTTGCTTTTGTATTCTTCAGTGCCCTTGAGGGTTTGACCCAGTTGACTGGCTTTGTTCCTGGATTATTTCAGGGTGCCAAGACTCAGCTCACCACTCCTAGGCTGTGTGCTCTAACCCTGGAGGGTTGGTACCAAGCCTACAGCTTTACTCTCTGGCCCCTCGAGGTTAAGCACCTGCTGTGTTGGAGGGGCTGAGGTGTTCCCACTCCACTGGTAAAAATGCTCTGATGGGGTGCCGGCAAAAGCACTTCATTTGGGTGGTGGCAGCAGGGTCCATGCTCATGTGCATGTATGCCGGCAGTAGTGGGGTGGTAGAGACCACATGCGTGTGCTCACTCCAGCAGCATTGATGTGGTGGTGTCTGTGTGCATATGCTGGTGGCAACAGTGGTGTGGGAGGGTGTGTACACACCAGCAAATGTGGGGTGGTGGCATCCATATGCACACATGTACTGTACACCTGCACTGGCAGGGGCAGGGCAGCAGTGGCGAGGTTCACGTGTGCACTGGCGGCAATAGCGTGGTGAGGTCCACACATGCTGGCAAAGCAGTGGGAGGAGGCTGTGGGCAAGTGCACATCCTCTGGGGCCCATCTACTGAAGCTCTCTGACAGTTAGGCGGGGACTACCAGCAAAGAATCTATGGTGATGGCTACCAGAAAGTGCTTCCAAGGCTGCGCTGCAAGCAGATACAGCCAGGCAGGGACCACAGGAGAGGCCAACAAACAGGGGCCTGCTCAGATCAGACTGGTCCTGTCCCACAGGCAAGACCACCCTGCTTTGTCTAGGTCCAAGAGTCAACAAAAGCCAAAGCCACCTAGAGGAGCATGGCAAGCCTTGGGGTATGACATCCCTGGCCATGCTCCACTGTAGCCATTCCCACGCCAAACCCTCTGGGCTCCACACAGGCTAGAGTTCTGTCCCTGCCACCTCTCCAAGCAGCTGTCCCTGTCAGCTCAAATGTTCATGGGGGTCATAGGGTCTCCTGCAGCTAGGATTCTGAAGATCCATGGTGAGAGTAGGCCACTCCTTGCCTATTTAACTCACTCCTTCCCCAGGAGCCACTGAAGGCCAGGAATAAGTCCTGGTACTCAGCAGTCCTGTACAGGGTTCCTACCTTACTCCCCCTGCAGCTCAGGGTTTGCATCCTCCCTCCGTCTATTCTCAATGCCTTCCTTCCGAAGGTCTGCTCAGAGCGTGCCAGTCTTCTCTATCTGGTCTTTTTGTGGGAGATGTTCTTCCTGCCTGCATATAGTTGGCCATCTTGCCTCTTCTCCCTGAAAATTTATAAGAGAGTGGATTTTAAGTGCTATGGCCTAGAAATAGGAGGCACGGCATGCCAAGCAGGCCATGTAAGGAAACCTCAGGAAGCCTCAGTGTGATCAGAAGACAGAGTAGCAGAAACAAGGGCGCTTTCAGGTAAATTTTAAAGAGACAGTTCTGGTACTAAGCTGTAGCAACAGCATTCATTACCAAGGTGCATTTTCTTGTTCATGGAATCACTCAATGCTTGGCACAAACTGCCATTTTTTCACTCATTTAACAAATCTTTACTGTGTGACTACTCTGTGCCAGGCACTATTTTAAGATAGATAGATAGAATATATATATATATATATATATATATATGTCTATTAAACCTCTTTTTCTTTATAAATTTATATATATATATATATATATATATATATATATATATATATATATAAACTCTTCCTTTGGAAGAGTTTATAGTCTAGCTAGAGAGAGAGATAAATATATCAATATTCATTGTTAAATTGGAGTAGGAATAAATGACTAAATAAAGCAGTGATTGGAAGCAGGAAGTGTTGGGGAGTGAGGCTGGGAATTGCAATTTTATATATGATGGTCATGGGAGGCCTAATGGAGAAGGAAATGGTGTGAGCAAAGACCGAAAAGACATACAGATATGTAGGGAAAGAGCAATCCAGGCAGAGAAGTTAGGAAGTGCAGAGTTCCTGAGGCTAGAGAATGCTTGGTGAGTTTTACAAACAAGGAGAGGACGATGAAGTGGCTGGGGAGGAATCGGTGTGTTGTAGAGCAGTAGTGGACAGACAAGGTCAGAGTGGAGCTCAGGATCATACCATGTAAAGTTCTGACAGGCATCAAAAAGTCTTTGAGTTTGTGTCTGGATGAGATGTGAACTACTAAAAGATTTGAGTGGAGGAATTACATGGTCTATCTTAATTTTAAGAGAATCACTCTTGTGCCCATGTGTTCATGTAACAAACACTTATTGAGCATATACTTAGCATCAAGCTTGACGCCAGGAATTGGGGACACAAAGTTAAACAAAATTTGGCTTCTTCTTTCAGTTCACGGAATCTGCTGCAGCTATTTATACAGGTTGCTCTGAAAATGAGTTAAATGTCTTATTTAATTCAGTACATGGGCAAGGACCATGGGTTGTGAGTGAGTGAGGCTGTAGTTTTATTCCACTGCTGAGTGCCTCAACCATTCCCATGTATTGCCTTCTGTTTGATTGGTGCCAAGCCCATTTTTCACAGGCTCATCCATTACTTTCCCTAATCTGACTAATAATTTCTTTCTTATGGCTGAATCAAGGCTGGTATATATTCAAGTTAAAAGTGTTTTGTATTAAAATGTATTTCATCAGATTTCAAAAAGCCAAGTTCTCTCTGTAAGGAGAAATGCAGATTATCCAAAGGAATCTTATGATCATTTGCAACTGTGGGTTGCTTTATTGAGGAGCATGCAAGTAAGGAATGCTAAAATCATTTCCACTTCCCCTCCACACTCTCTCCAAGTTGGCAATTAAATCACTATATGTGAACCTTGAGGCAGAATGAATGTTCTCAGGCCAATTTGGGGGTAAATTATCTGGTAAAAGAAACCAAAACCAGCCTCCCTAATAACTTCCATAACACAAAGTCACTTTTTACTGTTACTGTGTCTGTGACATAATTTACAAAATTCCCTTTTGCCAAGAGGGGACTAAGTGGGCATGCTCTTCATACCCAGGTTATTAGTCGGCTTTTGCTATACAGCAAGCTATCACTAAGTCTCAGCAGCACACAGTAATCAGCAATTATCTCTGTTCAAGTTGGGCAGTTGAGCTGGTGTCTCTGCTTCAGGGTGTGGGTTGTGCTCAAATGTACTGAGGCCCAGACTGAAGAACTGGAGCATGTTCCTCTCACTGTAGACATTAGAAGCTCCCAGTATAGTGAGTTGAAAGGTGTCCCCACACCCTACAAAATGTTCTAACTCCTTGATATGGTTTGGCTGTGTCCCCACCCAAATCTCATCTGGAATTTTAGCTCCCACAATTCCCAAGTGTGGTGGGAGGGACCCGGTGGGAGGTAATTGAATCGTAGGGGTGGGTCTTTCCTATGCTTTTCTTGTGATAGTGAATAAGTCTCATGAAATCTGATGGTTTTATAAAGAGGAGTTTCCCTGCACATGCTCTATCTTCCCTGCCACTGTGTAAGATGTGACTTGCTCCTCCTTGCCTTCCACCATGATTGTGAGGCCTCCCCAGACATGTGGAACTATGAGTCAATTAAACCTCTTTTCTTTGTAAATTACCCAGCCTTGGGTATGTCTTTATCAGTAGGGTGAATATGGACTAATACACCTTTTGAACCTGTAAATGTGATCTTATTTAGGAAAAAAAGTCTTCTATAGGTTGAATGTTTGTTTCCCCCAAAATTCATATGTTTAAGCCCTTACCCTCAATATGATAGTATTTGGAGGCAGGGCCTTTGGGAGGTAATTAGGTTTAGATGAGAGTGGAACTTCCATGATGGTATTGGTGCCGTTTTAAGAAGAGGGAGAGACATCAGCGCTCTCTCTCTCTCTCTCTCTTCAACTATGTGAGGCTATGGCAAGAAGATGGCCATCTGCAAACCAGGAAGAGGGTCTTCGCAAGACATGGCATCTGCCAGCACCTTGATCTTGAACTTTTCAGCCTCCAGAAGTGTGAAAAATAAATATCTGTTGTTTAAGTCACCAAGTCTATGGTATTTCATCATAGCAGCCCAAGCTAACTAAGACAGTGTCTTTGTAAATGTAATTAAGTCCAGGATCTTAAGATGAGATAATCATTTGCAATCTATGTGGGTACTATATCCAATGACCAAGTAAGGGTTCTCATAAGATACAGAAGAGAAGATGGTACAAGGAGGCTGTGGAAAGATAAAGACAGAGATTAGAATTAGGCAAGCACAAGCCTAGGAACACACTTTGCAGGGAGAACAGCTTTGTTGACCTCTTGACTTTGAACTTCTGGCCTCCAGAACAGTGAAAGAATTTCAGTTATTTTATACCATCAAGTTTGCAGTAATTTGTTACAGCAACCACAGAAAACCAATACACAGAGGGATGAATGGAAACATATGAAGATCATACAACATAAGCTTGGAATCCAGACACTGTCCCTTCTACCTACCTTCCATTAGCCAAAACCTGTCACCAGGACAAGCCCAGTACCCATGAAGCTGGGATGTACACTACTCCTATGGAGGTCAGGGAGGAGTGAAAGCAAGAGATTTTTTGCTGAATAATAATCTACCATACTTTGTTTTGTTTCTTTCGTAGCATTTGCTCACTAGGTCTTCCTTCCAAATCTAGGATTCCAGAAGACAACTCAGAACTTACCTGGGGATTTCTGTACATAGAAACCAGTGTTCTAAGATAAAAGGATGATGGATGAATCATAGGAAGTTCAGTGGATATGAGCCAAGTTCCCAAAGAGGAAATGGTAAGGATTTCTAAGCCTCAACTAGCCTCCCGTCTCTGCACAGATCTCCAACACTTTAGATACAAAAGATACACCATGCAAATACACCTCTCCTAAAGCACTGGCCCTGAATGCTATGCTCTTTGATCCTGGTGAGCTGAGCTGAAAGTTGCTGAGAGGACTGCTTTCTAACCTCTTTCCTTTTGACTCATTTTTTTTAGAATGGGCCTTGGACCACCTGTATGGAATTACTTAGGGTGTGATATGGTTTGGCTGTGTCTCCACCCAAATCTCATCTTGTTTTGTAGCTCCCATAATTCCCACATGTTGTTTGAGGGACCTGATGGGAGATAATTGAATCATGGAGGTAGTTTCTCTCCTACTGTTCTCATGGCAGTGAATAAGTCTCATGAGATCTGATGGTTTTATAAGGGGAAATCCCTTTCACTTGGTTCTTATTCTCTCTTGACTTCTGCCATATAAGATATGCCTCGGCCGGGTGCAGTGGCTCACGTCTGTAATGTCAGCACTTTGGGAGGCCAAGGTGGGCGGATCACGAGGTCAGGAGATCGAGACCATCCTGGCTAACACAGTGAAATCCCGTCTCTACTAAAAATACAAAAAAAAATTAGCCGGGCATGGTGGCGGGCACCTGTAGTCCCAGCTACTCAGGGGGCTGAGGCAGGAGAATGGCATCAACCCAGGAGGCAGAGCTTGCAGTGAGCAGAGATCGTGCCACTACACTTCAGCCTGTGCAACAGAGCGAGACTCCATCCCCCAAAAAAAAAGATGTGCCTCTTGCCTTCTGCCATGATTGTGAGGCCTCCCCAGGCACGTGAAACTGTGAGTCTATTAAACCTCTTTTTCTTTATAAATTACACAGTCTCAAGCATGTCTTTATTAGTATCATGAAAGTGGACTAATACAGGGTGCTTCTTACAAATGCAAGTTTTTCAATCTACTGCTCACCCCCTGAATCAGAATCTCTGGCAATTTTAACACACATCTCAGAGAATTTTGATGCACACTAATTTAAACATCACTGTTGTTTCTCAAACTTTATACTATCTTGTATATATCACCAGCACCCATTAGCAGATGTGAGTGATCCTGTACTTTCTGGGAATATGGGTTCACCATCCTAAGTCTCTGTGATAGGAAATTTCCTTTAACTCTAGTGTTTTCTCTCTCAAGTTCATGAATATTAACCTTCTATTCTACAATGTGTTTGCTCCATTGAAGACAAATATTTTCCCCTAGACTTTTGGTTAAATTGAGGCTCAACAGTTTTTTTTTAATTTATTATTATTATACTTTAAGTTTTAGGGTACATGTGCACAATGTGCAGGTTAGTTACATATGTATACATGTGCCATGCTGGTGTGCTGCACCCATTAACTCGTCATTTAGCATTAAGTATAGCTCCTAATGCTATCCCTCCCCCCTCCCCCCTCCCCCCTCCCCCCACCACACAACAGTCCCCAGAGTGTGATGTTCCCCTTCCTGTGTCCATGTGTTCTGATTGTTCAATTTCCACCTATGAGTGAGAACATGCGGTGTTTGGTTTTTTGTCCTGGCAATAGTTTACTGAGAATGATGATTTCCAATTTCATCCATGTCCCTACAAAGGACATGAACTCATCATTTTTTATGGCTGCATAGTATTCCATGGTGTATATGTGCCACATTTTCTTAATCCAGTCTATCATTGTTGGACATTTGGGTTGGTTTCAAGTCTTTGCTATTGTGAATAGTGCCGCAATAAACATACGTGTGCATGTGTCTTTATAGTAGCATGATTTATAGTCTTTTGGGTATATACCCAGTAATGGGATGGCTATATAAACAGAACCAAAGACAAAAACCACATGATTATCTCAATAGATGCAGAAAAGGCCTTTGACAAAATTCAACAACCTTCATGCTAAAAACTCTCAATGAATTCGGTATTGATGGGACATATCTCAAAATAATAAGAGCTATCTATGACAAACCCACGGCCAATATCATACTGAATGGGCAAAAACAGGAAGCATTCCCTTTGAAAACTGGCACAAGACAGGGATGCCCTCTCTCACCACTCCTATTCAACATAGTGTTGGGAGGCTTAACAGTTTTGCTGAGCCAGCAGCTTTGTGCATTGCTCACCATGCCATTCTTCACAGCCTTCTATGTCTTCACCCTGATGCTGGATCACTCTGGTGTTGAGGAGGGGACACATGGGGAGGAGTTCTTCAGAGTCTCTTTTCCAGAGAAATCTAGATATGCTCACGCAAAAAGTACTTGGTATTTACTTTTGAGGGCCTCACAACCCCTGTGAAGCATTTTGAGGGCTCCTAGGTGAGGAGGCCTTAGTCTAAAGTTTACAGCAGTGTAGCTAGATGATTCATTTCTATAATGAAAACAATAATAAAGTGATAACTAGCATTTACTGAGCACTTACCACATGCCAGGCACTGGTCTAAACTTCTTACCTGCTTTATCTCATTTCACCCTTGTACTGCCCTGAGGAGTAGGTATCGTTATTAACTCCATTTTATAGTTGGGAAACACAGGCCTTTGAGAGGCCATATAGCTAGACCCAGTTCAATAACCTCTTTCTCGCAGGCCACATGCTGATTTTTCTCATACCTCCTAGAGTTCCCCTTGCTGAAGACTAAAGTAAAATTACCTGGCCTATTGTCAAACCATACAGATCACCTTAACTTTTCCCCTGAAAGAAGGGGACTCCGGAGAAATAATCAGTAGCCTTGAATACTCTTTGGCTTGACCCATGGGCATCTCGTGGCCATGTCTTACATGTTCATTGCTTATCTGTTCATTTTCCTGCACACTATTTACTATTTACCTGTTCGTTATTTTAACACAAAATTGAGTCTCCAGTGTCCAATGTGGTGACCACCAGTATACAATACATTCATGGTGATAAGAGCAATGAGGAAAATTAGGCAAGTTTAGGAAAAAGAGAGTGTTGAGGTTGGCAGTAACATTTGAAATAAGATAGGTGCAATGGTTTGGATATTTGACTCTCCAAACCTCATGTTGAAATTTGATCCCCAATATAGGAAGAGGGGCTTAATGGGAGGTATTTTGGTCATGGGGTGAAGCCCTCATGAAGAGATGAATATCCTCCTTGGCAGGGTCGGGAGGGGATGAGTGAGTTCTCACTCTGTTAGTTCCTGCAACAGCTGGTTGTTAATGTTTTTCCCGTTTGCCCCGAGAATACTTGCAGGTGGTGCTTGCGGCTGCCGCATTTACCCCAAAATAACTTTGCCACAAAATATTTCACATTTGTTATTATGTTCACATCACTTTAGTAAATAGACTTTGGAAACAAAACACATCATTCTATTTATAGCATTCTGTTTTTAGTAGTGGTATTTCCATTTACAAAATACAGTAATTCTCAATGGCTGAAAATGTCAAATCCTAGAAAACATAGCATGCCAATGATGTTAACATCATTCTTGAACAGTTGTTGGCTGAAGATTCATTGCATGAATCCAATGTTTCTGAAATAGACAATTCTGATCATTCAGATGATTGTGATATTAGTTATTATACATAACTACAAGAACAGTTTCTATATTTTATTTTCACATTGAAAATCAGTCAGATTTACTTCAGCCACAAAGAGTGTGTTTATGTAAAATTAAATGAGTGCTGGCAGTGAGCTGCACATTTTATTTTTCTAAACAGGAAAAGGGTTAAAAAGAGCCTGGAGCCTCCCTGCTTGCTCTCTTACCTCCTCTCTCACCCTGTGATCTCTGCACATGCTGGCTCCCCTTTCTCTGAAACTCCCACCAGGAGCTGATGCTAGTGCCATGCTTCTTGTACAGCCTGCAGAACCATGACTCAAATAAACCTCTTTTCTTTGTAAATTACCCAGCCTTAGGTATTCCTTTACAGCAACACTAAATGGACTAAGACAATAGAGAAGGTCCTTTTGATAAATTGACACTTGAGCAGAGACCTGAAGGAAGTCAGGAGAGAGCCATGAGGATAATCAGGAGCAAGGTTTTCAGCCAGAGGGAAGAGTAAGTGCAAGGCAAGAGCAAAGAGTTCAGCTTGGAGGTCCCACATGAAGTGATTAGTAAGGGGGAGATATAGCAGATGAGATCTGAGAACATGGGGAAGCTGGGGACAGGTTGCATAGGTCCTTATGGCAAGGACTCTAGATTTCATTAGAAACCATCGGAGGACAAAAGCAGGAGAGAGACATGTTAAAACTCATCTTTGTCAAGAATTACTGAGCCAGACTGATGAGCACTTTACATATCAAAATGTATGACAAGCCCACACGAATATTAACCAGAAACACAAGTCCAGCCCAAATGGCCAAACATTCCAAGTACTTTTTTATTTTGAGTGCTTGCTTGTATCCAGAAGCATGTTAGGTGCTGGGAGATCAGGTATGTAACAAAAATTCCCAGCACCAGGCAGGGTCAGCCCGAGAGACTGGGAGACTGGGCAAGTTAGGTGGCAGAAGTGCTTTGACCCTCTGTTAGAGGGCACCAGGCCTGGCTGGCAAATCTTCAAGCACTCAGCACCACAGTATGTGTGTGTGTGTGTGTGTGTGTGTGTGTGTGGATATATATATATATATATCCACTCTCACATCACCTCCTTCATTTATTTGCTCCCATTTCACCCACACACAGTCATATGTCTCAGCTATTTGTTTCCTGACCCTGAGGCCTTTTACAGTAAAGGCCTTCCACCTGTTTAACTCAGGTGCCCTCTAAATGGAGCAACAATCAGCCCTTGCTGTCTTGAGCTGTTCCCACCAGGGCCTCCTCCCCAAAGGACTGACCTCAGGTACAATGTATACAGAAAACAAACTGCAATCCTTCCTTTTACCCAAGGCCCTGCCTGCAGGGAAGCATTTTTTCTCCTTGCTGTGACAGTGAATTGGAGATTTGTGGACACTCCTGTGCTGCATGGTAAGGATGCCTGCTGCCTAAACAATTACCTGGAATTCAGCAATGAGTTCCCTTTATACCCAGTGGTCATTAGGGCTATGGCTACTGCTTTAAGACTCTGAGATTTTTTTTTGCATAAAGATTGGTTGCACTGCCAGGTTTTTTT
The DNA here is from genome assembly GCF_000001405.40 of Homo sapiens. Taxonomy (NCBI): domain Eukaryota; kingdom Metazoa; phylum Chordata; class Mammalia; order Primates; family Hominidae; genus Homo; species Homo sapiens. The sequence goes on from NC_000003.12 coordinate 68,653,814, forward strand.
TAAAGTCTCTATTTTTCATAGTGCTCTGTAGCCATGTAAGCAGGAAGAGAGAAAATTTATCTTGAGCATATGATATTCACTTAATAAGTAAGAAGAATGGAGCAGAACCCCACTAGAGCACAGCTAGGATTCTGAAAGGAGTCAGACATGTCTCCTGGAATAATTCCTATCCCGAATTATATCCCGAATTTGCTGTGTTCAGGCAAAAGCCAGCTCTGGCCACAGCACTGGCTGTAACAAGGCATCTCATCATGTTATAAAATTGGGAGAATATGTTGTTTCTCTCTCCAGTATCTATTTAATCCCACCCAAAATCAGGTTTCTGATTTCTCTTTGCGGAATTCATCCCTCAGCCCTTCTCAGCCATGTATTTTAACCTCACATCTTTATTTCCAGAGTTTCTGATTGGCTTAAGCCATTCCTCCCCAGGCCTTGGGTCACAGAAGAGCACCTGAGCAATCAGAACCAATAAGATACTGTAAACAGCCTAGCGGAAAAGCTGTGTTCCCAGGAAAAGAGGGACCCTTTCTTTCTCAACCCCTAAAACATGTGGTGTGGGGAAATGGAATATAGTGCTGCTAGTGAAATACTGCAGCCATTCTAGAGGACAAGGCAAATGCAGAGCCCAAAGCTGAAGAAAACTCTACAGATGCCAGAACAAAGAGATGGAGGGCAATTTGGACATAGGTAACATAGATACCTTTGAAGCAAGCCTCACCTGACATATCCTATTCTCTGGGCCAGTGGTTTCCCATGTGAGGACCAGCAGAGTCAGCTTTACCTGAGAACTCATCGGAAATGCAAATTTTTTGGTCCCCACTCTAGACTTCCTGAAACAGAACTCTGTGCATGGGGTCTGTAGGGTAAACGCCCTTGACAGTAATAACTTAAGCATACCCTTAGAATGACACTGTATGTCAGATGCACCTAAATGTGTGTTCCAAGCTAGGGAATCCACCAGTGGCCAACCTGGAGATTTGTTCCTTGTCTATGAGGAAGATCTGAGCCTCCAGCCTGTCCCATGGAACATGGACCATACAGGGGATAGAGGCTCTGAGTTTGGGGGGGGCGGGGGGGTGGGGGGGGAGGGTAAATGAAGGTAACCAGGTGGAGGTTGTTAGTGGGAGGGAGTTAAGTGAAAATCCTGTATAAACTGCATGATATTTGTAGGTGGTTGTGATTTTCCTGCTGAGCCCTTCGCCACTGGGCTGTGAGGTCATGTGATCCAGCCTGCCACCGCTGGACTATTTTTGTAATTAAGGCAGTTCTCCTGTCCAGCCCACTGTCACTGGACTCTCTTCCTGGTATGGAAACCCCTAATAAGGTCTCATTTGCTGGCTCTGAGTCTCTTCTTTAGCCTCTTGAACCTCGTGCTTCCCTACTGAGGTTAATAGGGGGTTGGCACAACAGGACTCAGCAATCTGCATTGTAACAAGCCCTCCGGGTGATTATGGTTACACTAAAGTTTGAGAACCGCTGTTGTTAACTATACAGTAAGTTGACAGAAAATCAGCTGTTTTAAGTATCACTATTCTAGAGTTTTTAGTACCATGTATCCATTTCTTTCTTAGTAAAACCAGTCTGAACTTGGTTTGTGTGTTTCTCTTACCAGCTTCAATCTTTTTGTTCTAACACTTGATAGAAAATTAGATGAGTTATCTTAATTATAATCCTTCCCTACATCACACTGGCTTATCTGATGAGGAGATCTGTTCCTTAGGACATCTTTATGAAGGACACAAACTGAGCAAGGATATTTGGTATACAAACTCCTCATTGTGGAGATGAGAAAACCAAGTGCCTTCCTGTAGGTCTCCTGACTGGCTAAAATACTTCTGGTCTGGTTCTTTCTCCCATTCTTGGCAGCCCATGAGGCTGAGTGATTAGATCAGCAGGTGAAAGAGGTGGGCAAACCTGGGTTTAAACCCTGACTCTGCTACACTCTAGCTGTAAGACACAGGGCATGTCATTTCAAGCTTGTGTGCCTCAGTTTCCTCATTTGTAAAATGGTGAAACAGCACTACTTACTTTAGGTGGCTGCTGTAAGAATTCACACCATTCCAGTGAAAATGTGTATGGAAAGAATGAAGGGCTTAGTAAATGCTCAATAAATTGTATAGTAAGAATATTGTCAAATTCATCACATCATTGTCTCTGCCCTACTGCCTGTAAAATGCAGTCTACGCAAAGCAGACTGCATTGAGCATGTTATTTAGGAGAAGCAGTATCTCAGTTATGCACTGAATCCAGCCTGCTTATTTCCAAGGACGCTCTGAATTACCTTCGCCTCACACCTGAACTAGAGCATCTTATAGGGTCAGCATTATAAGGTAATCTCACACTTCAGCTTCCTATGAGAAGCTGTGTTTCTCACCCACAACCTCCCCGTTAAGGCCTCCTTTCTTCTTAAGGGGGTGATACTGCTGTTGCTAAATTGTTTTAATCACCATCAGAACAATGAAAAGGTTTAGTAATTCTTAATAAAGAACAGCTCTTCTAGAATCAGTGGCTGTCTCACTCATTTCCAACCATGCTTAATTTTTGACTGTTCCCACTTAGCCATTTAATAAAAAAATTTGACTTCCTACCTTTTCTCAGGCATCCAGGTGGGTGGTATGCTACCTTGGAAGGAGAACCACCATACAAAGTCTGGCAATATTTTTGCAGTCTCAATTATCTGGCCTTGCTCTAGATAATGTCACTGGTCTTTCAGCATGGCCATGACTTGAGTGACACACCAGTGGCACTTTTGTGATAGAAGTTAAATGGAGTAGAATTGTGGCAGGCCAGGTCTCACTCATGCAGGGCTCTATAACAACTGTTTCAGTACTGACTGAGTGGTTAAGTTAAATATTGAAAGCCAGTGCCCTTATACAAAGGCTGGAATGTAACAAAAGCCCACCAAGAGTTTTGCCTAGGCCTTTCCTGGGCCTTAAAGCACGACAAAATAACGAAGGAATTCTTAACAGGACCCATTTAGGAGTAAACAAGTTTTATTGTGGGTCTGAAGAAACTCCCCAGGCCTCCACAAACAAGTTTATTGGGGGTCTGAAGGAACTCCCCAAACCTCTATGATTTAGCAGGAGACAAGATAAGGATAATTACCCCAGCACCTGGACCTATTTAGAGTAAGCAAACTTACTGAGGCTCCAGAGGAAAAGGTCTTCAGGACTCAGACCTTAGTTATAGATTAAAAGAAGTTAATCACTTACGTCTTTAGATAAATGCACACTTACATGTAGATGTATAGCTTAGAAGGTATATAAGCTCTGGACAACTTCATAATTTTGAGTTGGTCTGGTGATAATTTCCAGGCCTTCTCCCTGTAACCGGTTACAGAAATAAAAACTCTCTTCCTCCTCCGTTCATCAGCATCTCATTACTGGGCCACAAGAAATAGCAGCCCAACCCTCAGTTTGGTCCAGGAACAGAATCTTATAGCCAAATGATATAAAATGGCTCTTGGGTTCAAACCCCAGCTTTGCCACTTAATACCTGTGTGATTTGTGCAAGATATTTAGCCCTTAAGCTCTTTCCCAGCCCATGAGGGAGGTGAAAGGGCCGTAAAGGATAAATGTGCAACCTGTCTGAAAATTAATACTTATGCTTGGGAGCAGCACATCTGGTAACCTGGGCACTGGGAGAGGTGATGATTATGATCATCACTCATCAGCCACCCACTCATCACCCACCCACTCATCAGTCACCCATCCACCCACTGCGCCTGTATAAAAGCCCTTATATTTTTTTTTCTGGTCCTTCAGTGCTTTAGTTTATCCATTTATAAAATAAAGTAATGGAATCAACACATAGAATTATTATAATTATTAAATGAGTTAATGTTTATAAAACCCTTAAATATGAATCATAATGAATAATATTTGCCATTTACTAAGAACTTACTTTGTGCCAGACTTTATGCTAAGCACTTTACATATAACAGCTAAATTTATTCCAACCATAAATCAGTGAAGTACAGTAGTATGAGAATAAATAATATTGCTAATATTAATGATGGCAATAATAATATATGCAACAGGCAGTATACTAAGTATTCTGTCAAATCTCACAACATCTTTATTAGGGAGGTTCTATTATAATCCCCATTTTGCAGATGAATAAACTGAGGCACAACAAGTTAAGTCTCCTGAGAAAGCAAGTAAGTGACAGAGCTGGGATTCATACTCAGTCATCTCCGATACCATGTCCCAACCTCTCAATTGCCCACCAACTCAAAATCACATAAAAGAATGATGTCAGTGTTCAAATTTTCTAGAATCATAGGATAGATCAAAAACATTGATATCATTTCTTCCTCTCAGAAAAATGATTCCAAATGGGAGCTATATGAATGGAGAGTTTTGTTTTTTTTGTTGTTGTTGTTTTTTGTTTTTTATTCTTTTCAGAGAGGGAATCCTGCTCTGTCACCCAGGCTGGAGTGCAGTAGCGTGATCTCAGCTCACTGCAAGCTCCGCCTCCCGGGTTCACACCATTCTCCTGCCTCAGCCTCCCGAGTAGCTGGGACTACAGGCACCCACCACCACACCCAGCTAATTTTTGTATTTTTAGTAGACACAGGGTTTCACTGTGTTAGCCAGGATGGTCTCGATTTCCTGACCTCGTGATCCGCCTGCCTCAGTCTCCCAAAGTGCAGGGATTACAGGTGTGAGCCACCACGCCCAGCCTGTATGGAGAGTTTTAAAAGCTCACAATTGGCTGTCTGGCCAGCCCTATGTGCTCTATGAAAATGAGGGATTCTTTCCAAAGTGAAAAGCTGTAATAGTAATAGGTTTTAAAAACTATAGAGTCAGCATCTTGCAGAAGATACTCAACTGGGTAATTTTTTTAAAAAATGGAGGCTTTTATAACATCCAATTATATGACAAGTGAGTTACATTTAAAGGCATTGAAAAAATTATTCCAAATACGAACTGAACAGTGTTATCAACTTTAATTAGTCCTCATATTAAGCTCTTTCCAAGCCCATGACGGAGGCGAAGGAGCTATAAATGATAAGCATGCATCCCATCTGAAACGGTACTTCCAACTCGGAGCAGCATGTTTGGTAACCAGGTCACTGGAGGAGGGTGATGATCATGACTGCCACTCATCAGCCAATCCCCCCCATGACGATTTTATGTATATCATGCATTACTGCTAGCCACCATGAATATTACATAGTACTATAATTGCTTGAGCGTCCATGGTACATACCAAGCCAAACCTTACATTAATCCTCTACCCCTGAGAATCCAAAATTCTCCGTGCCACCTGTCGCACCCTATCCTAAAGTAAGGTCAGCTAAATAAGCTATCGGGTGGATGTGGGTACAGTGTTAGATTGAGATAATATCATTTATGGGGGAGGGGCACTTTGTGAAGTGGGCCCCATTTCTCTTGTCCTTTCGTACTGGGAGAAATGTAGAACAGATAGAAACTGACCTGGACTGCTCCGGTCTGAACTCAGATCACGTACCGCCCATCCGCTGCACCTGTATAAAGCCCTTACGTTTTTTTCTGGTTCTTGGTAAAGTGATTTAGTTGGACTCTTATTAATCTCATTTTACAAATGAGGAAACTGAACCAAGGAGATAGCAAGCAATTTGCCCAGGGTTCCTATTTCTTGGGAAGGGGGCTAAACTGGGGTTCATACTGAGGTCTGTGTACTGGAAAGCCAATGTGCTTTTCATTATGTCATGATGACACTCTAAAAACACAAGTGAAAAAATACAGCTCAGTTATGAAGAAATAACTTTTATTTTCTTTCTACAATGTCACCTATAGGTAGGGATGTAAGTTTTTTAGAGGTGGGAACAAATTGAAGTCTTGCTATTATGGAAATACGTATAAAAAGGTAGAGTATGGCAAATCCCTCCTAGGTACTAAGTCGAAGTGTTTGCATATTTATCTTTATATGGTAGTGTTTTATGCCAACCTGGTACAAAGTACATGCTCCGTAGATGTTCACTCAATTGGCTTGAATTTTTTTCTTCTAGTTCCCAAATCACTTAGGTGGAGCCAAATGCATTTTAAGTTCATTGAACCCTGGTAGAGTGTCTGGTAGTTTCTGGTATCCACTTTACCCTCCAAAACACAATGGTAACCATGTAGGTGCTCAAATAATGCAATAAACACATCTCTCACAGAGAATCTGTTATAGTGACCTTCAAGTTCAGCATCAGCATTTTGGGGGACTATGAAGAACAAAGCTGGATGTTGACAAGGATCTAGACCACAATGGTAGCTGTATTCCTAGAAATTTTGACTGAGCAGGATTGAGGGAATACAGATTACAGATTCATATTCTTAAAGCAAGACCCCATTGAGTTCTAATCCATATACAGAAAGAAAAAATAATGAAAGCCCACCAAAATAGCTCAACTCTCCGGTCTTCTTGGAATCTTGAGATTATTATAATTATTGTATTCACCTTTACATGGAATTAGCTTAGAAACTTGACCAAGTGGCCAGGAGCTTTTTTAAGAGAACTATCTTTCTTTGAGATTGGGGATGTTATTTTATTTTGATTTTCCAGAGCTGATTTTTATTTTTCTTTGGTCACAGAGTTCTAGTAATATAAAGGAGTTTGGGGAGAAAGTATCTCAGAAAACAGGGATAGGCTATAAATTCTTCTAGCAGGGAAAGGGCACTCTGGTAGGGAAAATAATGGTTCCCCAAAGATGTTCATGTTCTAACCCCTGAAACCTGTAAATATGTTATCCTTAGATGGCAAAGGAGATTTTGCAAGTGTGATTCTGTTAAGCACATCCTGAATTATTTGAGTGGGCCCAATGTCATCACAAGGATCCTTGTAAGAGAGAGGTAGTCATGTTCTAGAGCAGCAGTCCTCAACCTTTTTGGCACCAGGGACCAGTTTCATGGAAGGCAATTTTTCCATGGGCCTGGGTAGGAGGATGGTTTGGGGATGATTCAAACACATTACCTGTATTGTGTACTTTATTTCTATTGTTATTAAACTATAATATATAATGAAATAGTTATAGAACTCACCATAATATAGAATGAATGGGAGCCCTGAGCTTGTTTTCCTGCAACTACAGGGTCCCATCTAGGGGTGACGGGAGACAGCGACAAATCATCAGGCATTAGATTCTCATAAGGAGCACAAAACCTAGATCCATCACATACACAGTTCACAATAGGGTTCACGCTCCTCTGAGAATCTAATGCCACCACTGATATGACAGGAGGCAGAGTTCAGGTGGCAATGCAAGCAACGGGGAGTGACTGTAAATAGAAATGATGCTTCACTCCCTCACCCACCCCTCATCTCCTGCTATGTGGCCTGGTTCCTAACAAACCATGAACCAGTACCAGTCCATGGCCTGGGGATTGGGGACTCCTGTTCTAGAGAGTCGGAGAAGGAGATGTGATGGAAACAGAGGTGAGTGATGAAATGGCTCCTCTGAAAAAATGGAAGAGATCTACAAGCCAAGAAATGCAGGCAACTAGATTCCTCAGCTTTCTAGAAGCTGAGAATGGTGGGTAACAGATGTTCCCCTAGAGTTCAGAGAAGGGATGTAGTGACACTTCTCACCTCTGGAAATGTAAGATAATAAATTTGTATTGTTTAAGCCATCTAGTTTGCAGTCATTTGTCATAGTAGCAATAGGAAGCTAACACAAGGACTAAGTTCCTGAGCAGCAGCTTCCGCCAAAGAGAGAAATATTTCTTATATGAGTCTAAGAAAATATTCTACCTGCTTAGAAGTCTGAGTATTACCTTTGGCTACTTGTGATTTACTTTAAGGTCTTTCAGCCTCAGCACTATTAACATTTTGGGTCAGATCATTCTTTATCGTGGGGCTGTTCTGTGCATTGTAGGATATTCAGCAGCACTTCTGGCCTCTGCCCACTAGATGCCAGGAGCACCTCCCCCACCCCCAACAGCTGTGATAACCAAAATTGTCTCCAGATATTGCCAAATGTGCCCTATTTGAAGGAAGGGCAGCAAAACTGCTCCCAGGATGAGAACTATTGCTCCAGTATGATCATATCCTCCTTGATTATAAAATTTCTGATGACAGTGAGCAAGCCATCTTTCTCCCACGATCCTAATTCATAAATTAGCCAAACCCTGAGACACACAAAATATGCTTTAGTCAGTGTCATTTTGCTGCTCAATTATGAGGCAAAAAATCCTTGCCTCAAGACTAGATGGAATAATCTCATGGCTTATACCAAGAGATCAGACAGGATTTATTTCTGGATGAAACTCAGCTGATAACCCAAGGCAAGTTATTAATCTGCTCAGCCCAGCCAGCTAGCACCTCATGCCTGTTACTCTGAGTAGATACCAAATAAAACATTATATCAAATTGAGTGGGATAGCTTCCTGCCCCCCTTCCTTATTTGGATAATTTAACTGGGGATCCTATTCATAATTATTACTGCATCAAAAATTGCAAGATGTTTTAGAATGAAATGCAGTGAAGCATGGGTAGAAGGGAAGGATGAGTTCTGTGCCTTCCCTGGTTCCAAGATATGGGTGTTATTGGGCATAGGCGCAAAAGCAGCCTCTATAAGCCAAGTTTTTCCTTCTCTGAGTTAATGTGCCAGCTAAAGGATGCCTACTTTCAAAAGAATGAGAAAGAGAGAGAGATTCCAGCTCACTTTCCAAAACAAACTCTTATTTTGGCATGAATAGGTTTGGCAAAGAGAGACATTGCAGGCAGGAAGGCAGGCAGAACTGGGGAAAGGATAAGAGAATAAATGACCATGAGTTAAGATTATCTAGGATGGAAGGCTAGGATGATGTTATGGACTGAATGTTTGTATGCCCCAAAATTCATATCTTGCTACCCTAACCCCCAGTGTGTTATTTGAAGGTGGGACCTTTGGGAGGTAATTAAATTTAAATGAGATCATGAGGGCAGGTCCTCCATGATGGGATTAGTGTTCTTGTAAGAGAAGGAACAGACCAGACAGAGCGCACTCACTCTCTGCCATTCAAAGACATAGTAAGAAGGTGGCTATCTGCAAACCAGGAAGAGAGCCCTCACCCAGACCCCAACCATGCTGGTACCTTGACCTTGGACTTCCCAGTCTCCAGAACTGTGAGACATAAATGTGTGTGGCTTAAAGCCACCCTGTCTATGGTATGCTCTTATAGCAACACAAACTAACAGATGAGCAACCAAACCACAGAAATTATATCAAAAGGTAGAAAGATACTAACACATTTGAGCATCAGGGAGTGACCTCCCTCATCAGCACCACAAACACAAGACCTCTATATAAAATCAGTTTTTTGAGTTATATAAACATGAAAATAATGTGATAGGTTGAAGACAGGAGCTAGATTCTTACTAGCTATGTGACCATAGACAGGTTTCTTTGTTGTTTTATTTTTTGTTTGTTTCCATATTAAAATGGCAATAATAATACCTGCCTTGAAATAATATAAGAAAAGAATCAATCATACATATATGACATATATGAAAGTACTAGGTGTAAAGGGAAGTCAGTTCCCCTCCTATTCCCAAGTCCCCTCCCATCTAACCTCACCCTGGTCAGTTTAAAATAAGTCAAATCTGAACGTTCCAGGTTTAACTAGTCCGTGAGCGTAAATGAAGACATGTGAACATTTATGCCCCATCTAGATAAATCACCAGCCCTTACGTACTCAAGTATGAAGACTAGTCCTTGCAGGTGTCTCCTTGTGGTAAATATCTACAAACACTGGTTTTGTAAACCCCCCTTCCAGCCCTCATTCTTCTAGTAAGAGCATCTTGGTTCTCCTTTGAGAAATCACCTCTTTTCTATGCAGTGGGGGCCATTGATACCCCATCTCATACATACATACACACCTGACTCCAGGAGAGAATACTTCCTTGGGTCTGGCCAATGAATTTCTTAACCAATACCCGCCCCAGACCGAAGTGAATCCATCTCAGAAATCTCAGCAATAGTTAGAACTACTGGGGAGGGAGAAGCTCACTTTCTGCTGGGATTTGTGGTTGCACATGTAGTATAATCCCAGAGCTCTCAGAGACCACCAGGATGAGAAGGCCTGTATGAAACTAAAAGTCACTGCAGAAGAAAGCAGAGGTAAGAGATGGAGAGAGACAGTACAACAATTCCCCTGGATTCAGCTATTCCTGAAGCTAGTAGGTCCCTTGACTTCTTAGGGATGTGAGTCATAAATCCCTTTATGTTTAAGCCAGAATAATTAGGTGTCTCTTACTCCCTACAGACAGACTCCTAATAAACATACCCTCCCTTAAGTCTTTCTGAAAATTGCCTTGGGGTGAAATTACCTGTGTGTATGAATTAGATTTCCCAGCCAGAGATTCTGTAGCTGCTGTCAAATGCCATCTGAACCATCCCAGGACTAATTTGCTTGGTAGGTGTACAGAAGGCCACGCTGCCACCGTCATTTGCATACACCTAGGAGTCTGATCACAGCCATTGTCTTGGAGCTAACTATAAAGTTGTTTCACTGTCAGCCAAACAAGAAACAATGCCTCAGTCCTCCTGAAACTATTAGAACTAAGCCATACCTTCATAATAGACAGGGATAATCCTTCCCCATTTCTTGTGATACTGAGTGAGGAATTCAGGGAGAATCTAATTTTATCCAGCTGCAAAAGTTCCAGCTGTTAACTTGCTGCTTGAAGTCCCCCAAACATGAAACATTCAGAGCTAACTCACTCTCTCCCTTTTACCCTAGCCATTTTCTCTTCCAAAAGGCTCAGCCAGCACTTTTACTAAAATAGCACTGGACCAGTTTTTTCTAATCAGAGAAGTAAAAGAGAAACAGTAGGCAGGAAAAGAAAGCAAGGGAGGTTGAAGTATAAGTGTAGGGTCCGAATGATCTGTTGTCATGATTTGTGGCAACACAGCATTTAGAAAGGAATGTCACTAATGAGAGGTTTCATTTTATTCACAAATTTTTTCCTGATGTGGAAAACTGTGACTTTCTTTTGCTAGTTAACTGCAAAATAAACTTTGGAAAACATATTCATAGGAATAATGAATCACTTGGATACTAACCTAATCCATGGCATCGAGATCAGTGCAGATATTTAGGAATTAGTAATATATTTGGATACATGATTGACACACCAATCTTGCCTTTTTGTATATCTACTTTTCTGTGAGGAGATCTTCTCACAGAGCCATTTTGGCAGTATGTCTTACTTGGGTATATCTTTTGTTAATTTCTCTACATTTCAATTAAAAAATATTCCATGAGTGTGTAACCATTATTTGAAAATGTCTGCAATGAAGAAGGAAATAATTTAAAGATGGGTAAGACCAAGATGCCTGTAATATTGTAAAACATATTTAGTCTTTGTCCCCATTTCCTGGCATACAACTCGTACAATTTTTGGAGTCTTCAAACTGATGTGTTTTTTTTGTATGCTAATATTTTGACTGATGGGTTGCAGTCCCCTAGGTAGCTTTAGGATGGGAGCTGGTCACCAAAAGACCAAGGCAAGATTAGGGGGAAGGGAACGGGGCCCAAAGGTTAAGTTGATCACTAACGGGCAATGGTTTAATCAATCATGCCTATGTAATGAAGTCTCCTTGAAAGCCCAAAAGGACTAGGTTCAGAGAGCTTCTGGATGGCTTAACACATGGAGGCTGCTTGAGGGTGGTAAGCTCAGGGGGGACCTGAAAGCTCAGCACCTCCTCCCTCATATGCACTCCTCATCTGTATCCTTTGCAATACCCTTTATAATAAACCAGTAAGTTTAACTGTTTCCCGGAATTCTGTGAGCTGCTCTAGGAAATTAAGCCCGAGGAAAGAACCTTGATTTATAGGCAGTTGGTCAGAAGCACAGGTTAAATAACCTGGAGCTTGTGATTGGCATCAGAAGTGCAGGGCAGTCTTGGGGACTAAGTCCTCAACTTGTGATATTCTGACACTGTCTACCTGGAGATAGTGTCAGAATTGAATTGAATTAGAGAACACCCAGCTAGTGTCTCCTGCAAAATTGCTTCCTTGCTTGCTTGGTGTGTAGGGAAAAAAAAAGCCCCCACATCTGGTCACAGAAGTCTTCTGTGTTGATTGTTGAGATAATGGGAAAAGCACTTTGGTTTCGTTTTTATTCCAATATTCTCAATGCCTTAATAATTTTCTGCTTAAATAATTCCAGCAACATTATTACTCTGTCACTGTTAAACCTGTAGGAGCTCAGAGAGTTTGGAATGCTACTTTTGAAATAAAAACATAAAGTGGATTAGATAATGAGCTATATTCTTTCTTAACACCACCTAGTTTTGAAATTAATAACCTGTTAAGGAGTCTGCCATGTGTCTAGAAACAATAGACTTCACCGGATCCTTTTTTTCTAAATCACTTGCTGTTTTTCCCAAGGCTTCCTCCAAAGGATTCAAAGCTATCTCTTCCTTCCTCCAAGCTAAATAAAAATGTAGGACCGGGACAGTCCTGTCCTATCAGCCTATGTCTCTTGAAATGTACATGTCCCAAGTTCAAGAAAAAACAACCAATGGCAACCATAAACCAACTAGAATGTCTCTGTGCCCCATTTTCAAATCCCAAGAGAATGTGATGGCCAGTGTTGAGCCAGGGGTCCACCTCTGGTCCAATTAGCTCAGCCAGAGCAGTGACACTATGGATGAGAAACATTGTCATTAATAGCCACAGGGTTATTTTGGAGGTAACTCAGATTCACAGATGGCAGCTTAAAAGAAAAGCGTATTTGTGATTCCAAATTCAAACCAAAGCCCACCCCCTACCTTCTTTCTCTTCTATGCTCCATTGCTATCATTAGCTAATTATAGCCACAGAGCCTACCCCTCTGAATCCTTGCCTGGAGAAAGCTTGTTTCTCTTTAAATGGAGCTCAGCCAACAGTTGCTTGTTCTCATGTAAATTTCATACAAACAGGCCCTGAAACTTAAAAGGATATCTTTAAACCCCATTAAATAACACAGTTCCTTAGCAGGAATTTCTCTTGGGAAGGGATGTCTTCTATTCAAATGCTATGTTATGACAAGCATGACAGACTTGATGGGGATCTGTTCTGACTCATGACATTGCATAAATTGGGTTAGGTGGAATGTGTGCCTGCATTCTAAGAAAAGCTCCTCGGGGCCTCAGCCCTATTATTTTTGTTAATAGCTCTGAATTATGACTATCTCCTCCTAGGAATGATACACCCCATTTCCACATTGGGTGCGTCATGGAATCTATGTAATACATGATTCCTTACCGGCAAAGCCAAGTGGCCTGCACACATTAAAAACTAATTTACAGTTGTACTTCTTCCTCTCCTTCTCTTCTTCCCCTAGGCCAGAGTTGGCCTGCCTCACCACCAGAACTTCAGTTTCTCCCAAATGTGATGAGGTCCCTGCTGTTTCTAATTTAACTTTTACCAAAGGGAGGAACTCTAGAATGGATTCTGATCCACACTGTATTCCTCAAACTCGATTCACAGGCAACATTTCTTTAGGGGCAAAGGTTTAACTTGTGCATGTTTTCATCATTATTGGTTATTATCAGAAGTAAAAAATTGGCTCTTTGAGACCATTTTGTGCATACTACAAATTCTTAGCTATAAGGCAAATCCAGCTCCTTGTGTTATATTCAAGGAAATCTGAAACAGGACATAGTTTGTTGGAAGTTTTACAATCCACTCAAACAGACTTAAGGAAATAAGAATTTGTTGACTTTTATGAATGAAAATTCCAGCTCCTCCCTCCCATCTGCCCCCATGCAAAGTTAGACCTAAAGATTTGAACATCACTGGGACAGAGTTTCTCTCCACCACTTAGTTCTGTTTTCCTTAGTGTTGGCTTCACTCTCAGGCAGCTTCCTGTAGCCAGTAAAGATGCCTGGCAGCTACAGGATCACATTTTCCAAACATTAAGCCAGGAGAAAGGAAGATCTTCTTCTCCAGTAAATCCAATAAAATCCCATAATTTCTACAGGCTTAGTTTCAGTCACTGGGGTGAAAAGACCAAGGCACTCTGATTGGCCAAACCTAGCTCATAGGTCTGTCATTAGAGCCGGAAAGTGAGATCAACCTACCTGAACTACAGTGCGCGATGCAAGAGATAAGGTCTTCTCCAAAGGAAAAGCAAGATGCTGTCATAAAAATAAAGGGCAGCATGAACAGCAAAGCCCATTTGCAATATGTGTTGGTCTGCTTAAGCTGCCATAACAAAATACTACAGACTGGTGGCTTAAGCGACGGAAATTTACTTTCCCACAGTTTGAGGCAAGAAGATCAAGGTGACAGGGGGCTTGGTTTCTAGGGAGGTCTCTGTTCCTGGTTTGCAGATGGCTCCCTTCTCATTGTGTCCTCATATGGCCTCTTTCCTGTGTGCACACACTCTTGAGGTCTCTTCCTCTTTCTTATAAGGAAAACAGTCCTATCAGCTAGGACCCCACCCTTATGACCTCATTTAACTTTAATTACCTCCTTCAAGGCCCCATCTTCAAATACAGTCCTATTACAGGTTATGGCTTCAACTTATGCACCTTAGGGGACAAAATTAAGTTCATAAATAGAATGAATAAGTGATATAACAATTAAGGTCATAAAATTAAATAGAATAAATAAGTGATATAATCCAGATAATAATTAAAAGCAGGGCTGAGGCTGGAAGTCGCATCATAACTCCTAAAACAATGTTCTCTTTGCCTTATTACCTTTTGATCTCCCTCTGTAAATCTTTGACAAGCTTCTTGTTTGGAGCTAGGGATCAGAAGCTGTCCAGGACAGAAAATGAGCCTAGTCCAAAGTTCTCAACTTCACCACTATTGGCATTTAGGGCCAGACAAATCTTTATTCTTGGGAGATGTGCCATGCATTGTAGGTTGTTTGGCAGCATCCTACCCACCAGATGCCGGCAGCACACCCTTTCCACCCCCACTCTCCCCAAGTGTGAACAATCAAAAATGTCTCCAGACATTGCCAAATGTCACCTGGGGAGTAAAATAGCCCTAGTTTCAAAACCATTGGCCTAGTTATTTGAGCGTCTTATCTATTATTGTTTTACTACAAAATAGCCTTTCAGTATTCTGTCGCTCGGATTGCTACTACAAGGAATCCTTGTGCATAAGAATAAATTAGATTCTCAGGGCCCAATTCCAGAGACTATAATTAAGTAGTCATATGTGAAGCCAAAAAATATGCATTTTTGTAAGTCTTTTGAAACCAAGCTTCAAAAAGTACTACTGGTCATTTTATCACTAGTTCCTTCATTCAAGACGTGATTTACTGAGTGTGTACTATGCCAAGAGTAGTCCTCAAAGCTGGTACACAAAATCACATCTTTCAAAGAGCTTTCATACTGGAGGAGAAGACAGACAAGAAACATAATAAATAAGTAACAAATAAGTGACAAAGCTAATTGGAAGAAGGGATTGCCAAGAGCAGGAATAAAGTAAATTTGTAAATAGAGTAGACGGAGTTAACCTCAATGATGGAGTCACATATGAGCAGATACATGGAGGATTTGAGGAAGTGTGCCATGCATGTTAACTGGGGGAAGAGCATGTCAGAGAGAAAATAGCCCATGAAAAGGCCCTGAGGTGGATGTCCGCCTAACTTATTCAAGGAGTAGCAAGAAGATGACATGACTGAGTGAGGTAGAGTGAGCAAGAGGAAGAGGAAGATGAGTTGAGAGCTGAGAGGTAATGAGGGCCACATCATGCAAAATATTATCTAAAATTATCAGGACTTCATACAATGAGGAGCCAGGAAAGAGTTTTGAGCAGAGGCACGACATGATTTAACTGATGTCTGGTTGCTGTATTTAGAATACTCAATGGGAGGAAATGAGAAAAAAGAGACCAGTTAGGTGATTATTAGAATTGGCAACAAGGAATTCGTTGGTGACATTGCTGGAAGTAGTTTCAGTGGAGTCTGGAGGAACACCTGAAAAAACTTGTTGAATAAGTTCGGGGAGAATGTGGAGACCATTAGCATAGATCATTCTTAGAGGAGGTTTGTAAAAGCAGAGCAGATAAAGGAAGCTTTAGCTGGAGGGAGCAATGGAATCAAGGAAGATTGTTTAAAGGTGGCAGAGAGTGCAACGTGTTCTACACAGCTGGGAACAATCTAGTAGAGGAGCCAGAATTGATGAAGTAGGGGAAAGAAAGCAGGGAATTAACTGCAGGAGCAGTGTTTTTGAGCAGAGAGGTTGGGCTTTTGTACGTAAGGGAAAGTGTTGCCTTTGGGGAGAAATGTGGCTGGTTCCCCTATGGTGACAAGAAGGAAGACACAGCATATAGACACACCTGCTGAAAGGTAAGTGGTTGTGGAGATGGGAGTTTGTGGAAGTTCTCTTGTTATTGCTTTAATTGTCTCTGAAGGAAACAGCAAAGTCATCAAAGAATGATGAGCAGAAGGAGATGTTAGCATTTTGAGAAGGGAGGAGGTGTCAGGAAGCATGTGGGAGACTGAACCGATGTGTTAATAATGCCAAGCAGCACGGCTGAACACCAGAAGGTGGGTCAGAGGATAGGAAAATGATGTGATCAAAGCATTTCTGCAGTGTGTGTGTTGGGAGACTACCAGCAGAATGAAGTTGCCAGCACTGGAAGTTGTTTTAAGGAATGTGTTTAGGACAGACAGACAGGAAGGATGCTAAATCACTGAGTCTTGGTCAGCCTAAGAGAATAGTGGGGAGGACAAACGTAGGCTGGGAGAATTGAGAGGCACTCGAGAAAAATGTTTGACCCGAGTTTGATATGGCTCTTGGGCTAGAGCCCAAGCATTGTTCGTTACATGGTCCATCATAGTCCTCTGGTAAATAGGTCTTTTACTTCTCACTCTCACCCCACAAAGGTTTTCTTGGGGGAAGACTGCGAGAAGGTCTTTGATAGCCATTGAACCTCTTTGAAGAACAGCTACCATAAATTACCAAATGGTGGTCTAGCGTTCATACCAGCAGAGTTGGGAAAACGTGTCCTTTAAAGTTGAGATAGGCTGGGCCCAGTGGCTCACACCTGTAATCCCAGCACTTTGGGAGGCTGAGGCAGGCAGATCACTTGAGCTCAGGAGTTTGAGACCAACCCAACATGGCAAAACCCTGTCTCTACCAAAAATATAAGAAATTAGCCAGGTATGGTAGTGCGTGCCTGTGGTCCTGGCTACTGAGGAGGTTGAGGTGGGAGGATCGCTTGAGCCTGGGAGGCAGAGGTTGCAGTGAGCCAAAATCACACCACTGCACTCCAGCCGGGGTGACAGAGTATCTCAAAAAAATAAAGTGGGGATGCTTGTAATATAGTGACTAATATATGTTGAATAACACAGAAGTGAATATTTCCTTCAGCAAATAAAATCAGATGGAAATGCATTTTTCCAAAACTATAATTTTCAGAAGAGCACTGAGCCATCCGCTCCTCACCATCCTTGCATAAATGAAGGCCCAACAGGATCAATTAAGCTCATTTGTTGACACAGCCTATTAAAATACCTCCAGGCCTCTAGGAAAAAAAAATGAGCCCAGAATGCACTGTGCACAAAGCAAAAACTGATGGAGGAAAATCGATTAGCAAATGAAACTGAATCTGAGAGGCAAGACTAGAGGTTGAAAGGACTTAATTTGAAAATTGTATATAATTTTAGCATAAAATTATGCTAAAAAGAGGGCTGCCATTCTGTGTGTTCACTTATGTGCTTTTTAAAAAGTACTTTTCTTAGTTCACACCTTATAATGCATATGTCTAAATAAGTATTGTTTCCTTCAAAATAGTTGTCTTTGAAGTTTGGCCCTTGTTCTAGCAATGTTCACAGGAGGTGGTGTCAGAACTCATGGAGCATCCTTTTGCACATGCCAGTATTATCCCATTTCCATCTGGGAGGATTTAGCTTTCATAAGAAGCCACAGGTTGTTTAGAATCAAAGCTTCCAAATAACACGGCTGATCCAGATAAGCGATTTGGGTTTCTAACAAGAAGAGGCCTGATTTTCCAATGTGGCATGTAAATTTACAGACAATTTGCAAAGTTGAGATGAGAGGAAAATCATTTCAAAGACGGGCTATATCACTAGAATATACTTGTAACCCCCTACAAGTAAATTTTCCCTAATTAGAAATAGCTTTATATTTTTCTACTTATGATCAACAATTTATACAGACAAAAACTGTATTTAATCCCACTGCCAAGAAGTACCTATGACTGATATTTTTGTATATTTTTTAAAGTTTGCTTGTACTTGTAGAGTTTGAAATGTTGAGAATTTGAGGAGGAATGGGATTATGCTATATAACAATTTTATTTTGTCATTTACTTAAATGGGTATCATTCTGTATCAAATATGGAATCATTTTTAATGGCTGCTTGGTGTCATGTTGTAGAAGGGTTTCATAATTTATTTAACCAGCCCCCTTCTCATGGGCATATATGTGACGTTCACTTTTTTGCTATTATCAATAACAAAACTATGCATGTTGTTGTCATTCACAATTCTCTTATTTACAGAAAGGCCTGAACTTGTTCTTCCCACTTCCTAATCCTCCCTCAGTCTTTCTCTTGAGTTAATATGCTTTTGAACGATGTCTAACTTAAGGGGTTTCCATGGTCATCATTTTTTGAACCACAAAGAAGGCAAAGTTCAAATAAGAATGTTCTACTCCATCGCTGCTCCTGATGTAGATGCTAGGGATCCTGATCTTAATGTTGTTCTGTTGGCCAGGAGAGGACAAATTCAATTATTGCCTGTTGGCTAGACCACAGCTCTAGGCAGCCATCCCCATGGGAACCCGGAGGACAAAATGAACATTCAGTTATAGGTCACTGTGATGCCGCAGTGCTCTCAGCTCACATAATATGGTGATACAGTCAGTCAGAGAAGGAATAGAGGGACCTATTTATGAATTATCTAATCCATCCTCTGCATTCTATAAGCATAATGGCTAAGTTCCGGGAAGGTGAAGTTGCCTGCCCAAGGTTGTATGGCCACCTGGGAGACAATGTAAAGCCCCCACATCATTGAACAGGAGATCCAGAGTTACACCTTGACTGGGCCTTCTGGGACCCTAAAACTGCGTTCTATGAGCACCTGAGTCAAACTAATTAGTCAAAATGGGGTCATAATACCTATGTGAGACGATGGTGGTGAAATCCATGAAACGGTAAGTTCTCAACACAGTTATTTTCCAGAATTAGTAAAAAAGTAGCATAGTATTAGTAGTAGTGTTATTGTTGTCATTGTAGCTATTACCATTGTGGCTATGTGGTAGCAATGGTAGTTGTTATTGCATTGTAAGAGCAGTTGTAGAGAAGAGGCCAGGAGAGGACTCTGGTAGTGGTAGTAGCAGTTCTTCTAGTAGAAATAGGCACTGTTTTGTGGTGTTGTTGGTGTTGCAGTTGCCATAGCTGTTACAGCGATAGCTGCTGACATGGTAGAATTCAGGCAGAAGGAAGGCAAGATGAGTATTTCCTTTATTTTACCTATCTTACTAAAGCTCCTAATTCATTATTTTGAACCCCAGGTAAAAGGCAGAATTCAGTCTGAGATGTACACATCCTTGTGTGCTTCTATGAGGATACTAATCCTCATTGTTTCCTGCGATGCAAGAAAGCACAAAGTCATCTACTTCTAGTTCACACCACAGCCTCATTTGCCTCTGACCCCAGGGAAACTCAGTTGTTTGGTTAAAGCTATAGGAGAGGCCAAATGTTTAAATACTGAAGTAAATATAATGTTTATCACAGTCACGTTTTTAATTTCTTTTTTCTACTTGCTTTCTTGACAAAATGAGTTCCTTTTGCTAAGTGTGTGGCTTTAAAATTTTAATGGAGAGGGAGAAGAGAAATGTGTCTATGTGTAGGCAATCACAATTCTCATGAATATAACAAGTGGATCCTATCCAAGGTTACATCTTCAAATCTTGTGTATGGATTTATTCATTGACTCCCTACAGGATTAACGGGAATCACACTGATAAATTACAACCCATAACATTTTTTTCAAATTAAGGGCCAGACATCTGCTAAGGATGCTCAAAATCAAATTAATTTTTTTCCTATGTTCATATTCAGATATTCTGAAAGAGAAAATAATTATCTAACCTTACAAGAAGGCCTGCAGAACCAGCAAGCAACCCTTTCTGTTGGAATGCTCTATCTAGTCTGTGCTTCCTTCAATTCATCTGAAGGTCATTTTAAAAATTCAACATCCAAAATGGTCTTAAGAAATAGCCATGATTTACACGATGGTGCGAATGTTTATTTAATGCATGTTATGTGCCCCACACAGTGCTAGGGGTCTTCTCTTATGCTGTTGCATCAACCTATGAGACTGGTTCAATGAGAGGGTACCATTGGCATCTGGTGGGTGGAAATCAGGGATGCTCCTACACACCCTACCATGCTCAGGACAGCTCCCACAATAAAGAATTATTCGGCTCAACATGTTAACAGTACTGAAGGTGAGAAATATAGAATTAGTCTTCCTTTTCATTTAACTGTTCATTCCTTCATTTATCACACATTTACTGAGCACCCATAAATGTGTGATTTCCCCACATATATATACAGAATATACAGAATATTTCTCTTCGCAATAAGGAACTCTGAGTATATATACTATTTTTCAAAAGGTAGCTCAGGTATTATCTATAATACAATCCCCAGGAGTGCTTCAAAGATGCAGATTCCTGGGGCCCACCCCACAGCTCCTGAGCTAAAAATCTCTCAGGATAAGGCCCAAGAGATTGCACTCCATTTTTCTTCATGTTAAAATTTAAAAAGTCTGAACTATTAAAAATGCAACATATTTATGACATACCATATAGGCCATTTTAATAAGACAATATAAACAATGATATGGAATATTTGAAAATTTTAAAATAAACTAAATGCACAAAGAATATTTAATTGACTTTTATTCTACCAAGTTTCACAGATGTTAAATTATTTAACACACACAACAACCCTCTTGAGTAAATAAATATTGCTCATATTGCTCATATTAATACCAGTTCAGATAAGCAGCACTGATATCCAAGTTAGCTGAAGACCTACCACTTACAGGGGCTGAGGAACTTGCGCAGGTTCACATGGTTGGGATGTGGCAGAATCAGGACCCAAAGCCCACAGAAACTGCAGTATCCACACTTCCCAACATAATGGGAAACCTGCCAAATTTCTCTGTCCCTTTCATCTCTTCCAGATCCCGCTGTCCACAGTTATCCTATCTCCTCTTGTTCTCAGCAGGTACCCACCCAGAGACCCCTCCCCAGCCCTGTGCCAGCAGCCCAAGGTGGCCAGCCTCGAGTCGGGCTCTTTATTTGAATCCTAGTTAGATTTCCAATTCATTTGTTAGAAGTGGAGATAAATTAATATTTCTAAATGTTCACAAAAGGAGAAATTGCTACAATTTACAAACTATACCTGACTCTGTTCTAAAAAGGATATAACCTAAGGAAAGGCTCAGTTCTGAATGTCTGAAGGCACATGTGTGTATGAGAGAGCATCCAAAACTGTTCCTCTAATGCATTCCCCAGGTGATCCTAACACTCAGAGAGTTTGAGGCTCACTTTTTCAGGAGGTAAGAGAAACCATATAAATTACAACATATCCAGCCAAATATTCAAATAGATAAAGTGCTATTTAAATTCAATTTAGCATTAAAGCTTAATCCTTCCACTATGTGAAATTTCTTTGGCTACCCCACAATGCAACGATCTCTTAAAATATTCATAAAACGTAATTGTTCACTAATTGTTTCTGAGAATAGGGTTTTCCTTTTCCATCTAGATGTAATCCCTTAGAGTACCATGGCTTCGTATTTCCTGGTGTGTCTCTGGGGTCTACCAAAGGCTCAGTCAGCCAGGATTGTGGCCTGACTATTGAATGGCATGGGTCGGGGAAGCAACACAGAATCTATGAAAAAAAAAAATCAATTTTTCTCAACACTAAGATAAACAGTGGGCTGATGTCTATCTAAACATGAGTCCCAGGTGGACCCTGGCCCTCTTCCCTTAAATGTATTAGTCCAATCCTAGTATTTAAAAAGTCCTTTTATTAACGTGGATTTTCCCCCTTTTGAGAGTTTGTCACAGCAAAAAATAGCAGAACAGATCACCAATTTCTTCAGTGATAGAAGATTTATTACTGGCATATCGATCCTGTTCTCATCTGCCATGATGAAGATCCCAGCTGCTCAGAACTCCCCCTCTGACAAAATTCTCCATCACTGTCACATGTGGCCCAACAATGAACCTTCCTAGACTGCTTGAGAAGCAGAGGAGACTTGCTCCCTACGGAACACGTGGATTTTGTGTCTGCCCCAGTCAGTTGTTTTGTGGGGTCAGTTTTGGAGAATTGGCTCTGGTTGCTCAAATGGTTCCAGAACCATAGAATACAAATACCAGTGACACTGGAAGAGGATATGTAAGGTATTATTTTAGAATAATTCAATATTTTACTATGTTTTAGTTTTTTACCTATTGCACAACCCGAATCACTAAATCACCTCTCAAACAGTTTTAAGACAACAACTTCTGCTGTCACCAACCGAGCTTCCCAGCCCCGCCTGGTACACCATGTATAAGATTTGAGTGTGCAAATGCAATGCAAACTAAACAATTATGGGTGTGGTACTCATGCAATAAAGAACCCAACCAAGTCACCCATTTCCATTTTATGAAGTGCCTACAGCTACAGTTCTTGGAACTGATGAAATGTTCAGAGACTAATATACTTTTTGTCATAGTAATGAGGTGAAAAAAAGAAAATAGAAAGTGATACAAAATGCCAGGTTTTATTACAAATTTCTTTCTGGCAGTTTGGTTAGATTTAGAAACATTTCATTAAGAGATATGCAGCCAGAGTCCATGATGTGTAAAAGGATGAATAATTTTCCAAAGCAAATACAGGTTCTTTCCCTTTCTTGTCTACTCTGGCACCCAAGTACTAACACTTTGTCTCCTGTGGCTGGTGGATCCAATTGGAATGACAAAATAAGAAAATTATTCCATTTGGAATTTCGTTTTTGGTATTGATCAGTAGAACCAAATACTGAGTAGCATTAGGAGTAATTTTTTAGATGGTTAAAATAAATGGTAACTTGGGGTAAACAACTTAGGAGAAGACATGATGCATGAGGCATGTCGGCCAAAGTTACAAAAGAAAATTGACTTGGCCCTTGTTTAGGCCTCTAGACATGATCCGAAGGTAGAGGTTTTGCTAGAAATGAAATAATACTAAAAAACGTAGTCCTTTAGGGCAAACTTTGGGTTTGATCGACAAATGTTTATTTCAGTTTTACAAGCACTGCCCAGATGCCTGTGTTGCTATATTGGGTAAAACCTTGCTTGAAACTATCAGGCAGGCATATATGTCTTCTTGAAGTCCCTTCCAGGCTAGTGAGAGCTCCAGCTGATACAAGCAAGCCACAGGAAAAGGACTTAGGAATGACTCTTGATCTTTCAATGCAGCAAGGAGAATTGAACAAACTACTTCTTTCAGGCTTGTAAAGAAAAATGTCCTCACTTTATCTTTGACCTTCTGATATTTCTCAGTTTTACCATATTTCTTTATTTGTTGTTTATACTCATGAGATTTCAAGCAATTTGTGAATAGCCGTCAAATGAGAGGAGCTGAAATCTTGGAAATTACCATCTAGGGGCTAAAATACAAGAATGGTATTTCTGAACAAAATGCAAAACTTACATACAGAAGGAATATTACTTTTTATGAATCAAGGCATCAAGCAAGTCAGGATTAAGTGGAAGGAAATGTCTTTGAAATAACAGTATTTGTGATTTATTCTCATCTGTTATATTTCAAGCTAATTATCTTTTAGGTAAAAAACTAAAAAGATTTTAATCTGTTTTTTGAAGTTCATCCCCATCAAATTAGGCAGAATATATATACGGAGCTTCTTGCTGTCAGGAGTAGGCTCCAGCAGTTATTTAAAAATTAATAGCAACTGCCTTTGTAATATTTCACTTTTTGACAGACGTCACCATTTACTGACTCCTGAGAAGCTTATAATTGTTCTAATTCTCTAAGGAAACAGCTTTATGTGCCAGCAAACTATTTGCCTCAATTTAAGATCAAAAAGGAAAATTGAGACTTTATCTTAACAGGGTCATTTTTAGGTACAATATGTAATGTATGCAAAATGTCTTACATACATGGGTAATTATTAAGGCATTAAATGGTAGCAATTAAAAGTTGAGCTCTGGAATAAGTTAGACTTATTCTATTTACTATTAAACTTATTCTATTTACTAAATAGTCTATTTACTATTTGAGCAAGTTTTGTATCCCTTACAGCCTCAGTTTTCTGATCAGTAACACGGGAATAATGACACTGATCTTATGAAGTTGTAGGTAATAAAAAGTGCCTAGAACACAAATAAGTAAACTTTTATTACTATTGTTCTCCTATTTCAAGAATATTTTACTTCTCATAAAGAAAAGGGGACAAAGTTACTGAGCACCTAAGTATCAAACTACATGATATGTATTATATATCTATTCCATTCATGCCTTTATAATAGGGGTTGTGGTCCTCTTTGCACACGGGAACTATGAAAAGCAGAGGTTAGATAAATATCATGGTCTCACAGCTACTCTCTAGTCAAGTCAGGATTTGAACTAAAGTTTGGACCCCACAACCCTAGGATCTTATTCACTATTGTGCACTGATATGTGTTCAGTGGCACTCTGGAAAGGGAACAGTGACAGGGACTGAGGAAATCAGGGCCCGGAGAGGCTACATAACTTTCACAGGACCAACCAGTGACAACACGAAGACTGATTCCAGCCTTCTGACTCCTGCCGGGGCCTGCTTCCTCTGTATTCAAAGCTAGCAATAACAGGCCAAGTCCATCTTGCACTCCAAATCTCCTGCCTCTTCTTCCATGGTATGATTCAACTAGATCATTTCCCTCCCTTACCAACCCCCCTCCCTGCAAAGATGGCTATTCTAAATTTGGAACACCAAACCTATCTTATATGAATTATCAAATATTTAGCTCTTCTAAATGACTTTTTCTATTTTATTGAGGCTCTTTTATTGCCGTGCTACATAGCAGGTTCAATTATTATATAATTGAAGAAACCTATTCCAGTAATATTAACATTGTACTATTTAATAATTAGCATTTTACTATAGATTCACACAACGAATGCTGGATCTACATGACCTCTTCCTGTACCTGTCAGACATCACGTCTTACTTTTTACCCCCTCACATGTTCATTCCACTCCAGTCAGGCTGGCTCCTTGCTCTTACCTGTATTCCTTCTAATTCTTATCCATGTCTTAGAGCTTTGGCACTAACTTCGACCTGAGATGTTTCTCCCCCAGATAGCCTTATAGGATTCCTGTTGGACCTCTGGGCTTTTGCTTAAATGTCACCTCCTCATCAGTAAGGGCACACCTAACCCCGCTTTTTAAAATTGACTGCTACTAAACTTTTGATCTTCCTTCTCTTGCTTTTAGGCCTCTTTAACCACCTTCTAAAATATGTAATTAGGCTTATAGCTTATGGCCTATCTTGCCTGGCTAGAATGTAATCTCAATAAGGGCCAGAAAGAAGTTACAAGGACAAGAATCTTTGCATTTTATTCTTTAGTGAAACCAAGCCCTTAGAAGGGTGGCTAGACTACTTATTTGGCAAATGAGTGAATGACTTCTAGTTAAAATTCATGCTTTTCTGATTTTGTTGGAGATTAACTATTCAGACAATGACCAACTTTTTCATCCGGGGGGACCAGATAGATTTCCCTTGATTCATGACTTCTTTACATTCTTCAGTGAGACTCAATAGTTACTTCCTTATATATCCCACTCTAATGATGCCATCAACTCCTATCCCTAACAGTGGCTCACAACAGCCATGTTTCCCTTCAGCAGGGCCTAATCACTTAGCAGGATGTGTCACTGTTCCAGAGAATAATATTATTTGGGAGTCTTCTTCAGTTTTAATAAAGAACACTATTGATCTTTCTGTATATTTATCTTTTATCTAACCACACAATGCAAATCTGCATCTGTTCTAATAATTTTTAAGTTGATTTTCTTGCATTTTAGGATAGAAAAAAATTTATTGTATAGAAGTTATCTTTTCTGCTAGACTGTCATTTATTTTTTGTGTTGTTGCATTGACTAAGACATCTAGTGCAACATTGAATAATAGCAATAAAATACTAGGCATCAGTAACTTTTTTCCTGACTGTAAAAGCTGCATTTCTCATGTTTCCTTATAAAAGATTATCTATGCTCATAAGATTGATTTTATTCATTGTTTTACTGAGAATTCTATTTAAAGTACTATATGTGGAATTCAATCAAATCCCTTTCTAGCCTCTAGATATATAAAATCTTTTTTTTCTTCCTTTTCCCAGAGGTTAGCAAAACCCACTCTTGTTTTAATAATGTTATACTGAAACACAGCCTCACCCATTTATTTACATATTACCTAACACTACTTTGGGGCCACAATGAAAGAAGTGAGTACTTACAACAGAGATTGCTTTTGCACAGGGCCTAACATATTCATTGGCCTTTTACAGAAAAAAGTTTTTTGACCCTTCTTTTAGCCTATTTATATACATATGAGATTAATAAAACTACAAGTGTTCAACTATTCTGATCCTGCTTTAGTGTAAAACTACAATGTTAATTGTAGCAAAAGTTAATTCTTTGAATACTTTGCTGAATTCATTCAATATTTTCTTTTGGATTTTTAAACTGTTAGGAGACTGGTCCGTAATTTTTCAGTACTATTTATAGGTTTTGGAATTAGTTTTGTTACTTTGATAAAAATAAATTGGGAAGGTTTCCATCTGTAATTGGTTAGCTCAGGTTGCCATAACAAACTGCCACAGACTGGGTGGCTTAAACAACAAATTTATTTCTCACACATCTGGAGGCTGGGAAGTCCAAGGTCTAGGTGCAGGCTGATTCCATTTCTGGAGAAGGCTTTCTTCCCAGCTTGTAGATGGCTGCTTCCTTATTGTATCTTCATGTGGCAGCAAGAAAAAGACAGCCCTCTGTCTCTTATTTAAAGTCACTAATCCTACTGGATTCGGGCCATACCCTTAGGACTTCATTTAATCTTAATTACCTCTGAAAGATCCTGTCTCCAAATACACTCACACTGAAGATTAGGACTTCAACATATGAAGTGGGAGAAAAACAAAATTACTGGATAGCATCATCCTCACACATGCTCTAAAACATATTAGTTTTGTAGACTCAGCAACATAATATTTTTCTCCTGCTCCTTTGTAGGGCATAGATCTGTTCTACCATTTTCAACTTACTTTGTGAATATGCTGATCATGAATCTATTTTAAATATTTATCTCAATCATTTCTTTAATTTAGATTTTTAAATAGACATGAGCTTTATACAGCATTTTTTATAGTTTAAAAATCTTTTCCAGATATACCAATAAGTTCCTTCTCATTCCAAAGTTGTCTTGTCTTTTTTGTAATTCAAACTAGCAAAAATCTATTTTTTTGTCCTTTTACATATATCCAGCTCTCACAGTTTTCTCTCAAATCTCCATTTTTTATTTTCAATTAATTCTTTAATCTTAATTCTTTCAAACTCCTTGTCAGTTGTTTTATTCTTTTTATATTACTGAACGGAATGTTTATTTGTTGCTATTTTTTTCCTTTTCAGTGGAACTGTTGAAGACCAGGATTTTTTTTTCTTTCGAAGATTTCTATTCCTGCATACTATACACTTTAAGTACAAGTCTCATTAACAATACTTTCCAAAGGTCTGTGATTTCACTGTTGAAATGGCTGTACTTCTCATGTTACCTGTAAATGATGACTCTTTGACCTAAGGTTCATTAGAAGGTTTCAAGATTCATTAGAAGATTTCGTTTCCAATAGGTTAAACTTTTACTATGTTACCCTTAAATGTGTCTTGTACTGCTTCTGCTTCAGGGACTTTTAGGAAATTTTCTATTGTCTCTTTGAGTATAGTACCCCTATTTTTCTCTGTGCAGACTCAAGGGGCAGGTCTCTACAGACCACCAAGACAGTGACTCTTCTCATTCTCCATCCAAATGCTTTCTTGCAGTGATGGTTGTTTGTAGGAATATAACAGAATGTCTTTACGGCTACTTAACATTTTATCTCCGGTTGTAATTGAGCCAGTGCGGGGGAAACATATGTGAAATAACCAGCAATACTCAGTTACACAGACTTAATATAACCTCTCTGTAAACTCAAGTTCTTTGTATGCAGCCCAAAGACCTCCCCAACTTATCTCAATGTGTGGGTTACTCAACCTCTAATTACTGGCAATAAGAATTTGATTCGCGCTGGTTTTGATTTCTTTTCTACATAACTTGCTGTGAATTTTCTTAAAATGTTATCATTATCACAAAGCATGGGCCATTTCACGGGCAACTGAGAATGGAATATATACACTTGTCAGTGTTTGGTGAAACTCTCTACTTGGTCAAATATCAGCTGTGCTCCTGTCTTCTGCTGCTTTCCCACCATTGAAAATATTTGGCAATTTTCTTGGCATCATCTCACTATTTTCTCACTTTTCCTATAAGGTCTTATATTTTTTCAAAAAGAAATTTACCACTTATTTTAGAATGTTATTTTTTTCCACATTTATTGAGGTATAATTGACAAATAAAAATAGTGTGTATTTAAGGTTTGCAACATAATATTTTGATATACATATACCTTGATAAATGATTAACAAAATTAAGCTATCAAAATATTAATCACCTCACAATCATCTCTTTTTTGGCAGTAAGAATACTTAAAAATTATTCTCAGCAAATTACAAAGATTGAATACATTTTTTAAATTAAACTTTAAGTTCTCAGATACATGTGCAGAACGTACAGAGTTGTTACATAGGTATACACATGCCATAGTGGTTTGCTGCACCCATCAACCTGTCATCTACATTAGGTATTTCTCCTAATGCTATCCCTCCCCTAGCTCCCTACCCACTGACAGGCTCTGGTGTGTGATGTTCCCCTCTGTGCATCCATCTCTTCTCATTGTTCAACTCCCACCTATGAGTGAGAACATGTGGTGTTTGGTTTTCTGTTCTTGTGTTAGTTTGCTGAGAATGATGGTTTCCAGCTTCATCCAAGTCCCTGCAAAGGATGCAAAATCATCCTTTTTATGGCTGCATAGTATCCCATGGTGTATATGTGCCACATTTTCTTTATCCAGTCTATCATTGATGGGCATTTGGGTTGTTTCTAAGTCTTTGCTATTGTGAACAGTGTTGCAATAAACATACATGTGCATGTGTCTTTACAGTAGAATGATTTATAATTATTTGGGTATATACCCAGTAACGGAATTGCTGGGTCAAATGATATTTCTGGTTCTAGATCCTTGAGGAATCACCACACTGTCTTCCACAATGGTTGAACTAATTTACACTCCCACCGACAGTTTAAAAGCATTCCCATTTCTCCACAGCCTCTCCAGCATCTGTTGTTTCCTGACCTTTTAATCATGGCCATTCTAACTGGTGTGAGATGGTATCTCATTGTGGTTTTGATTTGTATTTCTCTAATGACCAGTGATGATGAGCTTTCTTTTTATATATGTTTGTTGGCCAGTGTCTTTTGAGAAGTGTCTGTTTATATCTGTTGCCCACTTTTCGATGAGGCTTTTTTTTTTCTGGTAAATTTGTTTAAGTTCCTTGTAGATTCTGGATATTAGCCTTTTGACAGATGGATAGATTGTAAAAATTTTCTCCCATTCTGTAGGTTGCTTGTTCACTATGATGATAGTTTCTTTTGCTATGCAGAAGCTCTTTAGTTTCGTTACATCCAATTTGTCAATTTTCGCTTTTGTTGCCATTGCTTTTGGTGTTTTAGTCATGAAGTCTTTGCCCATGCCTATGTCCTGAATGATTGCCTCGGATTTCTTCTAGGGTTATTAAGGCTTAAGTCTTATGTTTCAGTCTTTAATCTATCTTGAGTTAATTTTTGTATAAGGTGTAAGGAAGGGGTCCAGTTTCAGTTTTCTGCATATGGCTAGCCAGTTTTCCCAACACCATTTATTAAATAGGGAATCCTTTCCCCATTGCTTGTTTTTGTCAGGTTTCTCAAAGATCAGAAGGTTGTAGATATGTGTTATTTCTGAGGCCTCTGTTCTGTTCCATTAGCCTACATATCTGTTTTGGTACCAGTACCATGCTGTTTTTGGTTACTGTAGCCTTGTAGTATAGTTTGAAGTCAGGTAGCAAGATGCCTCCAGCTTTGTTCTTTTTGCTTAGGATTGTCTTGGCTGTATGGGCTCTGTTTTGGTTCCATATGAAATTTAAAGTTGTTTTTTCTAATTCTGTGAGGAAAGTCAATGGCAGCTTGATGGGGATAGTGATGAATCTATAAATTACTTTTGGCAGTATGATGATTTTCATGATATTGATTCTTCCTATCCATGAGCATGGAATGTTTTTCCATTTGTTTGTGTCCTCTCTTATTTCCTTGGGCAGTGGTTTGTAGTTTTCCTTGAAGAGGTCCTTCACATCCCTTATAACTTGTATTCCTAGGTATTTTATTTTCTTTGTAGCAATTGTGAATGGGAGTTCACTCATGATTTGGCTCTCTGTCTGTCTGTTATTGGTATATAGAAATGCTTGCAATTTTTGCACATTAATTTTGTATCCTCAGACTTTGAGCATTTAGTCCATTTATATTTAGGGTTAATACTATGATGTGTGAATTTGATCCTGTCATTAGGATGCTAGCTAGTTATTTTGCCCATTAGTTGATGCAATTTCTTCATAGTGTTGATGGTCTTTACAATTTGATATGTTTTGCAGTGGCTGGTACTGGTTTTTCCTTTCCATATTTAGTGCTTCCTTCAGGAGCTCTCGTAAGGCAGTCCTAGTGGTGACAAAATCCCTCAGCATTTGCTTGTCTGTAAAGGACTTTATTTCTCCTTCACTTATGAATCTCAGTTTGGCTAGATATGAAATCCTGGGTTGAAAATTCTTTTCTTTAAGAATGTTGAATATTGGCCTTCACTCTCCTCTGGCTTGTAGGTTTTCTGCAGAGATACCTGCTGTTAGTCTGATGGCCTTCCCTTTGTGGGTAATCCGACCTTTCTCTCTGGCTGCCCTTAACATTTTTTCCTTCATTTTGACCTTGGTGAATCTGATGATTATGTGTCTTGGGGTTGCTCTTCTCAAGGAGTATCTTTGTGGTGGTTTCTGTATTTCCTGAATTTGAATGTTGGCCCGCCTTGCTAGGTTAGGGAAGTTCTCCTGGATAATATCCTGAAGAGTGTTTTCCAACTTGATTCTATTCTCCTTGTCATTTTCTGGTACACCAATCAAATGTGTATTTGGTCTTTTCACATAGTCCCATATTTCTTAGAGGCTTTGTTCCTTCCTTTTCATTCTTTTTTCTCTAATATTGTCTTCACACTTTATTTCTGTAAGTTGATCTTTGATCTCTGATATCCTTTCCTCTGCTTGATCAATTCAGCTATTGATACTTGTGTATGCCTCACGAAATACTTATGCTGTGTTTTTCAGCTCCATCGGGTCATTTATGTTCTCCTTTAAACTGATTATTCTAGTGAGCAATGCCTCTAGCCTTTTTTCAAGGTTCTTAGCTTCCTTACATTGGGTTAAAACATTCTCCTTTAGCTCAGAGGAGTTTGTTGTTATTATCCACCTTCTGAAGCCTACTTCTGTCAGTTTGTCAAACTTATTCTCCATCCAGTTTTGTTACCTTGCTGGCGATGAGTTGTGATCCTTTGGAGGAGAAGAAGCGTTCTGGTTTTTGGAATTTTCAGCCTTTTTGCACTGTTTTCTTTTTTCTTTTTTTTTTTTTTTCATCTTCATGGATTTATCTACATTTGGTCTTTGATGTTGGTGTCCTCCAGATGGGGTTTTTGTGTGGGTGTCCTTTTTGTTGATGATAATGATATTGCTTTCTGTTTGGTAGTTTTCCTTCTAATAGTCAGACCCCTCTGCTGCAGGTTTGCTGGAGCTTGCTGGAGGACCCTCCAGACCCTTTTTGCCTGGGTATCCCCAGCAGAGGCTGCAGAACAGCAAAGATTGCTGACTGTTCCTTCCTCTGGAAGCTTTGTCCCAGAGGGGCACCTGCCAGATGCCAGCCAGAACTCTCCCGTATGAGGTGTCTGTCAACCCCTGCTGGGATGTTTCTCCCTGTCAGGAAGCATGGGGGTCGGGTACCCACTTGAGGAGGCTGTCTGTCCCTTAGCAGAGCTCAAGCACTGTGCTGGGGGATCCACTGTCCTCTTCAGAGTCAGCAGGCAGGAGCATTTAAGTCTGCTGAAGCTGTGCCCACCACCATCCTTTCCCCCAGTTGCCCTGTCCCAGGGAGATGGGAGTTTTACCTATAAGCACCTGACTGGGGCTGCTGCCTTTCTTTCAGGGATGGCCTGCCCAGAGAGGAAGAATCTAGAGAGGCAGTCTGACTACAGCGGCTTTGCCTAGCTGTGGTGGGCTCCGCCCAGTT
Source organism: Homo sapiens (assembly GCF_000001405.40). Lineage (NCBI taxonomy): Eukaryota > Metazoa > Chordata > Mammalia > Primates > Hominidae > Homo > Homo sapiens. The sequence goes on from NC_000003.12 coordinate 68,686,225, forward strand.
TGAACATCCAGGCCAGTTTGTTTACACTGTGAGGGAAAAACCACTTAACTCAAGCCTCAGTAATGGTGGACACCCCTCCCCACAACAAGCTCCAGCATCCCAGGTAAACTTCAGACTGCTGTACTGGCAGTGAGAATTTCACAGCAGTGGATCATAGCTTGCTGGGCTCTGTGCGGGTAAGAGCCACTGAGCTAGACCACTTGGCTCCTTGGCTTCAGCCCCCTTTCCGGGGGAGTGAGTGGTTCTGTCTCACTGGCATTCCAGGTGCCACTGGGGTATGAAAAAAAAAATCCTGCAGTTAGCTCGGTGTCGGCCCAAATGACTGCTCACTTTTGTGCTTGAAACCCAGGGTGTAGGCACCCGAGGGAATCTCCTGGTATGTGGGTTGTGAAGACCATGGGAAAAGCATAGTATCTGGGCCAGAATGCACTGTTCCTCACAGCACAGTCCCTCGCAACTTCCCTTGGCTAGCAGAAGGAGTTCCCCAACCCCTTACATTTCCCGGGTGAGGCAACGCCGCACCCTGCTTCTGCTCACCCTCCCTGGGCTGCTGTACCCACTGTCTAACGAGTACCAGTGAGATGAGCCAGGTACCTCAGTTGGAAATGCAGAAATTACCCACCTTCTGCATTGATCATGCTGGGAGCTGCAGACTGGAGCTGTTCCTATTCAGCCATCTTGCCAGCCTCACAGATTTAATAAGTTTTTATTAACTATTGTCATTCACACCGTACATCAGGTCTCCAAAAAGGATTTATGGCTTTTTTCCCCTGGCTAGGACCTCCAGTACCATTTTTAATACTGGACATCCTTCTGTGAGCATTTAGTTTTTTATCTTTATTATGTTTGTGCTAGTATTTTTAAATTTATTTTTGTCATGTAAAATACATATTTAATATAAAAGTTACCTCTAACTATGTGTACAGACCAGTGGCATTAGATATAGTCACAATATTGTATAACCATTACCACTATCTCTATCCAGAACTTTTTTACTATCCCAAACATAAACTCTGTACCCATCAAATAATAATTCCCCATCTGTCCCTCCCCCCAGACCCTGGTAAACTCTAACTTTTGTGTCTTTGGATTTGCCTGTTGTAAGTGTCTCAAATAAGTGGAATCATACAATATTTGTCCTTTTGTGTTTAGCTTATTTCACTGAACATGATAATTTCAAGGTTCATTCATGTAGTAGCACATACCAGAATTTGTTTTCTTGTTATGGCTGAATACTGTTCCATTGTATAGATATACCACATTTTGTTTATCCATTCATCTGTTGATGGACATTTGAGTTGGTACCACCTTTTGGCTATTGTGAATAATCCTGCTATGAACATTTATGTACAAATATCTGTTCGAGTTCCTGCTTTCATTTCTTTTGTGTATATACCTGGAGTAGAATTGCTGGATCATATGGTAATTGTATGGGAATAGAATGGTAATTCTTTATTTAAGGTTTTGTGGAAACCAAACTGCCACTAAGCAGTGGCACCATTTTACACTCTCAACAGCAATGCTCATGGGTTCCAGTTTCCCTATATCTCACCAATACTCATTTTCCAGTTTTTTATAATAGCCTTCATAATGAGCGTGAAGTGATATGTCACTGTGATTTTGATTTTGACATTCCCTAATGATCAGTAATGTTGAACATATTATGTCTTATTAGTTATTTGTATAGATTATTTGGAGAGGTACCTATTGAAGTCTTCTGCTCATTTTTTTAATTGTGTGGTTTTTGAGTCATAGAATAGTCTGGATATTAATCACTTACCAGGTAATATTTCCAAGTATTTTCTCCCATTCTTTGAATTCCCTTTTCACATTCTTGTTGGTGTTCTTTGATGCACAGAAGCATTACATTTTGATGAAGTCCTATTTATTTATTTGCTTTTTTGTTGCTATTTATCTATTTGTGCTTTTGGTGTCACGTTTTTAAAAATCAGTGCCGAATCTAATGTGATGAAGATTTTCTGCTGTGTATTCTTCTAAGAGTTTTATAGTTGTAGCTATTTGATTCCTTTTGAGTTCATTTTTGTATATGGCATAAAAGTCCAACTTCATTATTTTGCAAGCAGATATCCAGTTTTCCCAGTATTGTTTGTTGAAAAGACAAGTCCTGGGCTGGGCATGGTGGCTCATACCTGTAATCCCAGCACTTTGGGGAAGCCAAGGCAGGTGGATCACTTGAGACCAGGAGTTCGAGACCAGCCTGGCCAACATGGCAAAACCACATCTACTTGTGAGGCTGAGGCAGGAGAATCACTTGAACCTGGGAGGCAGAAGTTGCAGTGAGCTGAGATCGCACCACTGCACTCCAGCCTGGGTGATAGAGACTCCGTCTCAAAAAAAAAAAAATAAATCAAATCAATGAGCCATAATTATGAGGGTTTATTGCTGGGCTGTTTTTTCCCTTTAGTCTGTGCCTTATGCCAATACCACACTGTTTCGGTTAGTATACTTTTGTGGTATAGTTTAATATCAGGGAGTATGATGTCTCCAACTCTGTTCTTTTTCAAGATTGTTTTGGTCATTGGGAGTTTCTAGAGATTACATATGAATTTTAGGATGCATTGTTTTTTTCTTTTCTGTAAAAAACTCCATTGTGATTTTGATAAGACTTGCATCGAATTGGTAGATTTCTTTGGGTAATATTGTCATCTTAACAATATTCTTCCAAATCATAAACATAGAATGTCTTTCCACCTGATTATGTCATCTTTAGTTTTTCTAGCAGTTTATAATTGTCAGTGTACAGGTCTTTTGTCTCCACAGTTAACTTATTCCTAAGTATTTTATTCTTTTTGATGCTACTGTAAAAAAATTGTTTTCTTAGTTTCTTATTTGGATTGTTCATTGCTAGTGTATAGAAATGCAACTTATTTGTGTGAATTGATTTTGTACCCTGCAACGTTGCTGAATTCATTTAATGGTTCTAAAAGTTTTTGTGGAATCCTTAGGGTTTCCTATGGATAAAATCATGTCATCTGAAAGCAGAGATAATTTTACTATTTCCTTTTCAATATGTATGCCCTTTTATCTAATTGCTCTGACTAAACTTCTTGTACTATATTGAATAGAAGTGGTGAAAGCGACCCTTCTCTTCCTCCTTATCTTAGAGGAAAAATTTTCATGCTTTCAACATGGAGTATAATGTTAGGTGTGATTTTTTCATATATAGCCCTTATCATATTGAGGAAGTTCCCTTCTATTTCTAGTGTATTGAGTATTTTTATCATGAAAGGGTGTTAAATTTTGTCAAATGATTTTTCTGTTAATGGAGATGATTCTGTTTTTTGCTTTGTTTTTTTTAACAGAATCTCACTCTGTTGCCCAGGCTGGAGTGCAGTGGTGCAATCTTGGCTCACTGCAAGCTCCGCCCCCCAGGTTCACGCCATTCTTCTGCCTCAGCCTCCCGAGTAGCTGGGACTACAGGCACCCGCCACCATGCCCGGCTAATTTTTTTTTTGTATTTTTTAGTAGAGATGGGGTTTCACCATGTTAGCCAGGATGGTCTCGATCTCCTGACCTCGTGATCCACCCGCCTCAGCCTCCCAAAGTGCTGGGATTACAGGCGTGAGCCACTGCACCCGGCCTGTTATTTTTTTCTTCCTTCTGTTCATGTGACGTATTACATTTATCATTTTTTGTATGCTGAATTGTCCATGTATCCCAGAAATGAATCTCACTCTTGACATCCTGCTGAATTCAGGTTGCTAGTATTTTTGAGGATTTTTACATTAAGAGATATTAAGGGATATTAGTCTGTAGAGTTTTTTTCTTCTTGTAGTATTTTTGTGCCGTATTGATATCAGGGTATTTCTGGCCTCACAAAAAGTACTGGAAAGTGTTTCCTCCTCTTCCACTTTTTGTGGGGGAGAATTTAAGAAAGATTGGCATTAGTTCTTTGTTAATTGTTGGTAGAAGTCAACAGTGAAGCCATCCAGTCTTGGGTTTTTCTTTGCTGAGAAGATTTTTATTCAGTTATTTTAAAGGTTACATATCTATTCAGATTTTCTATTTTTTTATTAGTCAGTTTTGGTAGTTTGTGTCTTTCTAGGAATATGCTCGTCTCATCTAGATTATTTAGTTTTTTGGTGTAAAATTGTTCATTGTATTCTCTTTTCATCCTTTTTTTAAAAAAAGAGTCTCACTCTGTCACTGCAGGTGGAGTGCAGTGGTGCAACCAGAGCTCACTGTAGCATCAAACTCCTGGGCTCGAGCATCCACCCACCTCAGACTTTCAAGTAGCTGGGACTATTGGCACATGACACCATGCCAAGCTAATTAAAAAAAAAAAAATTAAAGGTAGAGTCTTGCTATGTTGCCCAGGCTAGCCTAATCCTTTTTATTTCTGTAAAATCAGTTAGAATGCCTCTACTTTCATTTCTGATTTTAGTAATTCTAAGATTTTTCTCTTTTTCTGTCAGTCTAGTTAAAGGTTTTTAAATTTTGTTGATCTTTTCAGATAACTAACACTTTGTTTCCTTGATTTTTCTGTTGTTTTTCTCTTCTCTAGTTTATGTCCACTCTAATCTTTCTATTTTTTTTCCTTTTGCTACCTTTAGGTCTACTTTGCTCTTCTTTTTCTAGTTCCTAAGGTGTACAGTTTATTGATTTGAGATCTTTTTTAAAGTATACATTCGCAGCTCTAAACACCCCTCTTGGTGTTGCTTTTGCTGCATCCTGTTAGCTTTGGTTTATTGTGTTTCATTTAAATTCATCTCTAAGTATTTTCTAATTTCCCCTGTGATCTCTTCTTTGACCCAGTTGTTATTTAAGAGCTTTTTTTTTCCCATAATTCCCTTTACCAGGTTGAAGGAATTTTCTTCACTAGCTGGCTTGCTAAGAGTTTTTATAATCGATGGGCATCACATCATGTCCAGATATATTTTTCCATGCATCAAGATGACCATTCTTCTTTATACTAGTAATACAACAATTTACATTAATTGATTTTTAAATGTTAAACCAATCTTCAGTTCCTGGGGTTAAACCAATCTTGAGTTCCTTGGGTCAATCCAAGACGGTGGCTGCTAGCCACATATAGCTATTGAGCCTTTAAAATACAGTCTTTTTTGAGATGTGCTATAAGAGGAAGATATACTCTAGATTTATAAGATTTATTATTAAAAAATGTAAAATACCTCATAATTTTTACATTAATTACTGAAATAAAATTTTGGCTCTATTGGGTTAAACAAAATTATTAAAGTTAACATCACCTATTAAACTCTAAATGTGGCTTATTGCACATTTAAAATTATATATGTGACTCATGTCTGTGTCTCTTATAATATTGGTCAAAATATTTTTTACGTATGTCTAGATTTAATAATATTTTGTTGAAGATTTTTGTGTCTTTTAAAGAGTATTCAACTCTAGTTTTCTTTTAAGGTCTTTTTCTGGTTTTATTATTACGCTGGTACTGGACTCAGGGTGGGAAGGGTTCGTTATTCCTTTATCTTCAATGGAGTCTTTATAGGGTTGGTATTATTTCTTCATTAATTTCATGATAACACTAAACAATAAAACTGGGCCTGCAGTATGTTTATAGAATGTCTCTAATAGAGAACTATTTCAAGTTGTATATTTCATGTTAAGTTAGTTTTGGTAGTCTGCATCTTTCAAAGTATTTGTCCATTTCTTCTATGTTAACAAGTCTATTGAAATAAAATTGTTTATAACATTGCATCGCTATTCATTTAATAATGTAGGATTTGTAATTCCTGCTATGGGTAATTCATGCTTTCTTTCATCAGCATCAGTCTGACTAGAGATTTATCAATTTTATTATTTCATTCAAAGAACAGTCTTTGATTTCATTGCTTCTTCTCTATTGTTTGCTGGTTTTCCACATAATTGGTGTCCCCTTTTATCTTAATTACTCTCTTCATTCTACTTATTTGGGGTTTTATTTCATCTTCACTTTACACTTTCCCTAGTGATGGAGGCCTTTAGAGTTCTAGACTGTCCATGGAGAGTCTCCTATCAGAATCTCCAATGTGTATGTTTCCGTGGGCTCTGACTTCTCCCTGAGAGCCTTTTAAAGTTAAACTTGAAAAGACCAGCAAATACCCTCAGAGCATAGCTTCTATTCCCTGTTTAATTCTCTGCCTTTTCAGTTTTTCTTCCATTTTTGGCTTACTAATGTCTTACTATTCTGTTTGTTGTTTTTAAGAAGACTTATTTGATCATTTATCTAGCACTTCTTGTTTTTCCATGGGAGGATTTGTATGTAAAAGCTAGCTTCCCATTACAAAAGCTGTAGTCCCTAGTAGCATTTCCATTTTGTGGGGCCATTGTCTCAAAGCCACTGGTGTCTTTTTCATTCCCTTCTCATATTCCACCAGAACGTTGACCATTGTGCTAGTTTCAGAACATAGAAGAATACGATGTTGAATTCACTCCCATGTCTTACATATTAATTTTACTCCTTTTAATAATATTTGTATTTCTTGAGAGACTGTAAGTAGAGACTGTAATATTTTGTTTTTATGATTCCAAAAGTAATAACCCTTGAACATAGTTTTTAAAGAATGAAGAGAGAGGCACGGTGGTTCATGCCTGCAATCCAAGCACCTTGGGAGGCCAAGGTGGGCAGATCACTTGAGGTCAGGAGTTCGAGACCAGCCTGGCCAACATGGGAAAACCCTGTCTCTACTAAAAATACAAAATTTTCTGGGCATGGTGGCAGGTGCCTGTAATCCCAGCTACTCACGAGTCTGAGGCAAGAGAATCACTTGAACCCAGGAGGCGGATGTTGCAATGAGCTGAGATTGCGTCACTGCACTCCAGCCTGCACTCACTGCACTCACTCCACAGAGTGAGACTCTGTCTTAAAAAAAAAAAAAGAAAAGGTACCTATAGCTCTTCAACCTAAAGATAACTGCAATGAATAAGTTGCCGTATTCTCTGCCAACAGTTTTCCATGTAAATAGGTATAGACAGAAGGGCTAACCAAGTGACTTTGTTTAAAAGAAATATTATGTAGCTGCACTGTCCAAGATGGTGGCTGCTAGCCACATATAGCTGTTGAGCTTTTAAAATATAGTCTTTTTTGAGATGTGCTATGAGAGGAAGATATACTCTAGATTTATAAGATTTATTATTAAAAACTGTAAAATACTTCATAATTTTTATGTTGATTACTGAAATAAAATTTTGGCTCTGTTGGGTTAAACAAAATAAATTATTAAAATTAACATCACCTATTAACTCTAAATGTGGCTTCTAACACGTTTAAAATTACATATGTGGGCCAGGCACGGTGACTCACTCCTGTAATCCCAGCACTTTGGCAGGCCAAGGTTGGCAGATCACGAGGTCAGGAGATCAAGACCATCCTGGCTAACACAGTGTAACCCCATCTCTACTAAAAATACAAAGAATTAGCTGGGCGTGGTGGTAGGCGCCTGTAATCCCAGCTACTCGGGAGGCTGAGGCAGGAGAATGGCGTGAACCTGGGAAGCGGAGCTTGCAGTGAGCGGAGATCACGCCACTGTGTTACAACCTGGGCGACAGCGAGACTCTGTCTCAAAAAAAAAAAAAAAAATTACATATGTGACTCATGTCTGTGTCTCTCATAATATTTCTATTAGATAGTGCTAATATATGCTATTTTATATTCTTTTTTCAGTCAACATTAGCGCCGGCACTTTGTGCATACCACAAATAATTCTTCAAGATTACTATTTTAATAGCTATTCAACTTAAATCATTTAGGGATACTATAGATTGTAGCATCTAGAAACTTTGTGTGTGTGTATGTATGTGTGTACGCGTGTGTGTCTGTGTATGAGACACTTAGTTTTTCTTTGTTGTTGTTGTTGTTGTTATTGTTGAGACAAAAAGTTGATTCTCTTGCTTCAACTGATTCTCATGCTTCAGCCTCCCTAGTAGCTGGGATTGCAGGTATGCACCTCCACCCCCAGATAATTTTTGTTTTGCTTTTTTTTTAAAAAAAAAAAAAAAAGCAGAGATGAGGTTTCACCATGTTGACCAGGCTGGTCTCAAACTCCTGGCCTCAAATGATCTGCCCATCTCAGCCTGCCAAAGTTCTGGGATTACAGGCATGAGCCACCGTGCCGGCCAATACTTAGTTTTTCTTGCTGTAAAAATTAGATTCTACTCCTCAGTTATTCAGCAAAAATTTGATGACTATGTGTTCCTTGTTCATTTGCTTCTTTCCTCATTTCTTCGTTTTTTTCTCTTCCTCCTCTTATCCATTTACCAAATATTGTTGAGGGCCCTGATAGTCTATAGGTAGTATAACATAATGATTTAGCATAATTGCCTCTGACCAGACTGTCTGGGTTCAAATCCTTGCTCTTGACTTAGCACCTCCATTACTTCAGGCAGGTTACTTAACCTCTCAGTTACTGAGTTTCTCAGTGACAATATAAAGATTATATTAGGTTGGTACAAAAATAATTGCAGTTTTTGTCATTGAAAGTAATGAAAGAAGCTGCAATTACATTTGCACCAATAATAGTCGTAGTTACTTCATATGAAGTTGTAAGTAATAAAAAGGATTTTATCAACACATTTTGAACAAGGCCTAGCACATCTTCAGTTCCATGTACGTTATTATCGGTGTTTGCCACCTACTAACAGTCCAGCAGGGAAGGCAGGCACTAGATAAGTTATTGTAAATATGCTCAGTATCATGAAAGGACAATCTTTGAAAGTTAGTCCAATGAATAAGAAGTGTTCATTCCTCTCCGGTAGTTCAGTCTGCTAGGGGAGAAAGACATGAAAATAAATCATCTTAATACAGCAGGCTGAATGCTAACAGGGACTATGTTCAAAATACTGTAGCAAATAGGAAAGAGGGGCTGGCTGCTCCTGGTAGCTTCTAGAGGCAGTATTCTCTGGGCTGAGTCTGGAGGATTGGCTTTTGCTTTTAACTCTAGTCATTTGATTACATGTGTAGATTCATAGAAGACGTTAATATCAGTCCACAAAATAAAATGCTTCGTGTTTTCATAAGTATATTAGGAGTTTATTTGCATCAGCTGGCTACATTTTATATAGAGAGCAGATTCCATCAGTATTTTCACGTGGTGATTCTTAGAATGGAGACACAGAAGGTATTTCAGCAAACAAAGGAATGTCTTTCACAATAGAAGTGTAAACAATGCCAATTCAGTTCAGAGATGACTTTCTTCTTTTGAAGATGCCTGTTTTCAAGCAAAATACAAAATACACTAACAATAAAAGATGCCAAATTTTATCAAATGAAGTAGGAAGCCTTTCCCTTAAACTAAAAGATGTAAACAGTGAGCAAAAGAGAGCTGTCAGGAGTTTAAAAATAAGTTTGATTTTAAAATTTCTTTGCTTTTAAAATGGGAAATGATAATGACTGAACTTCATGAAAATACTGCTTAGTTAAATTATCCAATCTAAGTATAATGCTGAGGTGACTTTATGTGTTTCTAACTCTTTTTCCTAGTGATAAGAACTACACTTAAAACTGCCTTTATTCAATCAAGCCTTGGATCTGATAAGTTAATAGTCAATTTGCTTGGCAAAAGCAATTTGATTAAATGCTTCTCTTTGTGCTGGAAAAAATATTGAATTGGAAAGTTTGCCCAAAGTCATTTGTTGGCTGGGCATGATGGCTCATGCCTGTAATCCTAGCACTTTGGGAGGCGGAGGCCAGCTGATCACCTGAGGTCAGGAGTTCAAGAATAGTCTGGCCAATTTGGTTAAACCCCATCTCTACTAAAAATACAAAAATTAGCCAGGCCTGGTGGTGGGCACCTGTAGTCCCAGCTACTTCAGAGGCTGAGGTAGGAGAATCACTTGAACCCGGGAGGCAGAGGTTGCCATGAGCTGAGATCATGGCACTGCACCCCAGCCTGGGTGACAGAGTGAGACTCCATCTCAAAAAAAAAAGTCACTTGTCCTTGGTTTCCCTTTCTTCACACCATGTCTATCTAATAAGTTAATGAGTAGTAGCCAACCTTAAATAGAAGGAATGCCTATGAATGAATGGCATGAAGATTTTTAGTCAACACTTGTAATACAGTGTATCTTTCCCATTGTTTTGTCATTCAATTAATACCAATGAGGTTTTTTATTTGTTTTCCTTCACCTTCTCATTGGGAAGCCAAGATGTTTGTAAATCCAGATTAGTGATGATAGCAGTGAACTATACCTGCTCATAAATCTATTTGTGCTAGTGTATTTTGACGAGCAAAATGTATATCCAACTCCCACTCTACATATTTCTTTTTTCCCCAAATTTATAGCAATACCAAAAAGGATGCAGCAAGGGACATACTTATTCTATATGTTTTTGTGCTTGTATTTTCTTTGTAGATTCATTTCTAATTTAATTATACTCCCTGCTTTGCCATGATTTATGTATGATTATAGTTTGTCTTTGGATATATAATTCTATCTGCATAAAATATGCTGATTAATGTAGGCTAATATGTTTCAAATTAAAAATATGTGTTCTTTAAAACTATTTAATATGTTGAAGAAACTTTTAACACAATTGCTGATTGGGACACACAAATTTCTCTTAAGGCAGTGCTGAGTGATAAAACATAAGGTACATGTGTATAATTTGTGAAACTATATCGCCAAGGGATTCTGTGTTGATTTAATGTCTCTCTCAACTTCATGAAACTAAAAGAAAGGTCTGGTCCAATACTTTTCAATAAAGAGTGAATTTTCCTCCAGGGAACATTTGGCAATATACGGAGACAATTTGGTAGTTACAACTAGGAGTGGGTGCCAATAGTGGGTAGAGGCCAGGGATGCTGCTCAACATTCTACAGTACACAGGGCAGCTCCCTTCTCTAACAGAGAATTATCTGGCCCAAAATGTCAATATTGCCAAGATTGGGAAACCTTGGTCTAATCTGGTGAATGTAAAGCCCTTTCATATCCTTTGGTGTGGACATTTATGTTTCTCTAGCTATATTAGCCCTTGTCACAGCTACCCAAGCAACATCTCTCCTGCTTAATTGATAAGTGAATACCTCAATACTTCTCTAGCTTTAACTAAATAAATTAGCAATGGTCCTGAAAAATTGAGTTGACTGAGCTAATCCCATCTGCACCATCACAGGCACACATGCACACACACATACATCCCCTCACTCTGTGTACCCCAGCATAGAAGCTGTCCCTCTCACATATATCTAGGCAGCCCAAAAATTGCAATAGTTATTCTGACTTGCAGACAGCATGCCCTGCCATGTTGGTTCTTTGTGGCTTTTTCATGAACCCAGTGAGAGAAGCAGTGGTCAATAGGGAAAGTTCAGTGGCACCACTGTGGGTAGTCACTTTCTTTCCAAGCTAGCTGTGATTTTTGCCAAGTCTAAGCTCTTGTGTGCCCTGGCTTTGAACACCCTTTTCAATGTAGTTGCAGTGGAGATGAGTGGATATGTGTTTACTTTCAGTAGGCCTGCTGTTTTGGCCTACCATTCCCAGTGGTTTGCAGGACAGAGAAAATGATACTGAATAATACAAATTGAGTAATTCTGTGTTCCAGAGACTAATTCTGCAGACTGTGCCAGACACATCTTCCTTTACAGGTATGAGAAATGTATGAGTATTTTCCTTTGAAAAGCTCAAAGGAGCTGATGAGGATTTACATTGTAGGTGTTCAGAGAGCCAAATTTCAAGAGGAAAGAAAGAGATGTCATAGGGCCTGTCTCTGTTCACTCAAATACCTTAATTTCTACTCCTGGATGTCAGTCATTCAATATGTAATTACCAAGTATTTACAGCATGCAAAGCATTCATGTGGAACTGTTGATAGAAGGAAGAACACAATATAACTTCTTGTGATTGAATTCCTCAGAAAGTTTGGGAAATAGGTGAAATGATCTTGCACAAGAGTGAACTCAAGGCAGGAGGAAAGTCATAAGTAACTGAACTCAGACATGGACTTATAATCTTTTTAACATAGCTTAGCAAGTGATCATAACCAGTCCATGGAAGATGGTACCTGAGGTGAACTCTGTTTGCCGTCTTTGGGCTGTGGACTCTAAGAAGTCACAGTGGTTTGAAGAGAACATACAAATAAGTAGATGGGATTTTCATAGCAAGAAGGATATTTCTAGTACAGCAGGGACACAATTAAATCATAGTGATAGGAAAGTATTTGGAGAAGATTACAAAGGCATGTGAGCAGGGATCTGAGGTCTCATGAGGTAAGACTGTCAGACCACTGGTTTCGGGGGGGAAAAGGTAAGAATGTAGTTTTAGAATTATGTACCTTCACCCCTTCTTTCTTATTCTCAGCATTCTGAAATTCTCCTCCTCTTCACCTTCTTTTTCCACTTTTCTTTCCTCTCATTTTTTAACTCTGCCTTTCTGATATCATTCATCACTAAGACGGTTGACAAGAGGAATTTAATAATAAAGAGGGCTCCCCTCTTCTTGCTAAAACAGTTTGACCCCCTTATGGTTCTATAATTTATTACCGATTCCAGCATTCTGCAAATGCAATTTTTAATGGGCTTAAGTGATATCAGGTCTTAGTGCATTGATAATAATTATAATGATGGTAAATATTCATAGCTAACATTTAGTGGGTGCACCCCGTATTCTAGGCATATATACATAACTTCAATTCATCTTCAGAACAACTCTTTGATGATAGATACCATTAATGTTCCCTTTTGCAGAAGAGAATTATGGAACTTGCCCAAGATCATTCAGTTAGGAAGTCATTGAGCTGCTAGGCTCTGAAGTTCATGTTGTGAATAATGATGCTACTCACCCTATAGAGAAAAATATTAGAATAAAACCAATTTATTGGGATGAGAAATAACTGAGGTATTTAAAGAACACTGAGAAATTAAAGTCTAATGTGGGAGGAGGCCATGGAAATAAGTGGAGGAATTTGTGTATTTTCCTAGTCATGTCCTCAGTTCTGGGAGAAGGAGGGAAGCTATAAATTTGCTGGATGAAAGAAACACTCCCATTGTCCTGTATGGATCAGTTGTGGGAAAGACTTGACTGACAGTTAGGAGATGAGTAAACAGCTGGGGACAAATGGGCTGGTGCAGCCACAGAGTCTACTGTTTGGGGCACATTATTGTTTCTGAATACCTCTTTGTTCCAGATGTGATCCACTTGTCACGAATACATGGCCGCTCACCCTTTCTCTTCCAAAAGCCTTGAAAAATATATTAGTCTGTTCCTGTACCATCACTGTGACTCATTAAATACCTCTTACTGGAGACATATGTATGCCTTCATTTCCCTCGGTGCAAGAAACATGCAGAAAAAGCAAAGTCATTCACACCTTCCCTGGCAGTCAGAGTTGTTAGTAGATATTGTTTGTCAAGATTTTCTTCATTGCTGCTAATGCACACATCATCACAGTTTGAATTACTCCGTGAACCTTTCTGATGTCTAGAAGTCAGCCACTCTTACTGTTAGGAGAGTTTACTCTGTCAACAGGACAGCTACATTACCAAGTCTAATTACACACTTTTTTAAAAAAGGAAAAATGTCCACATATCAAGTGGAAGTAGAAGTCAGGTATAACAGGGTAGACAGGCTTTTTAATTAAATAATGTCAGTTACCTCTTGCCATCAGCTCATAGTTTAATTCAAGCACTCTTGTTATAAGAACACTGGGTCAAGAATCCATCCTCTGGAGTGCTAGGGAATACAATCATTCCTGTCCAGCTCCAGCCAGATTCTGTTTGGAGGCCATTCCCATTGCTTTAATTAGGGGAAAAAAATTAATGTTGTAAATTCATAGCATGTCACTCCTCATTTCTGTACAATCCATCACACTCTGAGCATGTGTATGGCAGCTCTTTTTAATAAAGGATTTTGCAGAGTACCTGCTGTGGCAAAAATACTTTGTCATCTTTGCTAGCTCCAGGAGTCCTAGCATTATGTCATGTTTGACTCCAAAAAATATTATTATAAGCCCTGGAATTAGAAACCCAACAATGGAACTAGCTGATTTCAATTGCCCGTGAAGCTATCATATTTTGAGAAATAAAACTTGGTAAGTTTTCATTTTAATCAAAAACTATAACAGGACCAGGGTTGCTTGTCTGAAATGAATAATTTCCACATTTCTGGATGCTATCAGATAATGGCTCTCTCATCCGTGAATTAATTATAAAACTAGAAATACTCTAAGAATATCAAGTTGTATCCCCCATACTTTCTTTTAAAGATTACTTTATGTTTCATCAACTTGGAGCTCAAAAGAGGGAATTGAAGGGCACTCAAGAGCCAATTCTTAAAACATCTCATAAGCTGTGGCACCTGGGAAGGTCATCAGGGGCTTATGTCCCAGCCATCACCTTAGGATAACTGGCTCATGGAGAAGTTCCAAGCTATAGGAATAGAAACAAGAAAAACATTTTCCTAATAATATCATTCAAGGAGCACATGTCAAGCCTCCCCCACTCTTTCCCAGCCAAGGAACAGCCCCCTTTGTATTTTAGCCCAATTCCATGAGGTTTAGGTGCTTTCTACTTATTCCAATGGTTTCTTTTGGATTTTGAGATTCAATCCTGTTTGCTTTTAAATGTCATTGTTTTTCCCTCTTTACCATGTTAATGCCCAGTCCTAAATCTCATCACCATTAAGAGGGAATCAACCTCCTCTCCCCTACCTGGGGTGCATGAGGGGAGTAGTAGCACCACTCACCAGTTTTACGAGTAAGCTTCCTGGAGGACTGTCTCTAGACTCCAGGGAGAGAGAGTACCTCTCACCTCATGCCCCTGAGGGAAATAGAGATAATAGCTCTTCTTGCACATTTATCTTATTAATAGGGTGGCAAGGTCAAGTTAGAGAGAAGGGACTAGTCCTTCTTCAGTGGTACCTTTAAGCAAGCATTGCCAGAAATGGCTGCCATTTTCACTGTGACTAAGCACATAGTGTATTTCCAGTTTCTTCCTTGGCTGTGGGTCTTACCCACGATTCTGGGACAACAAGGACAGCCTCCTGGCTACTGACCATCCTCCAGGTTCTTCATGTATGCTCTGCTTAGCAAATTAATAATGCTCTGAACTAAGCTTGTCATCTCAATGATATGGTTCTTATTTTTGTCCCCACCAAAATCTCATGTTGAATTGTAATCCCCAGCATTGGAAGCGTGGCCTGGTGGGAGGTGATTGGATCATGGAAGTGGATTTCCCCCTTGCTGTTCTAGTAACAGTGAGTGAGTTCTCACGAGATCTGGTTGTTTAAAAGTGTGTAACACTTCCCCCTTGTCTCTCTCCCTCCTGCTTTGGCCATGTGAAGACATGCCTGCTTCCCCTTTGTCTTCTGCCATGATTGAAAGTTTCCTGAGGCCTCCCAGCCATGCTACCTGTACAGCCTGCAGAACCATGAGCCAATTAAACCTCTTTTATTCATCAATTACCCAATCTCAGTATTTCTTTACAGCAGTGTGAGAATAGACTAATATACCCCATTTGACAGATGCGCCATTTGGGGAGGTAGCGTATCATAGCAGTTAAATGGGCAAAGCAGCATCAGACATGAGTTCAGGTTGTAGGCTCTGAAAATCACAACTGCTCAAGAGATTCAGGAGTCATATGTGGGTTTGGTCTACCACTGACCTTCCCCTCATGCTCTGTGCACTGATTCTTAACTCTGGCTTCCCTGCTTCCTTCCAGGCCTCTCTCAGGTCTAAAGCTTCCTCACATAAACCCTAGGACTCCCAGAGGTCCTGTTAATGTCCCAGATCCAAGCCTTTGCTGAGGTTGCTCAGCCCCCTTAAAAGCTCTTCCTTCCTCATCCTTCATGCAAATCTCCCTTATGAAATTTAATCCTTAAGGTATTTAGCAAGTAATTATTTAGTGACTACATTCAACAGTGAGGATAGCCTGGATTTTGCTGCAGTAGCAAACAAATCTGAAATGTAAGTTGCTGACACACAGGTTATTTCACACTCAAATAATACGCCTATTAAAGCAACTGGTGGCTCTGTTCTATGTCTTCCTTACTTAGAAACACAAGCCTCCAGCATCCACAGCAGTTCTGGCCAATAGGTCTTTCTGTAATGATGGAAATGGCCTATATCTGCACTGCCCGAAATGGTACCCACTAGTCACAGGTGGCAATTGAGTATTTCAAATGCAGCTAATGTGACTGAGGAACTGAATTTTTACTTTATTTAATTTTAATTAGTATAAATAACAACAATCAAAAATTGGCCACTGGCTACTATACAGAACAAGGCAGATTCAGAACATCATGTGTTGCTAGGCCAGGGAGAGAGAAGCGTGGACATTTATATACTGATGCTAAAAATCTTCTACCCAGAAGTAATAATCATCATGCCCTTTCACATTCAATGGGTGAAAGTAAATCATGTGTCCACATGGAGCTTCCACGGGTCAAGTAGAGCAGTCCTACCTTGATCTCATAGAAGGAGAATAAAAAGTCTCAGTAAGTAGCTTTAGTGAATTACACACCACCCCCCTGTTCAGGGTTCTACATATTAAGTGTGAAATAAAATAGACCTGCATCCTGCCCTCAAGGAGCTTAGAGTCTAATAGGGAAGGAAGGGTGGAGACGATCATTAAAAATACACAAATATATGACAGCAAACCTTTAAGGCAGAAAAACTCTTTTGGAAATCAAGGCTTGTAGTTTAAACAGGGAATTAGGAAAGACTTCTATGAAAATGTGATCTAAATAATGAGAATGAAGTGGCACAGAGTGAGGTAAAGGATATTCCAGACAAAAGCATGTGTGAAGGCTCCAGATTTGGGAAGCACCTGGTGGTATCTTCTGGGTAGTAAAGGAAGGCCCTGCTGGATGGAGTGTAGACCTAGGGAGAAGAATGGCACAGTGAATGCAGGCAGAGCAAGGGCCAAGTCATATGCAACCCTGTGAGCTCTGGTGGGAGTGTAGAGATGGCTTCCATCAAAGGGAAGCCATTAGAAAGTTTGATGCAAGGAGAAACATGATTTCATGCACAGTGTTGAAAAATCACCCCAGCTGCTGCCTGGACAAGGGTTTGGAGAGGATAAGAGAGAAGTGGGAAAGCTTTCCTCTGGCAAGTCTCCTATATTCTATTGCTGCTACTACTACAATCTTCGTGGCTTAAAACAACACCCATTTATGACCTCACAGTTTCCATGGGTGGGGAGTCCCAGTACAGTGTCACTAAGTCCTCTGCTCAGGGTCTCACTAGGCTGCAATTCAGGCATTGGCCAAGCTGCACACTTCCCTGGAGCTCAGGGTTTTCTTCCAAGCACATGTGGTTGTTGGCAGAATTCAGTTCTTTTTGGTTATGGGATTGAGGTCCCGGTTTTCTTAATAGGTGTCAGCTGGGGGTCATTCTCAGCGCCCACACTTTCTTGCTGTGTAGCCCTCCTGCAGCATGACAGTTCTTTGAGATCGGCAAGAAAATCAGTCTCTTCTGAACAAGCTGATCTGCTTTTAAGGGTTTTCATCTGATTATTCAGACCCACCTAGGATAATCTCCCTTTTGACTAACTCAAGACAAACTGAATTGAGGGCAGCCACGGTGGCTTGTGCCTATAATCCCAGCACTTTGGAGGTCAAGCTGGACAGATTGCCTGAGTCCAGGAATTCAATACCAGCCTGGGCAAAACAGTAAAACCCTGTCTCTACAAAAAATACAAAAATTAGCAAGGCATGGTGGTATGTGCTTCTAGTCCCTGCTACTCAGGAGGCTGAGGCAGAAGGATTGCTTGAGCTCACAGCCAAGATCATGCCACTGCACTCTCGTCTGAGTGACAGAGCAAGACCCTTTCTCAAAAAAACAAAAAACTGAATGGAGACGTTAATCACATTTGCAAAATCCCCTCACCTTTGCCATATAACCTGATCATGGGAGTGATATTGTATTTACAGGTCCTGCTCCTGTCCAAGGGGAGGGGATTACAAAGCCTGAGCACCAAGGGACAGGAAATTCAGGGACCACCTTAGAATTCTGCCTACCCAATGCCATTCGAGACATAGGCAAAGGCAAGGATTTCATGAAGACATCAAAAGCAATTGCAACAAAAGCAAAAATTGACAAATGTGATCTTATTAAAGAGCTTCTGCAGAGCAAAATAAACTATCAACAGAGTGAATAGACAACCTACAGAATGGGAAACCATTTTTGCAACCTGTCCATCTGACAAAGGTCTAATATTCAGCATCTATAAAGAACTTAAATTTACAAGAAAAAAACAACCCCATTAAAAAGTAGGCAAAAGACATGAACAGACACTTGTCAAAAGAAGACGTTCGGCCGGGCCTGGTGGCTCATGACTATAATCCCAGCACTTTGGGAGGCAAAGGTGGGTGGATCATAAGGTCAGGAGTTTGAGACCAGCCTGGCCAACATAGTGAAACCCTGTCTCTACTAAAAATACAAAAAAAAAAAATTAGCCGGGCGTGGTGGTGGGTACCTGTAGTCCCAGTTACTTGGGAGGCTGAGGCAGGAGAATCACTTGAACCCGGGAGGTGGAGGTTGCAGTGAGCTGAAATCACGCCACTGCATTCCAGCCTGAGTGACAGATCATGCAGCCAACAAACATATGAGAAAAAGCTCAACATCACTGATCATTAGAGAAATGCAAGTCAAAACCACAATGAGATACCACCTCACACCAGTCAGAGTGGCCATTTTCAAAAAATCAAAGCAACAGATGCTGGCAAGGTTATGGAGAAAGACATACTTTTATGCTGTTTCTGGGAGTATAAATTAGTTCAACCATTGTGAAAGACAGTGTGCGTCCAAGGCCTAGAGGCAGAAATATCATTTGACCTAGGAATCCTATTATTGGGTATATACTCAAAGGAACATAAATCATTCTATTGTAAAGATCCATGCACACATATGTTCATTGCAGCACTATTCACAATAGTGAAGACACGGAATCAACCTAGAAGTCCATCAGTGATAGATTAAATAAAGAAATGTAGTACATATATACCATGGAATACTATGCAGCCATGAAAAGGAATGAGATCATGTCCTTTGCAGGGACATAGATGGAGATGGAAGCCGTTATCCTCAGCAAACTAACACAGTGACAGAAAATCAAACACAGTATGTTGTCACTGATAAGTGGGAGCTGAATGGTGAGAATATATGGACACAGGTAGAGGAACAACACACACTGGGGCCTGTTAGAGGGTGGTTGGTGGGAGGAAGAAGAGCATCAAGAAGAATGGCTAATGGATGCTGGGCTTAATACCGAGATGATGGGATGATCTATGCAGCTAATCACCATGGTACGTGTTTACCTCTGTAGCAAACCTGCCTGCACACCCTGCACATATACCCCTGAACTTAAAAGCTGGAGAAAAAAAAAGAATTCTGCCTTTGCTTGAACCTGGGAGGCAGAGGGTGCAGTGAGCCGAGATTGTGCCACTGCACTCCAACCTGGGCAGCAGACCAATACCCCATCTCAAAAAAAAAAGAATTCTGCATGCCACAGCTTTTTTGGCTTTCCCAGCTCACATAGCATTTGACCTCCTAGAACCTTCCACAACAGTTATTATCTGTACTCGAGGGAAGAATGAACCAGAAGTAGGCAACTCTTGCGCTTAAGAACCAGTTGATTCGTGTGAGCCACAATCTATCATTTTCTGACAATTCAATTTGGGCATATATTCAGTTCTGAGAGCCTAATTCAGGCTGCCCAGATTCACAAAAGACTGGTCAGGGAGCCAGAGGGACATAACTATTTTTTGGCACTAAGTATAGCTGCCAGACAGACCAGAACCATTGTGTTGACTGAGGAAACTACAGGAAATATTTATAGAGGGTTTTGGAATCAGAGACAGGGTTCAGTATGGTTGAGTCCCTTAACCATTCACAGCCTCAGTTTCTTCATCTTTAAATTGGAGATCATTTTAATCATCTGCACAGTGTTATTTGTGAGGAATAAATGAGATAACATATGTCAAACCATTAACACAGAGTCTGGTACCTAATACGCTTGCAACAACAGTAGCTGCTATTATTCTTATCTTCCTCACCAGTCACAGCCAGAGTTAGATAAGTACTTGTTGCTGTAACACAGCTGAAGGCAGGCAGCTTGGGAAGCTGTCCAGATTTTCTCCCAAGAGGGCTCCAGAGCTGAAGAAAACAAGCTCACCAGTGTGTCACTAAGCCACTCTGGGCCATCATTTCTGAGTCTGTTAAACTGAGATAACCTCCCCGTCTGCTTTCCCTTACTGGGGAAGTTTGTGGCAGCAATTCAAGGCTCTTAGAAGAAACGTGCCATAGGGTAATAATATAGTGATAAATACCTTACATCCATGTCTCTTGTCTCCTCCCAGGGCATAAAGGTGTTCTTGCAGCTCTTACTAAGATGTCTTGGTAACAGAACCTTCCTGAGCAATCTATCATTCCATTACTTTATAGCCTGGATTTGATTATTTATTCATTTAGACTCTGCTACAGACTGCTTCATACCACTGAGCAGCCACTAATCAATTAATGCTCAGTTTTTTCTGTTGTCACATCTGTATGTTGGAATGGCCACAGTTTCCCTGCCCTGGACCTCTGAAATCTCAGGAGTGTTCTTGGAATCTTGAAGCCTTGGTACTTGCCAAATATTTTCTAACACATAGTTTCACGTATTCCCAGCCAAATATGATGTATCTTAGGATGCTCTTTTATAATTGATTTGCAGGGACTTGCTATGAACACAGATGTGACTCATTTGAATCCGTATATCAGATTGTGTTTAGGATGAGAATATTATGCTGTGTCTGTTTCATTATATGTCAAATGTCAATATTAAAGTTTCCAGTAACACACACATGACTCGTAAAGAAAATGGGAAGGTATTTTCATATCTGTGTTTCAGAACTGAAGACATTAAAAAAAGAATTATTTCTTGAAAATAAACACATCATGGATTGGTAGTTTTGAATCTCTGTAATATGAATAAAGTTTATAAAATCAAATTACATTGCTGAAATTATGCAGAGGAAATATCCCAAAAGAGCACAGAGGATAATATTGATAAAACAACTCTCTTAATAAATCACACTGAAAAAAAACATTCATGTGGACCAGAGGTTGGCAAATATGGTCCAGGCCACTGCCTATTTTTGTAAATAAAGTTTTACTGGCTTACTGTCGCACTCAATTGTCTACACACTAGCCATGGCTGTTTTCTTACTATAAGTGGAGAGTTCAGCCATTGTGATAGTGACTATATGACCCACAAAGCCTAAAATATTATTTGGTGTTTTGCCAATTAACTTTCCTGGCCCCTGATCTAGAACATTAGTTTTTAAATTACCTTTTTAAAGACAAATACAAAATACATTAAGAATATTGCTAAACACCAGGCACATTGGCTCACACCTGTAGTCCCAGCACTTCGTGACGCCAAGGCAGAAGAATCTCATGAGCCCAGGAGCTCCAGTCCAGCCTGGGCAACATAGGGAGAGCCCATCTCTACATAAAAGTAAATAATTAGTTGGTCATTGTGGTATGTGCCTGTGGTCTCAGCTACCCCCGAAGTAGGAGAATTTCTTGAGCCCAGGAAATTGAGCCTGCAGTGAGCCATGATCATGCCATTGAACTTTAGCCTGGTGACAGAGCAATACTCTCTCTCTCTCTCTCATCTATATATATAATTAACAGAAGGAAATTTGGGGAATTCACAAATATGTGGACCTTAAACACTATACTTCTAACTAACCAAGAGGTTAAAAAAATCACAAGGAAATTAGAAAATACTTTGAGAAGAAGGAAATGAAAACACAGCATACCAAAACTTATGGGCTACAACTAATGTAGTCCTCAAAGGGAAATTGATAGCAACAAATACCAATAAGTTTTTTAAAGTTCTCAAACCAATAAACTTAATGTTACAACTCAAGATGCTAGAAAAAAAGATCAAGCTAAACTCAGTGCAACCAAAGAAAGAATCATGATTAGAGCTAAAATAAGTGAAATAGAAAATAGAAAAAATATAGAGTCATTTAATGAAATCAAAAGTTGGTTCTTGGAAAAGATTAACTAGAACATTGAAAAACACTTGGTTTAACAAAAAAATAAAAGACTCAACTTATTGAAATAGGGACTGTTACTATGAAACTTACAGAAGTAAAAAGGTAAAGGGCTTTACCAAACTTATTTGGTTTGATATAATCTCATTTATCTATTTTTACTTTTATTGCTGTGGTTTTGAGGTATTCTCCATAAAATCTTTGCCCACACCAATATCCTGAAACATTTCCCCTGTTTTCTTCTAGTAATTTCACAGTTTCAAGTCCTATGTTTAAGTCTTTAACCCATTTGGAGTTGATTTTTGTATATGGTAAGTGATAGGAGCCTAGTTTAATTTTTCTGCACATAGATATCCAGTTTTCCCAGCAATATTTATTGAAGAGACCGTCATTTCCCGAATGAATTTTCTTGGTGCCACTGTCAACAATCAGTGGGCTATAAATATGTAGATTTATTTCTGAGTTCTGTATTCTGTTCCACTGGCCTATGTGCCTATTTCTATGCAAGTACCATGCTGTTTTGGTTACCTTAGTATATTTTGAAGTTTGTTATGTGATGTCTCTAGCTTTGTTCTTTTTGCTCAGGATTGCTTTGGCTATTAAGGACCTTTTGTGGTGCCATACAAATTTTAGGATTGTTTTTCTATTTCTGTGAAGAATCTAATTGGTATTTTCATCAGATTGCATTGAGTCTTTAGATTGCTTTTGGTAGCATGGTCATTTTCACAATATTCTTCCCATTTATGAACATGGGATGTCTTTCCATTTTTTGTGTCCTCTTCAATTTCTTTTGTCAGCATTTTATAGTTTTCCTCATAGAAATCTTGCTCCTTGGAGAATTCCTAGGTATTTTATTATTTTTTGTAGCTATTGTAAATGGCACTGCTCTTCTCATTTCATTTTCCACTAGTTCATTGTTGGTATAGAGAAATGCTACTAAATTTTGTATGTTGATTTTGTATCCTGCAACTTTAGTGCATTTTTTTTTTTATCAGTTCTTAGAGTTTTTGGTGAGGTCTTTGGGGTTTCTATATTTAAGATCATGTCATTTACAGACAGAGACCATTTGACTTTCTCCTTTCCTATTTGAATGTATTTTATTCCTTTCTCTTGTGAAACTGCTCTGACTGGGGCTTCAGTACTCTGTTAAATATAAATGGCAAGAGTGGGCATCCTTTTCTTGTTCCAGATCTTAGAGGAAAAGCTTTCAACTTTTCCCCATTTAGTATGATGTTGGCAGTGGTCTGTCATATATAGCATTTAATATTCCTTCTATACCTAACTTCTTGAGAGCTTTTATCATAAAGGGATGTTGCATTTTATCAAATGCTTTTTCTGCATCCATTGAGGGGATCATGGGGTTTTTGTTTTTAATTCTGTTTATGTGGTGAATCACATTTAGGGATTTACATATGTCAAACCATCCTTGCATTCCAGGGATAAATCCCACTTGACCACGGTGAATGATCTTTTTAATGTGCTGCTTGATTTCATTTGCTCATATTTTATTAAGAACTTTTGCATCTGTGTTCATCAGAGATATTGGCCTGACATTTTCTTTTTTGTTGTGTCCTTGTCTGGTTTGGGTGTCAAGTAATGCTGGCCTCATAGAATGGATCTGGAAGAATTCCCTCCTCTTCAATTTTCTGGAAGATATCTATTTGACATACTGATTTCCTTTCAATATATACCCAGTAGTGAGACTGCCGTATCATATGTTTTCTTTTTAATATTTTAAGGAATAGTCATACTGTTTTTTTTAAGCATCCATGCTTATCTTACAGCACTATTCACAATAACAAAGATATGGAATCAACTTAAGTGTACATCAACAAATAAATGGATAAGAAAAATGTGTGTTTGTGTGTGTGTGTGTGTGTAGTGAAATATCATTCAGGATAAAAAAGAATAAAATCCTTTAATTTGCAGCAACATGAATCAACCCAGAGGACATTATGTTAAGTGAAGTAAGCCAGTCACAGAAAGTCAAATACCATATGATCTTACTCATACATGGAATCTAAAAAAAACTGATCTAATAGAAATAGAAAGTAGAATGGTGGTTACCAGAGACTGGGAGTGGAAGGTTTGGGGAGCATAGGGAGGCATTGGTTAACAGGGACAGTGTTACAGTTAATTAGGAAGATAAATTTTGGGTTTCTATTGCACAGTAGAGTGACTAGAGTTAATATTGCATATTTCAAACTAGCTAGAAGAGAGGATTTTCCATGTTTTTACCACACACAAAAAAAACCGATAAATATTTGAGGTGAGGTGATAGAGATGTTAAATATGCTGATTTGATCATTACACAATATATACATGTATCAAAACATCACACTATGCTTCATAAATATGTACAATAGCATTTTGTGTCAAGCAAAAATAAAACTAAAAAAAAGGTGTAAATTTTGATCACCTTCAATTAGGCAGTGGTTTCTTAGATATGACACCTAAAGCCAAACATCAACAACAAAAAATAGGTAAGTTGAACTTTACCAAAATTAAAAATTTTACATATCAAAGGACAATATTGAGAGAGTGCAAAGACAGCCCACAAAATGGGAGAAAATATTTGCAAATCACATATCTGATAAGACTTTAATATCCAGAATATATAAAGAACACTTATATGTCAACAATAAAAAGACAACCAAATTTTAAAATAGACAAACTATTTGAATAGACATTTCTCCAAAGAAAATATACAAATGGCCAATAGACACATGAAAATGTACTTACATCCTTAGTCATTAGAGAAATGCAAATAAAATCAGTGAGATACCACTTCACACTCACTAGAAGAGATATGATTTTAAAAATTTAAAATGAGGATATGGAGAAATTGGAACCCTAATACATTGCTAGTGAGAATGTAAAATGGTGCAGGTATTTTGGAAAACATCTGGCAATTTCTCAAAAAGTTAAAAATAGATTTAGCATATGATTTAGCCATTCAAATATTAGGTATATGCCCAAGAGAATTGAAAACATAGGTTCACACAAAAATTTGTGTGAATACACATTCATAGCAGCATCATTTATAATAGTCAAAAACTGGAAACAACCCAAAAGTCGGTCAACTAATGGGTGGATAAACAAAATCTGGTATAGCCATACAATGGAATATACTAATAAATCAGCCATAAAAAGAATGAAGTGCTAATACATTCTGCAACATGGATGAACCTAGAAAATATTGCTAAGTGAAAGAAACTTAACACAAAGGACCACATATTGTATGATCCCACTTATACTAATTGTTCAGAATAGGCAAACCTATAGAGGCAGAAAGTATATTAGTGAGAAAGTATATTAGTGGGGAATGTGGCATGACTCTAAGTGGGCATGGGGTTTCATCCTAGAATGACCAAAATGTTCCGTAATTAGATAGTGGTGGTGGTTACAGAAACTTCTGAATATATTTTTAAAAAACACACTGAATGGTGTATTTTAAAAGAATAAATTTTGCGTATTGGAATTACATCGCAGTAGAAAGGAAAACAAAACAAAAGTAGGTTGTTGATCAGAACCAAAACCCTCACTGTTCATTTTTCCAAGAATTCCATTTCAAGAATTTGATGTCCTTTCCCCTTTCTCCTAAACATTTTTCTTCTTGGCTACTCACTAGGCAACATATTAAAATCCTGTGGAAAACTTCCACTCCTGGGAAGATGGAACATATGTACTTTTCCTTATTTCTCCCAATAAGTACAAATAAAAACTCTAAACAAATATGATAAAAGTCTGAGAGGCAGAAGAAGGCAGACTAGCAAGGAAGTTCAGGATCCAGGGAACAACTTGATAATGAATTCCCTGGGTTTGCTTTCTGCCTCAGCAAACCCAGGGGTGCTTTCTGGGTGCTGCTTTCTGGGTGCTGAAGAAACTGGCAACCTAGGAACACCAATGGTCATAAACAGGGAAATCTCTAGGCCCACATGGTTTCACTAGAGAAGACTACCAAAAGAATTGTTTAAAGAAAAATTAACACCAACTCTAAACAATCTCTCCAGAAAGCAGCATAGAAGGGAAGACTTTTCAATTCATTCTATAAAGCTAGCATTCTTTAATAACAAACCAGACTAAGACAATACAAAAAAGGGAAACTACACACCAGTATACACACAAAGTCCTTAACAAAATATTTACAAACAGAATTCAGTAATATAGGCCAAGTGTACCTATATTACAGATCACGCCTGTAATCCCAGCACTTTGGGAGGCTGAGGTGGGTGAATCATTTGAGGTCAGGAGTTCAAGACCAGCCTGGCCAACATGGTGAAACCCCATCTCTACTTGAAAAAAAAAAAAATAGCTGGGCGTGGTGGTACACACCTGTAATCCCAGATACTTGGGAGGCTGGGGCAGGAGAATCACCTGAACCCAGGAGGTGGAGGTTGCAGTGAGCTGAGATCGTGCCACTGCACCCCAGACTGAGTAACAGAGGGAGACTGTGTCTCAAAAAAAAAAATCAGTAAAATATAAAAAGAAATATACGTCATGACAAAATGACTTTATGCCAGGGATGCAAGGTTCTTAGAATATTCAAATATCAATAATATGAGTCATCCCATTAACAGGTTAAAGAAGAAACATGACAAGATCATTTAATTATTGCAGGAAAAAGCACTTGACAACATTCAACACCTATTCTAACTAAAAATACTCAGAAGAATAGAAATAGAGGTGGACTTTTTCAATGTGATAAAAAGCACCTATAAAAAAACCCTACAGCTCACATTAAACGTAATGGTAAAAGATTAAGTGCTTTCCCCCTAAATCAGAAACAAGGCAAGAATGACTGCTCTCACCAGCCTTATTTAAAATAGAACTAAAAGTTTTAGCCAGTGCAACAAGGAAAAGAAAAGGCACACATATCAGAAAGGAAGAAATAAAACTGCTTTTTTCCTACTTCATATATAGAAAATCCCAAGGAACCTATAAAAAGCAACCTCCTAGAACTTATAAATGAGTTCAATAAAGTCTCAAGGTACATGCTAAACATACAAAATCAATTGTATGTCTGTACACTACCAGTGAGCACATAAAAATTAAAAATAAGATACCACTCAAAATTACTCCAAAAATATTAAATACTCAGGTATAAATCTATCCAACCTATGTATGCTGAAAACTACACAATGCTGGGTGAAAGCAATCAGATATCTAAATAAATGGAGAAATATTCCATGATCATGGATTAGAAAATACAATTTAGTAAACATTAATTGTCTTAAAATTATTCTAGGATTACTCAACCTAAATAAGGTTTAACAATTTATATCAAAATCCTAGCAATAATTTTTGTAGACATAGGCAAAACTATTTTAAAACTTATTTGGAAAGGCAAAATAGAATCACAAAAATAATTCTTAAAAAATGAAGGAATCACTATCAATTTCAATATTTATTATATAGTAATCATGTCTGCATGTTTGATAGAGGGGTAGACACATAGATAAATGGAACAGAATAGAGAACTCAGAGCCACAGACAAGCATGGCAAACTGATTTTTGACCATGGAATAAAAGCAATTCAACGAAGGAAGGGTAGTGTTTTCAACAGATGGTATTGGAGCAATTGGACATCCATAGGCAAAAAATGAACTTCAACTTAAACCTGACATATTATACAAATAGATTTAAATGTAAAACTATAAAATGTACAGGAATAAAACGGGAGAATGTCTTCAGGACCAGAGGCTTGATGAAAAGTTGTTAGCCATGACACAAAAAGCATAATCTATCAAAGAAAAACATAGATAAATTAGACCTCATCAAAATTTAAAACTTTTGCTCTGTGAAAGATCAGTAAAGATAAGACGTGTCTGGGGAAAAAATGCAAACCACATAGCTCACAAATGATTCATAACTAGAATATATAAAGAGCTCTCATAACTCAAAATAAAAAACATACACTGATAAAGGACTTGTAAGGATGTGGAGAAAGCAGATCACATATACTTTGCTAGCGGAATGAAAAATGGACCAGCCACTCTCAAAAAGCTTGGCCACTAAAAACACAAACAAACAAACTGAAAATACACTTAGATGTCGCAGCAGTTGTACTTCTGGGCATTTATCCCAGAGAAATGAAAACCATGTTTGCACAAAACCTGGACATGATTGTTCACAGCAACCTTACTTATAATAGCCAAAACTGGAAGCAATGAAAATGTGCCTCAGTAGGTAAATGGCTAAGCAAAAACTCTGTGGCACATACATACCATGGAATGCTACTTAGCAATCAAGAGGAATGAACTATTGACATTTGCCACTTAGACGGATCTCAGGGCATTTTGCTGAGTTTTTTAGGGAGATGCAAAAGAGAGTAATGGTTGTTAAGGGTTGGTTAGCAATGGTGGGTGGCAGGGATGGCGGTGTGACTGTAAAGGGCTTAACATAAGGGAGAATTTTGTAGTAATGGAACAGTTCTGTATGTAAAACTGTATACTCGTATTGTATCGAGGCCAAATTCCTGGTTTTGATATTATGCTACTGTTACGTTGGATGTAACCAGTTAGCTGAGTGAAAGGTACAGAGATCTATCTCTCTGTACTATCTTTGTAACTTCCCAAAATTATTTCAAAATAAAAAGTTAAATCCAAGGGAAAACCATTCATCCTGTTGGGAATAGATTTTAAATATGCTATTTTGTTAACAAGTCTATTATTTAAAGAGTCAACTTTCCTGAGGATAATCTGCCTACCCTTCAAAATACCTCAGATTCTAATAGACAAAATGTATGTTTCTTTCAGTGTCTTGGGGCTATCTAGGCAATGATAGTTCAGATACAGTTGGAGGATGAAAACAGGAAAATGGAACCTGATGCCCTGTAGTATCTTAACCTCCCATTAGATGAGCACAGATATATTCTGAATGACTGGATCAATTTACCTGTGGAATACATCTGATTTATAAAGGCATCTCTAGCAATTGATCTGCACCAAATCACAGATATCCCAAAGAGCAGAAGAAAACAAAAGGAAACAAAGAGAAACTTTCTTGTTTCCTGGCCCTTCCTATTTTTTAATGTGAACTAAAGAGTTGATATTGCTTCCACTTGTTCATTGCAAGACTAAAACAGCTCTAATATTGCAAATGATCAAATGTCTAATTATATCATTAGGCACTTTTAACAACAAAGGCTTTACTTTGATTCAGTAAATCAATATGCCCTAGGGTTCTCCCAAAGGGATGCCATAAAATGAGCTTGGTTTTATAATTTGTCCTTTTAATATCTATATTTTATTCAAAATACAGTCATTAGAACTGATTTGATAATGCTCATGATAGCACAATTCTTACTATATTTCTGACAGACCTTTTCAGATGGAAACTTAAAGGGAGTTCTCCTTTGTCAGAGAAAGGTTGTAAGAAAGTAGAATGAAGACATTTATTGAAAAATCCATATGGTTTCAAGCCTCCTTAGGAGATCAAATGGAAGATACTCCTTTTTTTCCTCTCAGCCTTTGATTTTGTCATTGCATCTCTGGACCATTGCATAGTGGTCCAGTATTAAGAGACATGAGGCTGTAACCCAGGGAAACTTTGGACCAACCAACAAAATCCTGTGTTTGGAAGTCAGATCAGAAAATAGTTATCACATGCATAGCCAAAACCAGAAGAAGTAGTCCACCAGGGGCTGCTTGCCCCTCCTTTTAGCCATAAAAAAAACAACCTTCTTCTATCTAATAGCATCCTATTACCTCCTATTTTCTGCTGAGAGGATGTCTTGGCAATTGGGATAATGTTCCATTAAACTCCAAGACACATACTTCCTCATTTTAGCAGTCTTGCTGACTGTACTTTATACAGTGTCTCACTGCTGAAATCAATTAGTGTCTTATCAAATTTTTAGTTAAGTAATTCTCATTTAAATCTGTTTACTTTCTAAGAACTCATATTCCCAGTTCTGGACAGTCTTGTGTAATTACAAATTTTATTATAGCATTAGAGTCTAAATCTCCTTTTGACTTCTGCTATCACTAGCCTGATAAGGCTTTATTTTTACAATGCCTTCTCTGGGGTTTTTTGTTCAATCTGTAAGGCCTTGAAAATGAATTGTGGTTGCTGACATTACTATTTACTAACATTTACTCTCAAATTGCAAATCTCTGAGAGAGACAAAGTAGAAACATGACAAGAGGTAGGAATTCCAACTCTAACTAACACTTACTATCTGTGTCTTCAGCATGGCTTTTGAATTTTTCTAAGACTCAGATTTTCATCTGGGAAATACTGGTGAAATATTGTGTTGTGCCTTGTTTATAGTGGGTGCTCAGTAAACATTGGTTTTCTCTCTCTCATGATTTCTGCACAGTGAAGTCAAAGATGTCTCAGGCTTACACTGAAACCTGGAATGTGGGAGAACAGAGGAAAAGGTAATAGATAAATTCTGATGAATACACAAATCTCTTTCCACACATTCTGATACATGGAATCTCTGGGTTGGTAAGACTTACATATGAGAGATCAAGTGGAAAGAGTGAGTTATAATCTCAGAGAGTTTTGACAGTCAAACAGAATGGCATTTCTAGCTCTCTGGGTTGTTCTTCCTCCTCAAGAGAAATACTTCAGTCCAAGCTACGATGACCAGGTAAGCCAAGGGAGTATCTCAAGGGAGTTCAGTTGGAGATTAAATATACTGGTGAACCTGTTTCAAAGAGAGACAGTTTAAACAAGGAAATTAAACCTGTTTTGTTTGTACCAGAGAGACTGTAATTTACAGAGATGCCTGACATGAGGACGTTAATGCCATTGGAAGAATTGATTACTTACATTTCCCAAGAGAAGAGAGCATACCATGCCACGCAAGGCCACAGTGGGAGCATCAAGCTTTGGTCAGGAAACAGAAGCAGGAATGAGAAAAAAAACAAGACCAGAGCTTTCATTGGGATTTCTTCAACAGCAAGGCAAGCCAGGGTAAATAGTTTAGTATTGGCTAGTTTGAATAACAAACAGGCTTAGAGGAAAAAAAAAAAAAAAAAAAACAGTCTATGTTAGACAAGCTTTGTTCAGACGTGAGTTACAGTGCTATTGGCCATGAGTACAATGCTAATGAATCAACAATAATGTATGAAATAAGGTGCTTTAAACAAAAACACACATAAAACAAGGTTATGTATTGATTGGTTGAAAATATTCTGACCAGAGCCTGGTAGGAAACTTACCCTGTATTTCCCCTAGGAGGTTTGATTCAGTATTCATTAATATAGTATTTGTGGCAACATTATAAAACATAACAAGAATTGATTGTACAATTCTGGTCAGGATGCAGAGTAACTGGATCTCTCACACATTGCAGGTGGGAATGTAGAATGGTATAACAACTCTGAAAAAGTTTGGCAACTCATTTTATCACGTTAAAGATACATTTACCATACAAGCCAATGATTGCACTTTGAGGCATTTACCCCCAGAGACATGAAAACTTACTTACATGCGCTCTTCAAATGGTAGGTTTCTGCTTGTTGCTAAATTTGGGAAGTTTGAGGCCACTTTTTTTCCAAGTTCATATTCTATTTCTTCTTGTGGGACTCAAAGGACATGAATGTTAGATCTTGTGTTACTGTCTCACAAGTCCCAGAGGCTCAGTTCATCTTATTTCCATCTATTTTTTTTTTCCTCAATTGTTCAGACTGGATGTTTTCTATTGGTCTATCTTTAAATTCATGGATTCCTTCCTATTTCATCTCGTTTCTGCTATTAAACCCATCCAGTGAGGTTTTTCATTTTGTATTTATTTATTGTATTTTTCATTTCAAAAATTTCATTTGGTTCTTTGTATTTTTATTTTATTGCGCAGTCTATTTTTACATTTGTTTCAAGAGCATTTGTAATTGCTTCCTGGAGCATTTTTATGATAGCTGTTTTAAAATTTTTATCTAAACACCCCAACATCTGTGTCATCTCAGTTTGGCATCTGTCAATCACATTTTTATATGATTTTGGATTGTCCTATTTCTTAATATAATGAGTAATTTTGGGCTGTATTCTAGATATTTTGAATATTATGTTGTCAGACTGATTCCTATGTAAAGCTATTTTGGCAGCTCGTCAACCATGTAAGTTCAAAATGCACGTCCAGCTCACTTTTGTGGCTCATGATTCAAATGTCAATGTAGTTAAGTCTGCAGTTCTGCTGTTGAGGTTAGTGACACTTGTGTACCAACCTAGATGACAGGAGTATACCCTATCGTCTCTAGCAATGGCTAGAGTGGGGAAGGCAGGGGCACTCATTACTGCAGGGGATAGAAGACAGAGTTCCATGCACTGACACAGCTGGGGATGGGGAGTCATCTTGTTCCGCAGAGGAGATGGATTTACAATTCTGCCCACCAGCTCCAGAGAGCAAGGGTGCTTCCTCATATCTGTGGTGTCATGGGAGGTGAGTAACAGGAAGGTGGAAGTCAGAGTTGACCTACAGGCTCTACGTAGGAAGGATACAGCCTCACATGCAGAGCAAAGAGATGGAAGAAAGAAAGGGTTCCACCCACAAGTGCTACTGCTGCAACACCTGTTGTGGCGGAGGGTAGGTGTAGTTTTTTTCATGGTGTTTACCTCAAGAACAGATAGATGTTCATTAAAGGCTTCTGGACTATTATGTTGCACTTTTCTCAGTTCTTTGGGCAAGAGAAAACAGGGTTTTCTTGGGGGTACTTTTTTGTCTGCATCTACTGATACTGCTGAGTTTCAGGTTTCTCTAGTGCCCAAGCTGAGATATATAGGAGATAAGAAAAAAAGAGAAAAGAAAACAAAACCCAGGGCCTCATTCAGTTCCAACAACCCAAGGCAGTCTGCTTTTCCTCCACCTTTTAGAGTACTCTGCTGGGTAACTTATGTATTTCATCCAGGGACCTTGGTTGTGATTAGCAGAAGGAGTAAAATAGAATTCACTTTGCCTAGAACTGGAAGTACAACCAGTTCCTTTGGGATGGCTATTAAGGATTTCTGATTCTTTGGTCTTATGAACAATACTGATTCATATTCTTGTACATACCACTTGGCCTCTTAGCTCCTTGAGATAAATTCCTGCAGGTAGAAATCTTGAAGTCAAGAGGTAATGCACTGTTATAGCTCTTGATACGTAATACGTGTGATGTAACACTGTACCCCTGTAATTCTTGCTAGATATTATCTTTCTGTTTAATACTGGCCAAGCTGATACATGAAAGACTGTTCAGTCTGGATTACTCATCAAGAACTGCAAGCCTCTAGCCTTTTTCTGTTTCTTCTGTGTATTATTAATACCATTTGTTCACTCTTCTTTCTTCAACTTTTAAGTTCTGGAACACATGGGCAGGATGTGCAGGTTTGTTACATAAGTAAACATGTGCCATGGTGGTTTGCTGTACAGATCAACCCATCACCTAGGTATTAAGCCCAGCATCCATTCACTATTCTTCCTAATGGACTCTTTCCCACTGCCCCACCCCCCAACAGGCCCCAGTGTGTGTCGTTCCCCCTTCCATGTGTCCATGTGTTCTCATTGTTCAGCTACCACTTATACATGAGAACATGCAGTATTTGATTTTCTGTTTCTGTGTTTGTTTCCTGAGGATAAGACCTTCCAGCTCCATCCATGTCTCTGCAAAGGACATGATCTCATTCCTTTTTATGGCTGTATAGTATTCCATGGTGTATATGCACCGCTTTTCTTTATTCAGTCTATCATTGATAAGCATTTGGGTTGATTTCATGTCTTTGCTATTGTGAATAGTGCTGCAATGAACATATGCATGTGTGTATCTTTATAATAGAATGATTTATATTCCTTTGGTTATGTAACCAGTAATAGGATTGCTGGGTCAAATGGTATTTCTGCCTCTAAGTCTTTGAGGAATTGCCACACTGTCTTTCACAATGATTGAACTAATTTACACTCCCACCAACAGTGTAAAAGTGTTCCTTTTTCTCTACAACCTCACCAGCATCTGTTGTTTCTTGACTTTTTAATAATTGCCATGCTGAATGGTGTGAGATGGTATCTCAATGTGGTTTTGATTTCCATTTCTCTAATGATCAGTGATATTGAGCTTTTTTTCATATGTTTGTTGCCTGCATGAAGTCTTCTTTTGAGAAGTGTCTGTTCATGTCCTTTGCCCGCTGTTTAATGAGGTTGTTTTTTTCTTTTAAGTTTCTTGTAGACTTGGGATATTAGACATTTTTCAAATGAATAGGTTGCAAAATTTTTTCCCATTCTGTAGGTCGTCTGTTAACTCTGACAGTTTCTTTTGCTGTGCAAAACTCTTTAGTTTAATTAGATCCCATTTGTCAATTTTTTCTTTTGTTGCGATTGCCTTTCATGTTTTCATCATGAAATCTTTGCCTGTGCCTATGTCCTGACTGTTATTGCCTAGATTTTCTTCTAGGGTTTTTATAGTTTTGGGTTTTACATTTAAGTCTTTAATCCATCTTGAGTTAACTTTTGCATAAGGTGTAAGGAAGGGGTCCACTTTCAATTTTCTGCATATGGCTAGTCAGTTCTCCCAGCACCATTTATTAAATAGGGAATTATTTCCCCATTGCATGTTTTTGTCAGGTTTGTCAAAGATGAGATGGTTGTAGGTGTGCAGTCTTATTTCTGAGTTCTCTATTCTGTTCCACTGGTCTATGTGTCTATTTTTGTACCAGCACCATGCTGTTTTGGTTACTGTAGCCTTGTAGTATAGTTTGAAATTGGGTAGCAGGATGCCTCCAGCTTTTTTTTTCCTTAGGATTTTAAAATAGTTTCTTCTAATTCTGTGACAAATGTCAATGGTAGTTTAACGGGAATAGCATTGAATCTATAAATTACTTTGGGCAATATGACCATATTCACAATATTGATTCTTCCTATCCATGAGCATGGAATGTTTTTCCTTTTGTTTGTGTTCTCTTTGATTTCTTTGAGAGTGGTTTGTAGTTCTCCTTGAAGAGGTCCTTCACTTCCCTTTTTAGTTGTATTCCTAGGTATTTTATTCTTTTTGTGGCAATTATGAATGGGAGTTCCTTCATGATTTGGCACTCTGCTTGCCTGTTGTTGGTATATAGGAAGGCTAGCAATTTTTTGCACATTGATTTTGTATACCAAGACTTTGTTGAAGTTGCTTATCAGCTTAAGAATCTTTTGGGTTGAGATGATGGGGTTTTCTAGATAGAGGATCATGTCATTTGCGAACAGAGACATTTTGACTTCCTCTCTTCCTATTTGAATACCCATTATTTCTTTCTCTTTCCTGATTGCCCTGGCCAGAACTTCCAATACTACGTTGAATAGAAGTGGTGAGAGAGGGCATCCTTGTCTTGTGCTGGTTCTCAAGGGAAATGCTTCCAGGTTTGTTCATTCAGTATGATATCGGCCATGGGTTTGTCATATATGGGTTTACTATTTTGAGGTATGTTCCCTCAATACCTAGTTTATTGAGAGTTTTTAACATAAAGGGATGTTGAATTTTGTCAAAGGCCTTTTCTGCATCTATTGAGATAATTATGTCATTTTTGCCCTTAGTTCTGTTTGTATGATGAATCACATTTATTGATTTGCATATGTTGAACCAACCTTGCATCCCAGGGATGAAGCCACCTTGATTGTAGTGGATAAGCTTTTTGGTGGACTGCTAGATTTGGTTTGCAAAATTTTATTGATGATTTTTGCATTGATGTTTATCAGGGATACTGGCCTGAAGTATTTTTTTGTTGTTGTATCTCTGCCAGGTTTTGGTCTCAGGATAATGCTGGCCTCATAAAATGAGTTAGGGAGGGGTCCCTCCTTTTCAATTTTGTAGAATACTTTCAGGAGGAATGGTACTAGCTCTTCTTTGTACCTCTGGTAGAATTCAGCTGTAAATCTCTCTGGTCCTAGGCTGTTTTTTGGTTGGTAGGCTATTTATTACTGCCTCAATTTCAGAACTTTTTACTGGTCTATTTAGGGATTCTATTCCTTTCTGGTTCAGTCTTGAGAGGGTGTAGGTGTCCAGGAATGTATCCGTGTCTTCTAGATTTTTTAGTTTATGTGCATAGACATGTTTACAGTATTCTCTGATGGTTGTTTGTATTTCTGTGGGGTCAATAGTGATATCCTTCTTATCATTTCTGATTGAGTCACTTTGATTCTTCCCTCTTTTCTTTTTTATTAATCTAGCTAGAAGTCTATTTTATTTTTTCAAAAAACCAGCTCCTGGATTCATTGGTTTTTTGAAGGGTTTTTCATGTCCCTATCTCCTTCATTTCCACTCTGATCTTGCTTATTTCTTGTCTTCTGCTAGCTTTGGAGTTTGCTTGCTCTTGGTTCTCCCGTTCTTTTAGTTGTGATGTTAGGGTGTCAATTTGAGATCGTTCTAGCTTTTTGATGTGTGCATTTAGTGCTATAAATTTCACTCTTAACACCGCTTTAGCTGCATCCCAAAAAGAATGGTACATTGTCTCTTTGTTCTCATTGACTCCAAATAACTTCTGGATTTCTGCCTTAATTTTATTATTTACCCAGGAGTTATTCAGGAGCAGGTTGTTCAAGTTCCACGTAATCGTGTGGTTTTGAGTGAGTTTCTTAATCTTGGGTTTTAAGTTGATTGTGCTTTGTGGTCTGAGAGACTGTTTGTTATGATTTCAGTTCTTTTGCATTTGCTGAGGAGTGTTTTACTTACGATTATGTGATCAATTTTAGAGTAAGTGCCGTGTGGTGATGAGAAGAATGTATATTCTGTTGTCTGGGGGTGGAGAGTTCTGTAGATATCGATCAGGTCTGCTTGATCCAGAGCTGAGTTCAGGTCCTGTGAATATCTGTTCATTTTCTTTTCTCAATCTAACATTTTCAGTGAGGTGTCAAAGTCTGCCACTATTATTGTGTGGGAGTCTAAGTCTCTTTAAAGGTCTCTGAGAACTTGTTTTATGAATCTGGTTGCTCCTGTATTGGGTGCATACGTATTTAGCATAGTTAGCTGCTCTTGTTGAATTAAATGCTGTACCATTATAATAATGCCCTTTCTTGTCTTTTTTGATTTTTGTTGGTTTAAAGTCTGTTTTATTAGAAACTAGAATTGTAACTCCTGCTTTTTTCTGTTTTCCATTTCTTTGGTGAATTTTCCTCCATCCCTTTATTTTGGGCCTATGTGTGTCTGCATGTGAGATGAGTCTCTTGAAGACAGCATACCAATGGGGCTTGACACTATCCAGCTTGCCATTCTGTGTCTTTTAATTGGGGCATTTAGTCCATTTATATTTAAGGTTCATAATGTTATGTGCGAATTTGATCCTGCCATCATGATGCTAGCTGGTTATTTTGCATGCTTGTTTATGTGGTTGCTTCATAGTGTTACTGGTCTGTGTACTTTAGTCTGCTTTTTTAGTGGCTGGTAATGGTTTTTTCTTTGCATATTTAGTGCTTCCTTCGGGAGCTCTTGTAAGGCAGGCCTGCTGGTAATATATTCCCTTAGGATTTGCTTGTCAGAAAAGGATCTTCTCCTTCACTTGTGAAGGTTAGTTTGGCTGGATATTAAATTCTGGGTTGGAAATCCTTTTCTTTAAGAATGTTGAATATTGACCCCCAATCTCATCTGACTTGTAGGGTTTCTGCTGGGAGGTCCACTGTTAGTCTGATGGGTTTCCCTTTGTAGTTGACCTGACCTTTCTCTCTGGCTGCCCTTAACATTTTTTCCTTCATTTTGACCTTAGATAATCTGAAGATTATGTGCCTTAGGATTGATCTTCTCACTGAGTATCTTACTGGAGTTCTCTGGATTTCCTGAATTTCAATGTTGGTCTGTCTTGCCAGGTTGGGGAAGTTCTCTTGGATGATATACTGAAGTATGTTTTCCAACTTGGCCCCATTCTCCCCATCTCTTTCAGGTAGCCCAGTCAGTCATAGGTTCAGTCTTTTTACATAATCCCATATTTATTTGAGGTTTTGTAATTCCTTTTCATTCTTTTTTCTCTATTCTTCTCTGCCTGTCTTATTCCAGAAAGATAGTCTTCAAGCTCTGAGATTCTTTCCTCCACTTGGTCTCTTCAGCTGTTAATAGTTGTGGTTGCATTGTGAAGTTCTCATATTGTGTTTTTCAGCTCCATCAGGTCATTTATGCTTCTCCCTAAACTGGCTATTCTGATTATTGGCTCCTGTAATGTTTTACCATGATTCTTAGCTTCTTTGCATTGGGCTACAACATGCTCCTTTAGCTCAGTGAAGTTTATTATTACCTACCTCGTTAAGCCTACTTGTCAATCATCCATTTCAGCGGCCTCAGCCCAGTTCAGTTCCCTTGCTGGAGAGGTGTTGCGGTCATTTGGAGAAGAGGCAGTCTGGCTTTTTGAGTTTTCAGCATTTTTGCATTCTTTCTCATCTTTGTGGGCTTATCTACCTTTGATCTTCGAGGTTGCTGAACTTCAAATGGGGTTTTGTGGGGTCTTTTTTGTTAATGTTGTTGTTTGTTTGTTTTAACAGTCAAGTCACTCTTCTGTAGGGCTGCTGCAGTTTGCTGGGCGTTCACTCCAGACCATAGTTGCCTTGTTCCTCCCATACCTGGAGGTATCACCAGTGAAGGCTGCAAAACAGCAAAGATGGTAGACCATTCCTTCCTCTGGGAGCACCATCCCGGGGGGGCACCGACCTGATGCCAGCCAGAACATTCCTGTAGGAGGTGTGTGGAGACCCCGTTAGGATGTCTCACCCAGATAGGAGAAATGGGATCAGAGACTCACTTAAAGAAGCAATCTGGCTGCTCCTTGGCAGAGCAGGTGCCTTACACTGACCACTCGGCCTCCTCAGAGATAGGAGCATAGAAAGATTAAGTCTGCTAACCACAGACATAGTGGATGCCCCTCTCCCCTGGGAGCCGCAGCACCAGGGAATGATGAGAGTTCTGTCCCTAGAACCCTGGCTGCAGTTGTTGAAATTCCCACCAGGACACCCCTCCCAGTGAGGAGAGATGGATTGGTGTCCCACTTAAAGAAGCAGACTGGCCATGATCAGACACAGTAGCTGTGCTGTGTTGTGGGGAATTCCTCCTGGTCGCTAGTACTGGCAGGCTACAGCAGCCAACTGGAACAGCAGATATGGCAGCTGCCTCTCCCCCTGGGAACTCCATCCATCTCAGGCCATTTCCAGCCTGCCACTGCTGGCCAGCTGGAATTCCAAGCCAGTGAGTCTTATGAGGTGCCATGGGTGGGGGCCCACAGAATGAGGCTGCTTGGTTCCCTGGATTCAGCCCCTTGCCTAGGCAAATGCACAGGATCTCCTGCCTTGCTGGAATTCCTGGGGCTGGAGTATGCAAAACTCCCGGGTTTCCCTAAATGCCCCAGTGAGCAGGTAGGCAGCCACTCCATCAAGACTCTGCATAGCTCTGTGCTTTGGACCCAAGGCCCTGGTGATGTAGGCTTATGAAAGGATCTCCTGATCCACTGGCTGCAAAGATCCATAGGAAAAGCATGGTTTCCAAGGAAGGGTCACGCAGTTACTAACCACCTCATTTGGCTGGGGGTGGGGGTTCCCCTGGCTCTTTGCCACTTATGGGTGGACCATCACCCTACCCTGCTTTTCCTCACTCTCCATGGGTTGAGCCATCCTCCTAGTCAGTCCCAATGTGAGAACCTAGATACCTCAGGTGCAGAATTCACTCACTGTTTTGTGAGCGCCGTAGATTGCAGCTGCTTCTAATCAGCCATCTCGGCCTCTCTCCTGTTCACTTTTCTATTGAGATGTTCATCTTTTCCTTACTGATGTGTAAAAGCTTTCCATATATGAATATCGGTATTTTGTCTGCCATATAGGCTATTAATACTATTCCCAGTTTGAGTTTAGTTTGATTTATGTGATTGTGTCATGTACAAAGTTTTGTTTTTTATGTAGTCAAATCTATCAATTTTTACACATTAGCTATTGGGCAGATCTTCCTTCCAAGCCCTGTTCTGAACCCGAATCGTTCCCTACTCTCTTCTGTCCCCTTTTTGTGTTTGAGATGTCAAAAGGGAAGAGAAAAACCAACATAGATCTTTTTAAAGAAGAGGAATGGAGTAACACATGAGAAAGGTCTTCAAGATTACTTTTTCCTAATCTTTTTTGTAAAATAAGAGCCCTCCAAAAACCCATGCAAATCCCTCACTACTTCGCTCACTCTGACCTAAGCCAAATGCATACATGGCCAAATCAGAGCCATCTGCATTGACTTTCCACAGGCAAAATCCATTTCCCTTGGGAACATCAGACACAGCATCTTTCACAGATTCCCTGCTCGGTTCCTACTCCTTGTCTGTGCTCTAGTAGTGAATCAGGAAAGACAGTGATTGATTGAAATAGCATATGGCAGCATCAAATACCAGTTTTTCTGACTTTGACAGTTTCAAGAGTTGTCGCTAGCTTTTTCTCAAGCTGAAACCTAGTGTTTTTACCTTAGTTTCTTTGCTGTGACACTCAGAATCAGTTTCGGTCCTCTGTCAGTTACATAGCACTCATAAATATTTAAATATTCCAAAGTATTGTCCTGATTCCTACTTCAACCCATGCCCCCACTGAGCTGACCTAAGCATTCCACTCTATTGACTTGTGTGTGAGAAACTATGGATTATTTTTTATGTTTTCTTTTTCAGTTATTGCAATGCTAAAATAGCAAGGTCATGATTTTATTTTCTATGCTGTCTGTGAATGGCCTATAAAACACTGAGCACTGAACTTAATACATGTAACAAAGCAATGGTGAAGAGGCAATTCAAAGAGAAGGCAGAGAAGTTCAGAGACCCAACTGAACTTCTGAGAATAGTATTTCAGACTTGGAAGTAAAAGACCAAAGTTTATTTGCTTGTGTCCATTTCTTGATCATTAATTATAGTTATTCAATTAATAATTCAGTGTCCTGAACTATTTTGATAACTTCTCATTAAGAGAATCAAAGCTGATAATTAAGGAATGAGTCAGAGACCTCATCCACAGAGAGCAAGGGCCCAAATGAACAACATAAAACGTGCATACTTTTACATTCCTAACATGTAAGTGGGCTATGAATATTGATAGTACTGAATAGGAGAGATGAAAGTATGAGCTTGCAGAGCCCTGCTTTCTTCATAGCCAAAAATCAATACTACAAAGATGCCCAACATGCTTCAATAACTGTTCATCAATTATTTACTGGGCTCTTTTGTTCTAAGTTTCTGTTTACAAGATTACTTTATAACTTGAAATGATTGTTTCCCCTCATATGGCTGCTGAATGGGGCTTGAGTTTTTTACAAGATGAACCTGAAGGAATGTGTGTGTGTGTCTGTGTGTGTGTCTGTCTGTCATCTCATGTTTCAGATCAAATCGGGATAACGCTGTTCTGCATCTTTCTTTCCAGTGGTGCTCTGATGTCCACCAGATAGTTATTAAAGGCCAAGGCATTTACTTGTCCATGAAGAAAGCACAAGAGTTTTTCAACATTCTGCCAAATCGACAGCTAAGGGCAACAGGAAGCAATGCTTCTCGAGTGTTTGAGTTTGTCCCTTCTTTACTTGCTCAAATTTCTGACTTGGAAACAAAGAAAAAACATGAAACGATCTAGTCTTACCTGTTCACAATTTTCTATCAGCTGCACGCACTTAAACCTCACGCCCCAGTTTTCAGACAAGGCTTTTTGGTTTTTCTTTTGGCATGAAATGACTAATTGGACTACAAGTTATTCATAAATGATATACAACTTTATTAAGAGCTGATTACAGTCCATGGGCACTTGTAAATTCAACGAACTGTGGATCAAAAATACTTGGGGGGAAAGAAAGATGGTTGTGTCTATACTGAACATGTCCAAACCTTTTTTCCTGTCAGTATTCCCTAAATACAGTATGATGACAATTTATATAGGATGTGCATTGTATTCGGTAGTATAAGTAACCTAGGGATGACTTAAAGTTTATGGGAGGATGTGCGTAGGTTATATGCAGATACTATGCCAGTTTGTTCAGGCTAGACTGCTTCACTAAATGGTGAAGTTAGTCAACAGACTAGCATTGGATTTATCCTTGGTCAGTGTGTCCCTAATAATGCACAAAGAATTTTGTACAGAAGCATTTTCCAGTTTATCTGTGAAATAGGAATTTTTGGTATGGTGTTTCCATTGCCACTTGCAGGAGTCAATGCTCAACCTTGTATACACAACAACAAGTTCTTGCAAAAATTGAAATGAAAGTAGCTGGCCAAGTAGTGATGGTGGTGGACGAGGGAGTATATATAGACCCATAAAAGGGGCAGCTTCTCCTCTGCATCCAATAGTGTCGATGTGAGATAACATAGGCTGTTCAATATTGCCACATCTGCTTGTTTAAGCAACCTTGGAAATCCACATAACATATGCTAGATTGTATCTGCTCTTGTAATCAAGTGCAGGCTTAGCTGTTCACCACTTATAAAACCAGTAACAAGGATGAAGTGTAGTGAAAGGAAAGTGATTCTATTTCCAGAGCTAGCCGTGGGGAAAACAGCCAGCTCACCCTTTCCGGAACCACTTCAAACTTTCGGCTGGGGAGAAGGGCTTAAAGAGGGAACTTGGAATGGGAGGCATGGGGGAATGGTGCTGAATACAAGGTCCACGTGTCTTCTTCTGGTGGCTATCTAGAACTATTGTCTACCAGGAGCATGGGCGGCTGTCATCTTAAAGCGGCTGGGGTGTGGACTAACCACCCTTGAGGTAATGTCTGGAATTTTGCAGCTGGGTCTCCATGCTTGGTCTGTCTCAACATTAGCCCCTGGAACTTCTAAGTAAGCACATAATTAGATAAAAGCATACAGTTAGATAAATGTGCATGGGGGAAAGAAGGAGTGCATAGTGGGAAAGGGAAGGGAATGGAGTTTCAAAGTATGTTTTGAGGCTATATTTTAAGACTAAGGAAAAGTTTCTACAGTTTATTTTGGGGTTACATCTTGAGACTGGAAAGAAAGGAGGGGAAAGAAGTTTAAAAGTGCATTTTCAAGCTAGACTGCTCAGTTACACTCTCAGGTAGCCTCTGGCATGAGGAGGGGCTGGTGATCTGCCAATGAGCACAGTGGTATATGTAACTTACAGGCAGCTTATAGTCCAAGACCAACTACAGAGCAGTTTAATATTTTTAGTGTTGTTCCTGGCCAGGTTTCCTTTAAATAAATCTTTTAAAATACAAATATTCTTTTAAACTCAAGCAGAAATTCTGTTATGATTATTTTACCCAATTTTAAAATTTTAAGTTTTTTTAAATTATACTTTGTTTTAGGGTACATGTGCACAATGTGCAGGTTTGTTACATATGTATACATGTGCCATGTTGGTGTGCTGCACCCATTAACTCATCATTTACATTAGGAATATCTCTGAATGCTTTCCCTCCCCCCTCTCCCCACCCCACAACAGGCCCCGGGGTGTGATGTTCCCCTTCCTGTGTCCAAGTGTTCTCATTGTTCAATTCCCACCTATGAGTGAGAACATGCGGTGTTTGGTTTTTTGTCCTTGCGATAGTTTGCTGAGAATGATGGTTTCCAGCTTCATCCATGTCCCTACAAAGGACATGAATGCATCCTTTTTTATGGCTGCATAGTATTCCATGGTATATATGTGACACATTTTCTTAATCCAGTCTATCATTGTTGGACATTTGGGTTGGTTCCAAGTCTTTGCTGTTGTGAATAGTGATGCAATAAACATACGTGTGCATGTGTCTTTATAGCAGCATGATTTATACTCCTTTGGGTATATACCCAGTAATGGGATGGCTGGGTCAAATGGTATTTCCAGATCTAGATCCCTGAGGAATCGCCACACTGACTTCCACAATGGTTGAACTAGTTTACAGTCCCACCAACAGTGTCAAAGTGTTCCTATTTCTCCACATCCTCTCCAGCACCTGTTGTTTCCTGACTTTTTAATGATTGCCATTCTAACTGGTGTGAGATGGTATCTCATTATGGTTTTGATTTGCATTTCTCTGATGGCCAGTGATGATGAGCATTTTTTCATGTGTGTTTTGGCTGCATAAATGTCTTCGTTTGAGAAGTGTCTGTTCATATGCTTTGCCCACTTGTTGATGGGGTGGGTTGTTTGTTTCTTGTAAATTTGCTTGAGTTCTTTGTAGATTCTGGATATTAGCCCTTTGTCAGATGAGTAGATTACAAAAATTTTCTCCCATTCTGTAAGTAAGTTGCCTGTTCACTCTGATGGTAGTTTCTTTTGCTGTGCAGAAGCTCTTTAGTTTAATGAGATCCCATTTGTCAATTTTGGCTTTTGTTGCCATTGCTTTGGTGTTTTAGACATGAAGTCCTTGCCCATGCCTATGTCCTGAATGGTATTGCCTAGGTTTTCTTCTAGGGTTTTTATGGTTTTAGATCTAACATGTAAGTCTTTAATCCATCTTGAATTAATTAATTTTTGTATAAGGTGTAAGGAAGGCATCCATTTTTTTAAAAATGGGTAGCAACATGATGATATTCTTCATCACTTTGTTGACGTTGGGATAGTGGCAAAGAGCGCAGGTGCTGGATGCAAACAGAATCTGGCTACAGATTTAAGGCTAGCCCATCACCCGGACACCTAGAATACAGAATAGTATTTTAAAAGTACTCTCAGACAAAAATAAATCTAGAATTTTCTCTATCTTATCATGACCCTCATTGTATAATTTCCAGTAATAACTCCCTGTGTGAGTTTGGGTCGGTCTAATATCTTGTAGGTCTTAAATTCTCCTCTATGAAATGGAAATACTCATAAAGGTCTCCCAAATTGAGTAGAAAAATAGGTTTGTAGAGGGATAGAGAATTTTGCCAATAACTCTGAACAGTCTTGTAGAGCCTCCTTAAATGTAATTTATTAACAGAGTTCCACCTTTCCAATGTGGAAATGAAGGCAAAGGGGTACATGGTTTGGAGCAGCACATCCGGACATGAGGGAGAGAGAGAAAAATCTAGGTACTGTTCCTTTACGGAGACTTTGGCTGTGTCCACACAGATACAAGCGGCAAAGGTTTCTCAGGTGTTGGGACTACATGTGCCAGTCAGAGTCCTAACATGCTGTGACCAACAGCCTCAAAACTGTCCTGGTAT
The DNA here is from genome assembly GCF_000001405.40 of Homo sapiens. Classification (NCBI taxonomy): domain Eukaryota; kingdom Metazoa; phylum Chordata; class Mammalia; order Primates; family Hominidae; genus Homo; species Homo sapiens. The sequence goes on from NC_000003.12 coordinate 68,731,189, forward strand.
GTTTGTTTGTTTTAAATTCTGCAAAAATACCAAACATTCTCATACCTATTTCCCTACAGGAAAGGAATGGGAATGATAACATTAAAATACTTCTCAAAGCAAGCCCCATTTCAGGCCTTACTTTTGAAGTAAAAAAGTACACTTTGAAACAACAATGGATGAAATGGCAGCTTTGAGGCCTGCCATTTTCCCAAATGGACCACTGATTCCCTGGAAGTGGTTTACTCACCAGAGATGTACCTTAAGGTGAAGTACTGTCAAGCCACTGTTTCATGTACCATAAAATTTCCATATATATATTTAAATACATAGTTAAATATATATATATATATTTAACTCAATACTAAAGGGAGCAAAGTATGCGTAAAACATCATGAGTGTGCCTAAGCTTAATGCTACATAGGTTTGGGAGAAGAAACTAAGCTACCCAAATGTATGTGCCAACTTTGCCATATAGTTCAACATCCCTAAAGTTAAGTGTTATTTTTAAAAGGAGTTTTTCACGTTTAAAATGTGTAAGCCTAGGTAGGATGTTAACACAAAGTCTTAAGGCATATAATAATCACAAAAACATGTATGCCATCAGCAGGATGAATTTTTTTACTTATTCATATGATCATAACAAATATTCAAAAATTACGCCAACAAATCTTTCCATTCCTTTCCATTCCCTCTGCAAGAATAAAATCAAATAACTGTTAGGCTATAAACAACATTAAAGTATTTATTTTCCCCCTATAAATGTGAAAGGACAGGGATAATTAACTTGGTGCAGAAACTATGTTTTTGGCATTTCTTAATATATAAAATTCATCCCATATTTTTACAGTAGTATGTACTTTAACAACATTATACATCTAAAATCTGGGTCAGTCATTCTTCATCTGTTTCATACGTTTCCGCATGACAGCATTTGAGAATATGTGGAGACATGTCTGCTGCAAAATCATTAAGCCAATCAGGACTCAGATTTTAAAGAAATAAGATGGCTAACACAGAAGTCACAGAAGTAGGGAAACAGCTAAGTTAAGAAGAACTCATTTACAGTCTAAAAATTCAGCACTGAAAGACTCCTGTCTCGGAGTTAAAATCTTTTCATATAATTGGCATAAATTTGATCTAAGAAATAACCCTTGATCTAAATTGAGATTGTTTTATATTTTAAATGATTTACCTACATGACTACACAAAAGCCGTAAAAATTCCAACAAGTTTTATAAATATGTTCTGATAGAGCTTTGGTTATAAAATATTGGAATTGATATGCTTCCTTAGCACTCAGTAAAATGGTACATTGAAGTTAAAACGCTCTCATTTTATCTCTGCTAACTGGAAAATGGAAAGCAAAAAAAAAATAGAAGTAAAAATACAATGCACACACAATAATCCAACTATGTCCTTCTATTCTTCAAGGGTTATAAAATAAACGTTCTTTACCAGTTAATCAGTTGATCTCTAGCAGTAATTTTCTTCACCAGCTAATCTACATCTGCAAATATGTTTTGCCAAAATCTTTTTAGACCCCTTTAAAACCACTTTAATACAAGGACAAAAGGAAAAGTTCAAAAGAGGAACAGAATGAGGACCCTTTGGAACATACATCCAAGTTCTTTTGTAAAAGCAGAAAGAAAGTGAAGAATGAACATGCCCTTAGTGGTGATCCATTTTGAAGACTCTGATTTGCTCTTCTCGGATTTTGGAGGTATGCTCCTTGGGAATCCAGAGAGGATGTCAAATGGGTGGTGGCTTGTGGTTATAATTCAATGAAATAAAATCACGAAGCAGAGAGGGCTGGGCCAGTTAAGTGAATGCCACCTCTCACAGCTCACATATACAAATATGAAGTTGCTGAAATCCTAGACAATTTTCTGCAAAGGGGCCATGATGGGAATCCAAGCAAAAGAGCTCCGCCTCCTGCTGCCCCTCCAGGATTGAAGCACACCTCTCTCTTCGCTACCGCGTTACCTAAAACAAATCAAAATAAGGGAACATTCAACACTCTATACCCACCGAAATAACCATTCCTGCCCCCGAGACCAATAAGGTCCTGACTGTGAATACTTTATCAGTTTGTACATTTACCTATAACCGACCTCACCAAATCAACAGTTCAAATTCTGCTTTGCAGCCTAAAAGCAAGAAATATAAAGAATACATGCACAAAGACTTCCATAAGAGGGTATTATGCAGTCTGGCTTTGTATTTGTGAGGTTATAAAAATCCCATCTGATTAGGTACACTCATCGCCCATCAGTTCATGCATGCTGAGCATGCTTTGTTAATGGCACTAGAATTTTTTCAAATAAATGGTTGATTAAAATCAGTGCATGTCAAGATAAAAATGTTGCCTTTTTTATGTTATTTTTTATGCAGTTAACTTTCACTTTTGAAAATAGGTTATTTTATAAAACTGCTGTATTATCCATTAAAAAGGTAGTGGTTGTATTTTTCAGACATCCAGGCTCATTGCTTGTGATCTAAGAAAATTGAACAGCAGTTTCTATTCATGTAAGAAATTTTACGTGTTTGTTAGTCAATATACCAGCACAGGTGGAAAAAAAAGCATAAGACTTTAACATGCCTACACCACAAAAATATTTTTTCAAAGCAAATTATTTGATAGTATAGTCACCATACCCAGGCTTTAGACCCAATCAGCTATGTATGCAAACCTCAGCGTTGCTATTAACTGACATCTGGCCTTTATGTACTCAACAGTATTACTCCCCTTTTGTTTGTGCTGGGTAACTACAGCAAACTAAACAAAAACCCTGCCCCCATGGAGCTTACCTTCTAGTGCAGGGACTGGAAAACTTTTACTGGAAAGGACTCAATATGGTAAATATTTTCAGCTCTGCAGGCCATACAGTCACTATAGCAACTACTTAACTCTGCCTTTATTTCATTCACAAAAGTAGCCATAGACAATAAATAAATGAATGGGCATTGCTTTGTTCCAGACTTTATGTATAGATGGTAAAATCTGAATTTCATATAATCTTCATGCATTCTGAAATATTCTGTTTTTGATTTTTTCCAAGTACTTAAAAATGTAAAACCCAGTCTTAGCTCATGGCCCATACAAAAGCAGGCCAAGGGCTGGATTTGGCCTGTAAGCCACAGTTTGCTGATCCCTATTCCAGAGGAAGAGGTTGGATAAACAGGTAAAATTAATAATATGGGCAATGGAGAAAAGTAAGGTAGTACGATACAGGAAAGAAAGGCTGAGGCAGGGAGGGTAGAGGGCCGCTCTTCTATACAGGATGTCAAGGAAGGTTGAAGGAGGAGAGGAAGAGTTAAATGCAAGGACTTTGGCCTTTTTCTGAGGTTCAAGGAAGAGATGAGGAATGCATGGCAAGACTGAACTGTCAACTTAAAGAGTTGTGACAAATAGAACAAAGATGTAAGAGAAAGAGGAATCAAGGACAATTCCAAGATCTTTGGCTTGAGCAACTGAATGATGGAGTTGGCCATGTTCTGTGATGGGGTAGAGATTGTCTCCCTTTGCCTTAGTTTCTTCATCTGCAAAATAGAGATAATAGTACCTGCCCCCGTCAAAGAGTAAATAAAATATGTGACTTGAATGACACAGCCCAGTGGTTGACACATGGTTTGTACTCAGGGAATGGTGGCTATTGTGATGTTAGCTCTTTCTGGATCTATCAGTCTACATCCGGGATGTAATTGTCAAAAGCATCTTCTTTGAGGCAACTTATTCCCTATGCCCAGCTCATTTTGGACAACTTCACTGAAGTTGGATGATAAAATGCTCTCAGACTTATTTTCCTTTAAAATTATTATTGTACTGATTACATGTGGAAGATTCATTGCTACTTCTGAATTTTGACGGATACAAGGCTACTAAGATGCCAATATTAGCTCTATTCCCATTCATCAGGGTACCCTGAGCATTTCAAGTCTGACTATAGAGATCAGGGAAGACAAAACTTGAGGGTAAAGGAGTCATCTGAGCTGGACATTAAAAGACAAGTGGAATTTTAGAAGGGCAAGTGGAAAAAGGAGGCAGCAATGGTATGGGGAAATACATGGCCTGTACAATGATTGGCAGTGAAGGCCCATTTAAGATGCTTATAATCTGTATTTTGCATCAGTTTCCAATGGGGATCCATTGATGTTCTCTCAACAGGGAGGGAACCTGGGCAGGGAGCTTACCTTTGATGCAGAGAAAGCAAGGTATAAGCCAATTAAAGGTGAGAACAGGTAGAGAGCTCAGTTAGACTAATGGTTCCCTCATACTGCCTGTTGATCACAATCACCCTAAGAACAACTTTTTTAAAAGCGTGGTTTTCTAAGCCCTATCCCAGACTTACTACACCAGAATATCCTAGAGGTAGAGTTCAAAACTGTGTTTTTTACACGTTCCCATGATAGCATTAAATTATTATTATATTGACAATGACCCATGGTGATGGCCTAAGGGACAGGCAGATTAGAGAGCCATTTGAGGAAGATACTGAAGACAAAACTGTTGCTTCCATTCTGTACAAATTTTCCAATATGAAATATTGGAAATATTTAGACAATAGAAACTTTGAAAAACAAAATGAAGTAAAAGAATCAAGTAGGAAGTTTGCAAAGAGCTACTGAAAAAAATATACTATTCTTTAAAGCAGCTTTTCAACCTTCATACTATTGACATTTGGGGTCAAATAATTGTTGTAGAAGCTGTCTGTGCTTTGTAGGATGTTTAGTAGCATCCCTGGCCTCTACCCACAAGATGCCAGTAGCATCCTCACAATGTGTGATGACCAGAAATATCCGAGACATTGCCAAATGTCTACTCAGGGGCAAAATTGTCTCTGGTTGAGAACTGCTACTCTAAAGACATAGCTTTTCACCCTTAGTAGAGGATTCAAAAATAAGAACATTAAAAAGTCTAAAATGTCTTAAGATTCAAAGTGATTTGCTTCTGCTCACAAACAAGATACGGCAAATGCTTGGCTTCGTTGCTAAGAAGATATCATACCCTTGTTAGAAGGCTTAAAATGGCAACCCCAGATAGTAAAAAACTCTTTAGCTCACCGAATGCAGCAAAACCCAGATTTCAATTAAGAAAAAAAAAAATTAAGGCAGGTCCACAGAGAGAGTCATATTTTCCCAAAAGAAGCAGTAGCTGCATCCCCTCTAGAGACACTGAAAACTGTCGGCAGAGTAAACTCAGTGCCAATATTTTATACCTGGAAAAGATAACTAGTTAGGGAATTATCCTCTCTCTTTTCATATCTTCATCTAAAGCTATTAATATTCAAGTTAACTGCCAACTATTTTCATATTTGCATTTAAATGGAAAATAAAATTCTGACATAGCTGACTTACTGGAGACCATCTTACCTTTAGCTTTTCTGTGTTTTGATGCTGCTGTGCATGAACTATTTAAAGAAAATGGAAACTATTATTGTTATACAGTTTAGTTAATACGTCCTCTAGGGAGACAATTGCTCTGCTTTTCTAGGACCTCTGTCTTACCTGTGGTGTAAGGTCAGTAACAATTTTAAGAAAAAGATACTACTGGAAGCTAGTCACAGATCCACAAATGAATTTACTCTATGTGCATAAGATCCATAAAAGACATAAAATGTTTTATGCAGTTCAAGTCACACTGACTTAGATTAATAAAGGAAACAAAGTTTTATGACTTCAAGATTATTCTCAAGTGACATATCACTAAAAAAGCAGCCCAAGTATCATGATGGCTTGGGGAACTGTATTATCTTTCTACAACTTTTCGAAGTGCTAAATGAAATGTCACTACCATTGAGGATTTAGCTACAGCAAACTTACATTCCCAGCACAGAGCCAAAATGCCCCTAAAGGTTTGCTTCCTGCAAATGCCTTTTCTAACTACACATAAATAGAAAGCCGTTCTACCAAGAGAACTACAGTTGGCTTTTGCTCATGATCTTGTTTTATATTTATATATAAAAATCAATACAAATATAATCTTCCAAAATATTATTCCTTAGCCTACAAGAAATACACTGATGGATGTAATACCCTAATTCGTGGGCTACTCCAAGATTTTCACTTAGGAAGGAATTAGGAAAAAATAGCTGAAATGGGACAAGGGAAAGATAGGGAAATTATCTTAAGGCAGGGTTTGCTTAGCAAGCACGCTGAGTCTATATAGCATGGAAATTTATTGGGAATGGCTTAGAATGATACGAGTGTTGACCTCCTTGCACCACCAGTAAATGACTCCATGGACTTCTGCTGCTCTGGACATAAAAGCAGATATCAGATCGTTATCCCAGTCATCTCAGTATCACTAACAAGGATAAGTTAGTTGACAACCGCAATTCACGTTGAAAATGGTCTGGTTTTACCTAGAGAATCAACCGACAACTATTCCATTGATAATCTGGGGTATAATATCAGCTAAAGTTCCCATTTAAAATGTATTGTAGAATCATATTTTCTATTTTGTTTTAGACTTAATATCTTTATATTTTAATATATTTTACAAAATCTTAATGTATAAGTTCAAGTTCACACTTAGAAGGAGAACTGGCCTGTTTTTGACCTCCATGGCTGAAGATGAATTACTAAACACTTAAGAGTTCTCATTCAAAGTATTCATAAAGGGGACGACATAAGAAAGGCAAGAAGCCATTCACTGTATGTACTTCCTAAGGGATCAAAGCTCAATAGCAATGAGAACCAAAGACTCACTCCATTCCAGTATGTCCAGCTCTAATGATCTTAGAATGACCTTGGTCATGTCATTTTTCATTCAAGAAATAGTTACCAAGGCATTCATCTGGCTCTGGGACTAGCAGGGAAAGCAAAAACAAAGCCAGGGCCCAACATCAAAGCTCTCCCACCAGACAGAAAGCTCTAGGTATTAAGCAAAATATGGATAGCAATCTATGTAAAATGTAACCATAATAAATGCTCAGAGATACAGGGAGCCTGAATTCAATCAGGAAAGAAGTCCCCGAAAAAATGATGATTAGCCAGAAAAGAAAGGAGGGAAACATATTCTATGAAGAGGGAACAGCCCATGCCAAAGGACCAGGGTAAGAGGGACTGACAAAAGGCCAGGATGTTTAGAGCAGCAAGAAGGAAGCGGAGGTGGTTTGGCCATGTTACACATTAAGGACCAGGCAGAGGCTAGTGGACCAATCACCAGAGGGTGCCAGTGGAATATTTTGAGGTGGACTAGCTTAGAGGATGTGCATTTTACAAAATTATTGTAGTCACTGTGTAGGGACCAGACTGGAAGGCAGCAGTCTAGCAGTCTAGATTCATCTCCATATGAGATGGCAGATTGGACAAGAGGAGTAAGCACAGTGTTGAAGAATCATGGAAAAGTTGGGTAGTAAAAATCCTAAGGACAATGTAACCAACTGAACATAGGAAGAAGGTAGGTTTCTGGCTGGAGGACTGGGTAGACAATGGTGTTCTTCAGCAACAGTGAGAATTGAAAAGACGACCACTTGGGGAGAAAAGCGTTGGCTTCTAAGTCTTGAATAAGAATCTCCAACCATTAAATCTCCTTTAAAGCAATAGGTATTTCTACTTGAGTAAATCATCTGGATGTGGATTCTTGTCATGGTGTTTTGATACATTGGCCTGTCGACTCTGAAACCTTTACTTTAAATCGGGCTTGTGAAGAAGCTGAAATGAATTTAGTAGCCCTGCCTAAAATAATGAATTCTCCCACCAAATCACTGTTCTATAAAATCTGACACACAGAATGATGCCGGGAAATGCGCTTTTCAAAAAGGCCAAATCCGTAAGGTAGCACTGCCCAAGCAGGTTTATTAACACATAATAATGTGTTCTTGATGGCAGAATAAAATCAAGGGGAGAAAGCCCCACAGTTGATAACTTGTAAATTGTAGTTGCATTTTGTCTATACTTGCCTTCGTAGTTTTGACTTTATTGCCACTGCTACAGGACCAACCTGAGTAATCTGGCAGCACTTTACAATCCTCTCCTTCCAAACACGGATTCATGTGACACCACCATTTCTGAATCACAATGGAAGCTGGAAAACAAAGGCCAAATAATATTTGTGACACTGTTTCTTCCTCCAAAGATGGACAAAATAAAACTCAATACAGAGTAGTACACTGAGTTCAAAGATTGCTATTAAATTTACGGTTGGTAAATTGAAGGAATCCAATCAGGCATATACTCTACAAAATATTTCATTTTTTTATTAAAAATTTTAAAAGCAACAGATGTTGGTGAGAACGCAGAGAAAAGGGAATGCTTATACACTGTTGCTGTGAAGGTAAATTAGTACAACCTCTATGGAAAACAGTATGGAGATTTCTCAAAGAACTAAAAATCAACCACTGAATCCAGCAATCCCACCCCTGGAAAAGAGACTGTTATATCAAAAAGACACCTGCACTCATATGTTTATCACAGCACTAGTAATAAATAGCAAAGTCATGGAAACAACATGTGTCCATCAATGGAGGACGGGATAAAGAAAATGTGGTATAGATATGCTATCAAATACTACTGAGCCACAGAAGAGAATGAAATCCTGTCTTTTACAGCACCATGGATGGAACTGGAGATCATTATCTTAAGTGAAATAACCCAGAAACAAAGTCAAAAGTCAGTCATTTTCTCACTTATAAATGAGAGCTGAATAATGTGTACACAGAGACATAGAGTCATGGAACAACAGAAATTGGAGACTTGGAAGGGTGGGAAGGACGAGAAGTTACTTAAGGGGTACAAAGTACACTATTTGGGTGATGGCTACACTAAAAGCCCAGACTTCACCACTATGTACCCTTAAATTTATACAAATATAAAACAGATCACTTTTGCAGTGGACTGCCCAATTGTAAAATATAGCTGGTGAGATCTCAGGCTTTGTGGTGGGCTTGCCTGGGTTTGAATCTGACTGTGCCATTGTCTAGATTACACTAGTTCTCGGACTTCTCTTAGTGTCAGTTTCTTCATTTGAAAAGTAGATCCTCACCCCAGGATGTTAAGAGGATAAAGTTAATCCACGTGTGAAAGTCTTTGCTGACTTTGAGCCAGTCACAATAGTCTCAGAAAATGTCAGCTGTTAATATGGTCATCATCTTTGATTGCAGGTTACAATGGTATTGCAACTGGTTCTTAAGTTTGATGCTGTCAATAGGAAAAACTAAAAGCACTAAAAATTTCCATCATACATGGTATTCATCTCTCCATGCCATTCTAGTGAGTGGACAGCAACCACTTAAAGTCAATTACAAGAAGCCACAGGAACATGGGAGGGCCTGGCATTCCTTCACCTTTTCATATGCCTGTTAGTCATTTGTATGTCTTCCTTGGAAAAATATCAATTCAGCTCCTTTTCCTACTTTTTAATTAGGGTATTAATTTTTGGCACTTGAGCAGGTAGGTTTCTTTTATATTTTGGATCTTAACTCCTTATCAGATATATGGCTTGCAAATATTTTCTACCATTCTCTAGGCTGCTTTTTCATTTGATGTAGTCCCAATTGTTTATTTTTGCTTTTGTTGCCTGTACTTTTGGTGTCATAACCAAAACATCTAAGATCAATATCAAGGACCTTTTTCCCTATGTTTTCTTCTAGGAGTTTCATAGTTTCACTTCACAGATTACATTTACATCCTTTTCAAGTTAACTTTTCCATGTGGTTTAAGTCACAGGTCTAACTTCATTCTTTTGCATGGGAATATCTAATTTTCCCAGCACCCTTTATTGAAGAGACTATCCTTTCCCCATTGTGTAGTCTTGTCACCCTGTCAAAGACTAGTCAACTATAAATGAATGGATTTATTTCTGAGTTGTCTATTCTGTTCCATGGGTCTACATGTCTATTTATTTTTATGCCAGTGCCATACTGTTTTGGTAACTATAGCTTTGTAATATAATTGGAATCGGGCTGTGTGCCTCCAACTCTGTTCTTCTTTTTCAAAATTGCTTTAGCTATTTGGGGTCTTTTGTGGTTCTATATGAATTTTAGGACTGTTTTTCTATCTTTGTGGAAAATGCCACTGGAATTTTGTTAGGGATTGTATCTGTAGATTGCTTTGGAGAGTATGGACATTTTAACAATATTTTTCCAATCCACGAACACAGGATATTGTTCTGTTTCTTTCATTAATGTCTTACAGTTTTTAGTGTACTGATTTTTTTACCTCCTTGGTTAAATTGATTCTTAAGTGTTTTATATTTTTTGATGCTATTATAAAAATAGGATTGCTTCCTTAATTTCTTGGATTGTTCATTGCTAGAGAAATGCGACTGAGTTTTGGATGTAGATTTTGTATTCTGCAGCTTTACTGAATTTATTAGTACCTGGTATTTAAAGAAGAACTTGGCCGGGTGCCGTGACTCATGCCTGTAATCCCAGCACTTTGGGAGGTCCAGGCAGGCAGATCATGAGGTCAGGAGATCGAGACCATCCTGGATAACAATGTGAAACCCCATCTGTACTAAAAATAAAAAAAAGCCAGGCGTGGTGGCCGGTGCTTGTAGTCCCAAGCTACTTAGGAGGCTGAGGCAGGAGAATGGTGTGAACCCGGGAGGTGGAGCTTGCAGTGAGCTGAGATCACGCCAGTGCATTCCAGCCTGGGTGACAGAGCAAGACTCCATCTCAAAAAAAAATAAAAATAAAAATAAAAACTCTCCACTTTCTCTTCCAAAGAATCGAAGAAGAGAGAACACTTCCAAACTCATTTAATAACGCCGGCATTACCTTCATGCCAAAGCCAGATTAGGACACTACAAAAAAGAAAATTATAGGCCAATATCCTTGATAAACATACATCAAAAATCCTCAACAAAACACTAGCAAACTGAATTGAACATCACATTAAGAGGATCCTCCACTATGATTAAATGGGATTTATCCTTGGGCTGCAAGAATGCTTAATCAATAAATGTGATACACCACATTAACAGAATGAAGGATAAAAATCATATGGTCATCTCCTGCAGAAAAATCATTTGACCAAATTCAACATCCCTTTATGATAAAAACTCTCAACAAAGATAATTTTATACAGAAGGAATGTACTTCAACATTATAAAGGTCATATACGACAAGACATGGATATCTACGCTCACCATTTCTATTCAATAGAGTACCAAAAGTCTTAGAGCAAGCAGGCAAGAAAAAAATAAAAAAGGTACTTAAATTAGAAAGGAAGAAGTTAAATTTTCTCTGCAGGCAACACAGTCTTATATATAGGAAGCCCTGAAGACTTTCCTGACAGGTTTGACTCAAACTATGCTGCCTGTGAAGTCAGAAACTCTAGTTCAAACAAAGCTTTACAAATCCTAACAGCTACTTTTTATTGAGGGCCAGGCACCCGGCTAATTTCCTTCCTGCATTTTCTAATTTAAACCTCACTACAAACCTGAGGTTAAAAATTATTTTTCAGGGCAGGGAGGTGAGGGATAAAAGACTACACATGAGGTACAGTGTATACCGCTCATTGGTGCACCCCTCACCTATCTCAAATTACCACTAAAGAACTTACCCATGTAATAGAAAACCACTTGTTCCCCAAAACCTTTTGAAATAAAAAATATTTTTAAAAACATTATCTTGTACTTCATCGAAATGAAAAAACTGAGGTCCAGGGGCCTTAAGTGACTAGGGCAAGGTCACAGAGTCTGAAAACAGTCAAACAAGCTCTTGAAGAGAGGCAGTCTAATGCTAGAGCCCAAGTGCTAACGCTTATATTCATACCTCCCTCCCTTATGCATCTACTAGAAACAAATCCTTGTATGGAAGGAGGCAGCCAGTGCATTCAAACAGTTCCCCAGACAAACACTATGTGGCATGATGAGAGCACGGGACAATTTCATTATCCACTGAAGGGGCCAGACATTGTAGAATCTTCTCCACAAGTGGCCACATTGTACCCGATTCTGGCCGAATATACTGAGCTACTATCTAGTGATATCCATCAAAACAAATAGTACCTAAGTCAGGTGGATTTGTGATCTAGGGTAACCACTTGTTATTTAAATCAGGCATTGCCAACACCAAGAAAGGAATCTAGCCAAATTGGTTATTTATTGTGCCAGAGACTGCCACTAAACTGGGATGGATGTACATAGCAGGTAAAACCTAATAAAGTTATATTCTTGGCCAGGCATGGTACCTCACACCTGTAATCCCAGCACTTTGGAAGGCCTAGGTGGGCAGATCACTTGAGGTCAAGAGTTCAAGACCAGCCTAGCCAACGTGATGAAACCCCGCCTCTACTAAAAATGCGAACATTCACTGGGCATGGTGGTGTGCACCTGTAGTTCCAGCTACTCAGGAGGCTGAGGCAGAAGAATCACTTGAGCCCGGGAGGCAGAGGTTGCAGTGAGCCGAGATCGCGCCACTGCATTCCAGCCTGGGTGACAGAGCAAGACTCTGTCTCAAAAAAAAAAAAAAGAAAAAGTTAAGTTATATTCTTTGCAGCCTCAAATATCATAACAATTTCCCCTTGCAGCTTCATGGAGCTGTGTCACTTTCAAAGCACTTCTACTTACTGTTCCTCTTTTGATTGTCCCAACAACCTTCAGAAGCCAGAAAGGGGAGCCAGATGGTACCACAGATAAAAACCAGAGCTTCCCTCAGAGTTAGTAAAGGGGTGGAGGGTGGTACTAGAATCTAGATTTTCTTCTTCTCTATCCAGTAGTCTTTCTACTGTAACACAATTTTCAATAATATTTTAGATTAGGAAGTTCTACATAGAGTTTTACTATACTCATAGTGTTGACCACTCATTCTTGTCTGAATACCACAGATTGGTTCCAAGTGGATATAAAAATAAATAAGAGATGGCCCCCAGACCTCAATTTAAAATACCATCTGCAGGACTAGAAAAGTTACATAAATGTTGACAGAGCTTAGTTGTATTTACATAGAATTAGAGCTGAATTTAAAATACTTTGTCTTCAAAACTCTTCCTCAGACTAACTTTCTTCCACTCAGGAGTGAGAACCCGTGTACTTTGGAAAGGTATCAGAGTTTCATGAAAGATTCAAAAGCAGTCTTGACAGGTGGCCAGAGGTCCACAACTGAAGACAGGAGCGACAGTGACGGTTCCACCTGGAAGCCAGCAGACGCATGTGGCTGAAGTGAGAGATGGTCAGGGAAGCCCTGGACACCCAGATTAGGAGGGTGTCTGGGAAGGAACCATTAGGGGCTCTCGAGGAAAATTCAAGATTAGACTTGGGTCTCTCAGCAGCAGACAGCCAGGGAAGGAGTCTGAGCCAAGTAGTGCAATAAGGTAGACAAAACTGGGTGCCAGAAGAGTTTGAGAAGAACAAACTCTAAAACAGAAGAGCAACTGAGGTGGGAGTGAAGTGAGAAATTGCGGAATAAATTCCCTGCAGAGAAAAACAATGAATCAGATAATCTCAACCTTTCAGCAGATAAATTCCAGTCAGCACTTACTTACTGAACCCATGGGGACACAAGGTACTTCTGATGCCAAAACCTAGAAAAGGAGCTGGAGGGGGAAATAAAAATGACGGATCCGGATGTATATCACAGAACACTATGCCACTTCTTAACTACAGGAAAAAAAATCAGCATTTACCTAGTGTTTAGGGATTTAAATTAAAAAATTTAAAAAGGAAACCTGAAAGACCAAGACAGAACTCTTATGAGATTATCTACCAGGTTTTTCGTTTAATTGGAAAATATGGAGTGATGCTTTCTTCTAAAAACAGATTTGCCTCAGATTCCTTAAAATAGCAAGCTGCCCTGAAATGTAAAGGAGTCCTATTTGCAAATATATATATTTTCCCATCTCACAGAAGAATACATTGTGAGGTGCCCTTGTTCGTCAAAGTGTTACCCATGATGGAGTTTCTTTGTGAAAGGCTTTATGGCAAGTGCTCTCTCAGAAATGACAGACGTAGAAGGAAACACCACAATAATCAAAAGACACATTGCAAATTCCGTTATGAGTTAAGGATTGACTAAAAACTGACAGCAAGGGTAAGAACCCACTGAGGGCTCGACCTGACAGAGAATAAGGTGATTAAACAGCCAGGAAATTTAAGCTTCGAGTGCACCTTCAGCCTCACTAGCAGGGACAAAGGACTCAGAAGTAGGATTTTATTAAAGTTACTGGTGAGAACATCTGCCCACTTTACTGAGCCTTGTCTCCACAGGAAAATAAGTTTGTAGGAGGCATAGATATTTTTTTCCTGTTACAAAATATCATAATACACTTTAAATGAGAAAGTGTCTTGTCACTTCTATTTTTAAAATAAAATTCGTTTAAAAGCCCCATGCTTCCTGACTTATGAAAACACATAATACCCCTGTCTTCAAGCTGCCAACCTGTAATGAATTTCCAGTTTTATGCAGAAAGAAAGAAAAAAATAAAAAGACAGTGACGCCCTCCCTGGTTTTGTGGTAGCAACTGCTATATTCTATAATGCTGTTGTCGAGGTGAAAATTTCATGTGATAATTAGCTGTTTTGCTTCTAGTACATTTTCCTTACTCTCTATTGTATAAAATGAGTTTTATTTTGTATTCTTTTCCCAAATAAACATCACTCGGTTAAACAGAACACAATTATGTATTCATACAGTTACTTAGATAAGCCAGACTTCAAATTATAATAACCAAGGACATGCTCACTTTTCATGAGTTGGATTCTTACTTGCTGATTTAGTTTAGCTGTATTTACATGGTGTGATGGTTAATATTAAGTGTCAACTTGATTGGATTAAAGGATGCAAAGTATTGTTCCTGGGTATGCCTGTGAGGGTGTTGCCAAAGGAGATTAACATTTGAGTTAGTAGACAAGGAAAGGCAGACCCACCCTTAATCTGGGTGGGCACTATCTAATCACCTGCCAGCACAGCTAGGATAAAAGCAGGCAGAGGAGCAGATCTTTCTCCCGTGCTGGATGCTTCCTGCCCTCAAACATTAGACTCCAAGTTCTTCAGCTTTTGGACTCTTGGAGTTACACCAGTGGTTTCCCAGGGGCTCTGGGCTCTCAGGCCTTCAGCCATGGGCTGAAGGCTGCACTGTTGGCTTCCCTACTTTTGAGGTTTTGGGTCTAGGACTGGCTTCCCGGCTCCTCAGCTTGCAGACAGCCACTTGTGGGAATTCACCTTGTTACTGTGTGAGTTAATACTCCTAATAAACTCCCCTTCATATATACATCTATCTCATATATACATCTATCCTATTAGTCCCGTCCCTCTAGAGAACCCTAATACACATGGTGAAAGATATTCTAAAGAAAAATGTATGTTTCTACTGCAACTATGAACAGAAAAATTAAGAAAACATCTTCCTAGAATATATGCTTTATAAAATATGCTCCAAGATTTTAACACTTTGTGTCTTCAGTTATTTCAATCCTATTATTATTTCAAGATTCTGTGTTCTTTAAAAATTAAGCCATTAACTTTTATATTTCTTGTTAAGAAAAGAAGCCATACCAACTTGACCCAGCTAACAGGCATAAGAGCAGTAGTTAGAGCACTAACCATTTTTTTTACAAGGAATCTTACTTGTTCACACATTCTGCAAGTAACACAATATTGTTAGTTCCACAAAGTACACAGAATACTGAGTCAGTGCATGAGTACACATACACTGATCTTTTGGAATCTACGTTTGTCCTCTCTACTAAATGCAGACCCACACAAGCATATCCACATACTTTGGGAACCTCTAAGTCAGGGTTTCTCAACCTCAGTGTCATTGACATTTGGACCTTGTTAATTCTTTATCGTGGCGGTCAATCCTGTACATTGTAAGATGTAAGGCAGCACTTCCGGCCTCTACATGCTACACACCAGTAGCACCCTCTCCCAGCTGTCTTGAGACAATGTCAAATATCCCCAAGGGGGCAAAATCGCCCCTGGTTGAGAAACTGATCTACAGTTTGAAGGCATACTAACTCAAAACGAGAGGTTGTGCTAGTTCATCAGACCTGCTCAAAGCTCTTACTTACGAAAATAATTCTAATCCATGATAAACACCATGCTACCTCTATTTTATGTCTTCCTTCCTGCCCCTACCATGGGCAATTCCATGAATTTAAAGTTTTTGCACACCCACTTGTGAGTTTTCTCTCTCTCTCTCTCAAACACACACACTGATACGGTTTGGCTCTGCCCCTACCCAAATCTCATCTTGAATTGTAGCTCATACAAGCCCCATGTTTCATGGGAGGACCTGGTGCAAGGTATTTGAATCATGGGGGTGGGTTTTTTTTTCCCATGCTGTTCTTGTGATAGTGAATAAATCTCAGAAGATCTGATGGTTTTATAAAGGGCAGTTCCCCTGCACACACTCTCCTGCCTGCTGCCATGTAAGACATGCCTTTGTTCCTCCTTCACCTTACACCACGATGGTGAGGCCTCCCCAGCCACGTGGAACTGTGAGTCCATTAAACCTCTTTTGCTTTATAAATTACCCATTCTCGGGTATGTCTTTATTAGCAGCGTGAGACTAATACACACACATGCATGCTCGCACACACAAATCCTGACTGATTGTGAGCTCACCATGAAACCTATGCTGACGAGGTGACCTGTCAAATTTAGGCATCACATTTCTCCTTCTCCGGAATCTTACAGTGCTTTATATAAACTTTGTTCATAATACTTCATACTCTTTTTTATTGGCACACTCTCTTAAAACGCAAATTCCCAGAAGGCAGGAATTAAATCCTAAAATTTGACTTATTCTAAGGCCTCTCACATCAAGGGTCCTTTTACCTTTCCAAGCCAGACCAAGCTACTTCTAGTTCCCGAGTTAGCCCCACTCACTCTCATATGCTTCGTGCTGCCTTGTTCCCTGACTCCCTCCACCATCATATCCTTCTACCTACTAAATTCAGACTCATTGCTTCTCAAGGGGCAGCATCCCTGACCACCTCTCTGTTCTCCCTTTGAGTCCTTCATTAATAAAACTTTGTTTCTCTGAACTAGTAAACTCTGAGTTCCTTGAAACCAGGACCTGAGTCTCCTTATCATGCTTCCATCTGGCATCTAGGGCAGGTCAGGCACAAAGGTGCCAAATTAAAATGATGAATGAACCAACGTATGCAATATACATATCCTCCCAACTCCCAAAGTGTTTTGGCAAAATCCTCTCTGTCATTCATGTGTCTGCACTGAGAAAAATACGTTTTAAGTGGAAGGAGAACAAGCCCAGTGAAAACACATTGTAAAGACAGACCCTATGTCTCATCACACAGCCCATAAAGCCATGAAACTTGTCTGCAGTCCACACAGTAACTCTCCTTCTTAACTAAGTGAATTGACATCTTGAAAAAGTGGGCCGGGTGCGGTGGCTCATGCCTGTAATCCCAGCACTTTGGGAGGCCAAGGCGGGTGGATCACGAAGTCAGGAGATCGAGACCATCCTGGCTAACATGGGGAGACCCCCGTCTCTACTAAAAATACAAAAAAATTAGCCAGGCATGGTGGCACGCACCTGTAGTCCCAGCTACTCGGGAGACTGAGACAGGAGAAACACTTGAACCCGGGAGGCAGAGGTTGCCGTGAGCAGAGAGCACGCCACTGCACTCCAGCCTGGGCGAAAAAGCGAGACTCCGTCTCAAAAAAAAAAAAAAAAAGTGATAGAAATTGGGGCATCAAAAAATTTTTTAAATAGCTTTGAAAAGTAACTACTTTCCATTTCTGAGCTTTTGTTTTATTAGTCTTTTAAACCCAATATTTAGAAACCATTTTGACAAAATAAACTTCCTTGTACTACACATTTGTCTCATTTTATCATAAAACCATTCAGCATTATCTCTATAGAGCAGTATTTTCATAAATGTGTAGAATATAGTTTCCACCATAAAACAGACCTGTATATGCCAGCCGAAGATTCACAAAGAAGAATGCTTACCAGCTGAATAGCTGTCTGTTTTAGGACCCATACCACAGTCTCACGATCAAATAATTCCCTGTCCCGTCTCCCAAATCCCCAATGTATATTAAAGACCCACTTCAATAACTCAGGGGAGGTTTCGTAAGTTAATTATGATAAAAAAGTTTGGCAGAAGGGGAACAGCTAATTATTTTCCCTGTTTATATAATATAATCTATGGTTTTATAGAAAAGCAATGAAAACACTAGATAATTATCTGTGGTGTGGATTAACAGAAATGCAAAAGGATATTCCAGTTTCTATGTCGGCATTAATTAGTGCCCCATGCCAACATCTTCTTGCCTTTGTTTTAATTTAAATGTAAATTCAGGTAAATTTTATATTTTAGATCCTTTCTATTCTTATTGACAGATAAGAGGAACATATCAGCAGAGAATAGGTCTTCTCACATTCCAATTAGGGCATGATACTGCATAATTATTATGGGATAAAGATTAAGCAGGTAAAGCTAAAAAGCCCTAATGGAAACATATTCAGATAAGGAAGAGATCAAAGAGAGATGAAATCAGACATACATCCCAACCAAAGCTTAAACTTCCTACACTTCTCAGTGACTTTGATCCAATAAACATTTATTGAACACCGACTGTTTGCCAGACAATGTTAGGTATAGGAGACACAAGTTGAAAGACACAATCTCACCTTTCAGGGTACTGGCACTCTCTGACCACAAATGTTACACTCAAGTTACATGTTTACATCAAGCATAACCTGCACTTTCCAATGTGAAGCTTTAAGCCACAAGTCCCTATTAAATCTAAATTTACACTAGCCACATTTCAAATGCTCCATAGCCACGGGTGGCTAATGGCTACTAGCCACACTGGACATATATATCATCACATATAGATATCTATCTACACAGGTTATGTCCATAAATATATAGAGAGGGAACATGTGCATCATCACAGAACATTTTAGTAGACAGCACTGCATAGACTCTGCTCAGATGCTCCAGGACTGGTCCGTATCACTGATCCTGTGACACTAGGGAAACCATTTAGTTAACCTGAGAGTCTGTTTGTTTTGCCATAAACACAATCAAAATGTCCATCAATAAAGGAATGGTGGCCAGGTGTAATGGCTCACACCTGTAATCCCCACACTTTGGGAGGCAGAGGTAGGAGGATTGCTTGAGCCCAGCAGTTCAAGGCAGCAGTGAGTTATGATCATGCCACTGCACTCCAACCTAGATGACAGAGCAAGACCCTATCATTATTTTTAAAAGGGAAGACGAATGGCTAAATAATTATGGCCTATCCATACATGGAATGCTATGGAGCAATTGAAAACACCCAGTTAGATCAATATGTACCAGCACACAAAGATTTCTGCAACCTAATACTGATAGGAATAAAGCAGGATGCGTGAAATATCCAATGTGATAGCATTTGTGTAAAACACACACTCATATTGAAATCTACCACTGTTTTCTACAAACCTATCTCCAAATACACAGATATACAGAAAAATATATTGACCAAACAGATAAATGCAGTTACTTCTAGGGTGGTGGCCAAAGGGGATTTGCCCATACATACAATTTAAAACAAGATAGTTTGCGGTAAGGTATTCACATTTTCTTTACTAAGATAAAGATACTAATAGTCATCACTGCCCTATCAGTACTTTTTAGGTACCAATAAAAGTGCTTTGAATATTGTACAACATTATTCTGGGTTAGACAATATAAAAAGAGTTTGTTAGAAGACATTTAAGGCCTACAGAGGCAAGCAAACATATTGTCTGTAGAGAGCAATCTGTGATTAGCAAAGTCCATTCTCCACTGTACTAAAAGTTGTTTGTGGGCCAGCCAATGGGGAAAGATGAAAGTAAGAGACCACATCCCCATCCACAAGCTGTTTACATACTAACTGGAAGGCATACGTTTTTACAATAACATGGGATGAATGTCATGAACTGGAAATCCAGGGTGTTGCAAGAACTTACAAGAGATTTGAAAGGAGAATAAGAAGAATTAAGCAGACCAGGTGTGTCTCATGGGGAGGAGGGCAATGATTCAGGCAAGGGATATAAATTAGTAATGTGCAGAAATGAAAAGAAATGGGAAGAACTCTGGATTGCCTAGGGTAGAGTACTTGAAAGAGAACTGAGACACAGATCTTGCAGGGCTCGGCAAGCCATGGTAAAGAACTCCTGGAGTTTATCTTAAAGAGAGTGGGAAGCCACTAAAGTGTGGTTTTCAGTATGGGAGTGACATAATCCATTCTGTTTGTGTAGATCATTCTGGGTAGAGGACTGAAAGCGGAAGGAGAGGTGTGGCACACTCAGCAAGATCTAAGGGTGGCCCCTAGACTGTGGACGTAGCAGTGGGGATGGAGAAAAGTGGGCTGATTTGAGAGACAGCCAGCAGAAAGAATGGTTGTGATGTGATTTGGATTCAATTAATAGAGATGATAAATACATTAGACTTCCCCAGCTGGAGATATACAGACTCAGCATATTTCTTTTAAATGCCATTTTTTAAATGTTAAAGATCTTCATCTTTTTTTAATAGGTTGACAATCCTTTATCAATAATCCCCAAATCCAAAAAGCTTTGGAAATTGAAAGGTTTTCTGTAAGATGACAGCAAAACCTGACTTGAATTAACATGAAGTTCTTTATCCAGCCTTATCCCATGCTGCATGAATATTCATACATTTCACTGCAGATATAGTAATATTTCTATGATTATGGGGTGCAAGTGGAGAGTACAGTAGGTCTGTAAGGTAATAGATGGTATATTTACTATGTTACCCACATAAAATATGAGCAAAGTCTGAATTCAGCAACACATTTGGCCCCCAAAGTTTCTGATAAAGAACTGTAGGTGGAAAATTTCCACTTTCACTTTCCTGTTTTAAAGGTGGCTCAGATGGTGCTGATGTATACCACTGTAACCACAGAGCCCATATAGTTGTGTATGTCTATATGTGTGTTTGGTAGGGGGAATGGGATGCAGGTAAATCAGCCGTTCTTGTTCACTGTGCAATATGATCTGGAGTTAAGAATGTGTGTGTGTTTTAACTGCTGACCTTTAGACATGCATCAAATGAGACAGGAAATGTTCATTTTCAGGGAGGTTTCGTGACACTGCAGAGCAACTGCTACAGGACTAACCCCATGTATTTGTTCCCCTGGGGACTGACACTTGTTTCTAACACGGCGTCTGCTGGAAGAAGCCAGGGGTATCAAAAGAAATCAATCCCAGGCCTCCACCTACAACCATCAACATTCATATATATTTTTTAACTATTGGCACAGCACTCTGCTAGGGGATTTGGAGATTACAAATGAACGATACATGATTCCAAACTATTCCCAGGGAAGTTGTTCCAAAGAGACTGTCCTATAAATGTCTGTTAAAATGATAAACTAGAAATAAAAGACAGGATACTAACATATAACACCAAGCATGAAGTGAGAAAGTCATGCTGCTAATTTTGAGTAGAGAGCATAAGAGGAAGGAGAACAGGGCATCAGAGGAAACAATTGCTTTGGTGAGTGAGATTTGGAGACAGGTGGGTAAAAGGAATTGAAGCACATCTTCCCAACTGCCCTATAATATAACTCCCCATTGGTACCCCTTGTGGGACATTATTGAAGGCATATCTTACCATCAAGACATTTTTGGAGTTGTATTTATGTACATTTTTGGATTGACACTGATCTCAAAGCAACCCTAGGTTTCTTTGGGTTGCAAAGACAGTAAAGTAGGGAAATTCCTGGTGGGTTTTGGCCTTTTTGAAATACCAGAGATGCTGACCAGAGAGGTCTTACCTTCAACACAAGAAGGTTGAGCCCGAGTTGTGCCCGCCACCTGTCCCGGGAAGCAAGAGCACTTGACCGTTTGTGACCGCTCTTCTATGCGGTTCTTATTGCAGCACCTGTGCACGGCGACCACCTCACAGGTCCCTTGCTTGATTTGGTGGTGACCTAGTTGGTAATGGGGGAGAAAAACAAACCCAGTGCTGTTAGAAGGAAATGACACCACCAAAACCAAAATGATGCTATGATGACATTTTCCAACTTCCTGTGCTATGCTTATGAGTCTTTGTAACATTTTATTTTGATAACATATTATTTCAAATTTATATAAAGGTGGTGAGAAGAGTGCAAAAAGCTTCTGTGAACCTGTGGTAGGCAGAAATGAGGCCTCCAGGATCCTCAACCCCTGGGGTCACACTCATGGTTATGACACATTAATTACATGATAAAAGAGAGTTTGCAGATGTGACTGAGATTGATAGAGTTTTTTTTTTTTTTTTTTTGAGAGAGAATCTCACTCTGTCACTGAGATTGGAGTGCAGTGGCACGATCTCAGCTCATTGCAACCTCTACCTCCTGGATTCAAGCGATTTTCCTGCCTCAGCCTCCCGAGTAACTGGGATTACAGGTGTGTGCCACCATGCCCAGGTAATTTTTATATTTTTAGTAGAGACAGGGTTTCACAATGTTGGCCAAACTGGTCTCGAACTCCTGACCTCAAGTGATCTGCCTGCCTCAGCCTCCCAAAGTGCTGGGATTATAGGTGTGAGCCACCGTCACTGGCCAACTGGTTGATTTTAAGAGAGGCAGTGTAGCCTGGATTATCCAGGTCAGGCCATTCAGGGCTCAAATGAGCCCTGAAAAGCAGACAGATGAAGAGCTCCAGGTGCCATTGCTGGCTTGAAGATGGAGGGGCCACATGTCAAGGAAATGGAGATCTCAGTCCTACAACCTCAAGAACTGCCAATAACCAGAGTGAGCCTGGATGCTGATTCTTCCCCAGAGCCTCCCCATAAAGGAATGCAGTCTGCTGCTACCTTGAATTTAACCCAATGGTGAGACGCTGAGCAGAGAATCCAGCCAGGCAGTGCTAGACTTCTGACCTGCAGAAACATGGGGCTAAATGTGTGGTACTTTGTTATTAGTTGGCAATTGCTGTTGTAACAGACTTCACCCAGGTTCACCAGTTAATATGTGGCCCCATTTGCTTTATCATTCACTCTCTCATGTTTTTCTAAGCCATTTGAGAGTAAATTTCAGACATGATGCCCCTTTACCCCTAACTACTTCACTGTGTATTTTCTAAAAACAAAGACATAAGGTTACATAATGATTAAAGATAGAAAATCTGACATGATACAATGCTACTACGTAATGTACAATCTATATTCAAATTTTGCCAATGTCCCAATAATGCCTTTTATAGCTATTTTCCCCCTGATCAGAATCCAACCAAGGTGCATGCATTGCATTCTGTTGTCACATTTCATTAGCCTCCTTTATTCAGAAACTCCTCCTCAGTCTTTCTTTCTTGACCTTGACATTTTTCAAGAGTTACATGCCAATTATTTTGCAGAATGTCCCTCAGCTTGGATTTGTGTGATGCTTCCTCTTGATTAGATTCAAGCAATGCATTTTTAGCAGATTGTCCCAGAAGTGATTCTATATTCTCAGTGCATCATATCAGGAAACACCCAATGTCCTTTCATCCCATTATCAGTGCTACTACCTTTAATTAAATGGTTAGGATGGTATCTGTCAGGCTTCTCCATTGTAAAGGTATTATTTTTCCCTTTATATTAGTAAGCATTTTGAGGGAGATATATTAGTGAGACTATGAATATATCCCATTCTTTATCAAACTGTCACCTACTAGTTTTAGTACCCATTGATGATTTCCACCTGAATCAATTATCAATATGATAGTTGTAAAACTGATTCTATGTTAATGTTCAAATCGTCCCATATCTGGGGAGGAGGAGACCCTTCAAATTGTCCCAGATCTAGGCAGGAGGAGCTGTGTCATATTCTCATCATTCTCTGAGAACTTACTAACCTTCTGACCCTCAAGATGTTCCAGACTTACCTGGTATTTTCCCTGCCCCCGTAATTTCTTCAAGAATCCTTGATGACTTTTTGTGGGGCATCCGACTTAGAAACCCGAATCTCAATGTGTAGGTTTACTCATCACAACTAGGGAGTGATTCAGGCCCTTTCAGCAAATAGGTCAAGGAAGTATGTGCGCAGGTACATCGACATCTCCGATTCCAATCTAGCACCACAGTTTCTTGCTACTCTCCCAACAACTCTCTATTTATATCTCCCATCACCAACCACCTGAATTCCATCATCCTGTGATAAAGTAGTTTCTGTATTGCACATGTACTTAAGGGTAATTTACATTGGAATCCATTTATCAGGAGTCTTTTGTTAGAACAACAGAAACTGATTTGAGCTAACTTAATGCAAAGAAACTTTACTGGAAGATCAGGAGTTTGTAGAACAAAGAGTGAATGTAGCTAACCATAAGTGGAACTACTCTCATGGCTCGACCTGAGTGAGTAATTCCACTCTGAACCTGCCATTCTGCTCCATGTGTCAGTTCTAGGAAAGGGTGCATCTGACTGGCATGGCTTAGGTCACATGTCAACTGTGGCTGCCACCCTCTAAGATGCTCCCCTGTCATCCCCACCACCAAGTATTCACACGTTTGTGCAGCCCCTTCCCACATGGCACCAGGGTTGGTCTATATGACCAAAAGCATGCAGCAGATGTGCTGGTTTGTCAAGTCCAAAATTAGGTGGCTGTCATCTCCAGGCCCTCAGATCACTCACTCAGGGGAAACCCTGGCATGAGCAGCCCTACAGCCAGGCCCAGGTGGTAAGAAACTGAAGTGTCCTGACAATAGCCGAGTCAGTAAACTTGCAAACAGACTCCTTGTGCAGGCCCCTCCCACATTAAACCAGAGTTGGTCTGTGTGACAACAGCATACCACAGCAGAAGTGATGGTTTGCCATGTACATGATTAGGTGATAAGACAATGGCACGCTCACTCACATGTTCATCATCTGTCCTGGGGAAACCATGTTGTGAGCAGCCCTATGCAGAGGACTACATAGCCAGGAGCTACAGTCTACTGCCATTGGTCACATGGATAAGTGTGGAAGTGGATCCTACAGCCCCAGCCAACAGCATAACTACACTCTCATGGGAAATCCTGAGCCAGAACCACCCAGCTAAGCCACTCCCAGATTGCTGGTGTGCAGAAGCTGTGTGTGAGATAATAATGTCTGTTGATTGTTTTAGGTTTCCAAGATTTGGGGTAATTTGTTACACAGCAGTGGATAACTAATACACCAACTCTGGCTATACCCAGCTGGGGAGACTTACCTTTGCTCTGATAAAAATAACATAAACGAGACTGTAGAGGTTCTGTTCAGAAATTATTAAGGAAAGACAACTTTTTCAAGTACCCTCAAGTGTGTTCATGATTTTCAGATACATCCATTTACATATAAATTGTTGTGTGAATTGTAAGCAATTTCATCTACTCATTAAAAGAGGTTTCCCTGAGGATTCCCACTGGTTAATGCTTTGCTTGGTTTCTGTTGGTGTATGTGTTTCAAAATAAAACCAATTTAAAAATATTCCATGATTCAGACTTTTGATCCATAAAGACAGGCTTTCCAAACAATAACCTCGATATTATTCTGAATGTTTTCTGGACCATCCCTGTCATGCCATCTTCAACGTCGATGGCAAGAAAATTCAATTACTGGTGAGAACAAATGCTAAGGCGAAGTTTCATTTGTAAAATGCACAGACAGAACCAGTACCCAGAGAATCAAACTACCAGCAAGAGAGAAAGTTTTCAATCTACTACTTAAGAAAGCATGAATATGGAGAAGTGATTTAAATGATAAACCTAATTAAATGTTCATAACAAGAGCGTTGATTTCCCATAGGTAGTTGTATACAATTGTAAAATTAAATAAATAGTAATTATAATGTCAGTAAAGTAGTATGAAACTTTAGCACTGAGTGAGCAGAAAAGTAAGGGCTGGGAAAGGTTGGAGGGGAGATCCTGTCTTTGGTTTCCAAATGCAAATCAGCAACTTTCAGTCAAACATTCCCTGACAGCTAATGACTAGCCATGAGCAGGGGCCAGGATGATCCTTTCACAGTTACCTCTCAGGAAATGTCCTCCCATTGGTCATTGTCTCAGTCTGCTTGGGCTGCCATAACAAAATACCATAGACATAGACTGGGTGGCTTAAACAACAGAAAGGTATTTTCTCACAGCTCTGGAGACAGAGTCCAAACTTAAGATGTCAGCCTGTTCAATTCTTGGTGAGCGCTCTCCTCCTGGCTTGCAGTCACCTTCTTGCTGTGTCCTCACATGGAGGACAGAACAAACTCTGGTGTCTCTTCCCCTTTTTATAAGGACATCAGTCCTGTCAGATTAAGGCCATGCCCTTAAATGACCTCATTTACTCTTTATCACCACCTCACAGGCCCTCTCTCCAAATATAATCACATTTGGGGTTAGGACTTCAGCATATGAATTTTGAGAGGATACATTCAGTCCATAACAAACCATCATGCCTTGGTTAGATTACTAAATGACCCTTGAGAGTCTGTAATGAAAGCAGCTTTAAACCCCACTAAGAAAATGAAAAATATATGTGTCAGCAACTTCTTGGAGCAGTCAAGAAATGATCTGGATGTTCAGTAATGCTATGATTTACTTAGAACTCTGTTGCTATATAACCATCCACAAGTACAAATGGATTATTTTCCATTCAAACTTAGAACTGGGCCACAGTGCCCTGAATTATCAGGTTGCCTGATCCAGAATTTTAATTATTTATACAGCACCAACTCTTGTATTTCACTGATTTTAAGATACATATTTTTTTCACCTTCTAACACATCAGGAGGTGACATAACTAATAGCACCTTACAATTATAATTGACACTGCTTTTCCTTCTTAGGAATACACATTATAGTGTTGTATCTCACAACTGATGGCATCTTAGATTTGATAAAATATAGGTTTTAGGTACTGTTTGAATTTTTTTTTTGTTACAAATATCCTGTGCAATCTTATAAAAATGCTATGGGGTAGGTACTGTTTTTTACTCCGATTTTATCTTTAAGAAAATGTACAGAAATTAACTAATTCACCCAGGGCCTCATAACTAGAGATTGAGAAGAGGTGAGATTCAAACCATAAGATGAAGGAAAGGTTCCCCTCTTGCTTTATAGCTTGTATTTTACCAAGTAGAGCCTAAAATGGCATCTCCACCTCAGCAAGTCATGGGACATAGCTCAGTTTCCCACTGACAACATCTTTTTCAATTTGATGACAGTGTTTGTGTGATTCCATACAGTCTTTTTAGAAATTTGTGTATTGGTGACAGTGGACAACTGATGTGGTTTGACTGTGTCCCCACCCAAATCTCATCTTGAATCGAAGCTCCCACGATTCCCACGTGTCATGGGAGGGACCTGATGGGAGGTAATTGACTCATGGGCACATGTCTTTCCCATGCTGTTCTTGTGATAGTGAATAAGTCTCATGAGATCTGATGGTTTTATAAAGGGGAGTTCCCCTGCACACACTCTTGCCTGCTGCCACGTTAAGACGTGACTTTGCTCCTCCTTCGCCTTCTGCCATGATTGTGAGGCCTCCCCAGCCTTGTGGAACTGTGAGTCCATTAAACCTCTTTTCCTTTATAAATTACCTAGTTTCCTTCATAAATTACCATGTCTTTATTAGCAGCATAAAAATGAACAAATACAACTATGATCTTTGAATAAGGATATATTTTTATTTCTTTGTAATTTCCTGGCACAGGAGGTAGGTACTCGGCAACAGGTACTTAAAGGTGCTCAAAGCCTGATGGCAGAAAATAAGGATCCAGTGTGAATGGCGCATAGAAATTGCTGCTTATAATTGTTTCAGCAGCTCGTGTTATAACATTGTATTAGTTAAGGTTCTCCAGAGAAATAGGACCAACTGGATGTATACATGGAGAAAAAGAGAAGTATTTTAAGGAATTGTCCCATGCAATTATGGTAGTAGGCAAGTCCTAAGATCTGCAGTCTGCAAGATGGGGACTCAGGAGAGCCATTTGTCTAGTTTCAGTCCAAGTCCAAAGGCCTGAGAACCAGGAGAGCCAATGGTGTCATTCCCATCTGAAGGTCAGCAGTCTTAAGGCCCAGCAAAAGCCAGTGTTTCAGTTCAGGTCTGAAGGCAGGAAAAGACTTATATCCCAGCTCAAAGGCAGTCAGGCAGGAAGAATTCTCTCTTACTCAGGGGTAGAGCAGCCTTTTTATTCTATTCAGGTCCTCAGCAGATTGGATGAGGCCCACCTACATTTGAAAGGGCCATCTGTTTTACTCAATCCATTGATTCAAATGTTAATCTCATCCAGAAACATCCTCCCAGATACACTGGGAATAATTTTTACCAAGTATCTGGGTACCTCATGGCCCAGTCAAGATAACACAGAAAAGTAACCATCACAGATGTCTTACAACCATGTATGACATACAGTATTGTAGGATGGGAGAAAAATGAAAGCTGAAATGCAAGAAACTAGCAGCTCTTGTTATAAACTTACTTACTTCTCTAAAAAGGTACAGGGGGGATGCCTTGTTCAATAAGCCTGGTACCAGAGAGTGGCCACTTCAAGTAAATTCACTTAAAACAAAGATGAATTTTTCCTCTAAAACAGCAGGGGAACATAATGGTGTGGCGATCCATCTTGAAAACTGAAGCTAAATATTGAGAACATAACATGAGGCCCCTGCAATAAGTGAGAAGTTGCAGATGAAACTTCTCATATGGAGTTTACTTTAAGTTTTGAAGTGTGAATTGGAGCAGGCAAGACTGCGTTATCCAGAAATGGGGCTGCTCCTAGGAGGGAAACTGGACAAAGCAAAAAACAAAACACTGTCCCCTTCATGCTGTTAATCCTTTCAGTGGCTAAGCTACTTCCCTTCTGGCTTTGTCTGGGTGGGCAGATGGGGGGTAGATGGGTAGGTACTAATTTCTATTTATTTTACCAACTCTTACGTACAGCATACTATGTGCCAGAGACTGTTCTTGGTGCTCTTTGAGACATATTTTTTAAGTGGGGAAACTTGAAACTGTTACTCGATTCCTTTCCACACTTCTGAAATTGCAATCGGGTTGCATATTTTCTGTTCAAAAAAGAAGACTTAAAATACTGGCAGGGCTGTAACATGTGAGATGCCTGTTTCCTCATTCACCAGAATAGTTGATGTAGACACCATTAAAAGTGTTATGATAATCCTTACAACAAAAATTGATTGCTTCAGGACTGCTATAGAGGATGGATTAACTTTATCTGAAGAATAAATAGCTTAAATACATATCATTTTTTTCTTATTAAATATACTTTTAAGAAAAGTTTCAAACAATAGAAAAAATACCCATTTGTCCCAGTGCAGACAGGGCTTTTCTATTGTGAAAGGGACAAAATACAAAACCACATCTGCAATAGAAGTTCTTCAGCTGAAACTACTTGAAAGCTAATAGAGACACAGAAAGCATCAGATTAGGGAGACTTTCTTTATGCTATTATTTCCCTTGCATCCTTCTCCTTTTGTTGAAATCCTTTTTCCCCTTCCTCCTCCTGCCCAGCACTAGAAAATACACCCTCAAAGAGAAGTCTCACACTCCACTGATCTTCTTAGAAGGCATCTGTTTGATTTGAGTGTGGTTTTCTGTATGGCATTTTCAGCCTATCTCTCCACGGGAGCAGAATAGAGGAAAGAGAAGGCTAAATACAAGATTTCATGAAATGAAAGCAGAAAATGAGGCCACAGATAGTGGCTTCCCTTGGCGAACATGCCCAGTATTCCTAGTTGCAGTTCTCTAGTAATTCTCAACTTTCTTCTCCTATCCCTATCCCAACTTGGCTTTTAATCAAGGAAGACATCGCAGTGTAGAAGACGATAGTAGCCATTTGATGGACAAACTTGGTAGTTTAGTTGTGAAGACAAATATCCACTGAGGCCTTACTATGTGCCAGGGCCTCTGCCAGGTGGTGAGGATAGGACAGTAGAAGAGAGAGACCCCTGTGGTCTCAAAAAGTAGAGATGCCAAATGGAATTATCTGACTGTTCTCCTAAGATGGAAGTGGATTTATCGTTACCTGCTGGTAACAAAAGACAGGGTATTGAACTTAAGAGTCAAAAGAACTGAGCTGGAATACTAGCTTCCAGACTTAGGTAATTTGATTAAGCCTCTCAGTCTTGCATTTCGCATGTGTAAGTAGTACATGACAATTATGAAGTTTAAATAAAGTGCTTAAAGAACACAGTGAACTACTTGAAACACTGCAGATACTGAATAAATGCCTTTTGGCTTTTATTACATATTTATTCAATAATTATTTGCTAAATATTTACTCTTTGACAAGCACATGCTAATATAACACTGAAAAAAATGAGCAAAAAAAAAAATCATCTTCCTTGAAGATCTTTCATATTTTAGTGACAGGAAAAACACAAAGCAAGAAAGGTGCAATTTAAAATAGGAAGAGCCTAAGAAACTAACATTTGAGTACTGAGTGAGACATTAAAGCTGTTGAAAAGATAAAAGCCTTGCAAAATCTGAGGGGAAATGCCCTTGTGACTAGAGCTGTGTCAGAGCAGAAACAATAAGGAGATGATGCCAGAAAGATAATGAAAGGTGTGTGGGTGATTACATGGGCCCCATGGATCATTATAGAGGCTTGGGCTTTTACTCAAAGTGGGCTGAGAAGCCACTGGATATTTTGAGCTTATAATGACTTAATGTGACATATATTTTAAAAGATTCTACTGTGATCAGAGCAGATTAAAGAGGGGCAAGGATGGAAGAAGCAGAGACACCAGCTCCTGCCACAGTAATCCCTGGAAAGCTGGTGGTGGCTTGGACCAATGTGGTAGCAGTGGAGGTAGGAAGAAGAGGTTGGATTCTGGAAGTAGAGGCTTCTAGATGTGGAGATTCTGGATGTTAAGAGGCTAACTCCAAAGTTTCGGGTTTGAACAAGAATGGAGTCGTCCCTTAAATAAACCAGAGAAAACAAGGAGCTTGGTTGTTAAATTTCATGTCTTAAATAGACAGGTAACTGAGAGAAGTCCAGATATTTAAGTCTGGAGTTCAAGAGAGAAATCTGGCTTTAGGAAAGACATTTGCTCATTATTGGCGTATGTATCTAGTATTAAAGCCATGAGACTAGATAAAATCCCAGAGGGAAAAACTGTAGCTAGAGGATAAAGAAAAAGATTACCTCTATGTTAAGAGCTGGGAAAGCCATTGGTGGCCTTAATTTAAAAAAAAAAAAATGTAGCAGAAGAATGGAGGTAAATCTTGATTGGAATGGGTTGGAGAGAGAGCAGAACTGAGAAATTGTAGACAATAACTATAATGACTATTTGAGAAATGGTGTTATCAAGGCAAGGAGAGAAATGAGAATGCCACCAATAGGATAGACAGATGTTAGCCGGGATTTTTAAGATGTGGGAAATTACAACATATGTGTATGCTATGGGGGAAAATCTCATAGAGATGTCTGAATAGGTAGAAGGAAATGGGTAGAGCATCAAAGGAAAGGCTTTATAGGAGCATAGATGGCTCATTTACAGTCTTCCTCTCCCCAGTTTTTGATACAGCCGATGGTCTATTTGCAGGGTATGGTTTTTGCTATGCACTTCTTAAATTCATCAGAATAAAGTATGCCTTGCCCACATAAAACTAGTCCCCACTCAACACCAGGTGCTGTCCTGTTAAGTCTGTCTATCTCTCAGTGACTGTCTAAAATATCCTATGATGCAAATATTACAAAAGATGAAGAATCTCATGAAGTCAATAAAAGTGATGTTGGGGCCGGGCACAGTGGCTCACGCCTGTAATCTCAGCACTGTGGGAGACTGAGGCAGGCAGATCACTTGAGGCCAGGGATTCAAGACAAGCCTAGCCAACATGGCAAAACCCGTCCCTGCTAAAATTATGAAAATTAGCCGGGTGTGGTGGCACATGCCTGAAATCCCAGCTACTCAGGTGGCTAAGGCATGAGAGTCACTTCAACCCAGGAGGTGGAGGTTGCAGGGAGCTGAGATCATGCCACTGCACTCCTGCCTGGGCAACAGAGCGAGACTCCTTTTTTTCCTTTTTCTTTTTGAGACACAGTGATGTTTGAGAGCTGCTTGAACACCATTCATAGCTATTAACTGAGAATTTGGCAGATTTAGGTCAACAATTGAAGATGAGAAAGTCAACTGAAATATTCAAAAGAGAGTGATTTAAGTAGCAAAGGCCTAAAGAGAGACCTTTAGGAAAATTGGTGAAGCTCTTGAATGCTTTTGTGAACATCCATGATCATGTGGCAAAAGGCAATTGTAAAATGGAGGATGATATATTAGACTATATTACATTATTTCCCCTGAAAAGCCATGTAGCAAAATCCAGTCTAAGAATTATATCCCAGCTCTCTTTCCCTTTTCCACTCAGAGCCTTCTTCCTACACCAAAAAGATATAATGTATTTCCTAACTTTAATATATTTCAAGG
Organism: Homo sapiens; assembly: GCF_000001405.40. Taxonomy (NCBI): domain Eukaryota; kingdom Metazoa; phylum Chordata; class Mammalia; order Primates; family Hominidae; genus Homo; species Homo sapiens. The sequence continues at coordinate 68,763,442 of NC_000003.12, forward strand.
AAAATTTATCATCTGCTTGGAACACTCTGTCTTTGTGAGATTAACTATTATTGTTCGATTCTAATAGATATTACAAGAAAAGTTATTCAATGGGTCAAAAATCAACACAAAAAAATACTATATTCTAACCAACATTCCTCAGTCGCTTACCTTACTTTTTAAGATATCTAAAAACCTCCCAAGCTCATCACTTCTAATAAGTCTTAAAATTTGTCTTCCCTTACTACTCAAAACACTACCTTTTCTAAGGACTTTCCTTTTGTCAGTTTTCTTAATCAGAAGTCTACTATCTGTTTACCACTTTTTTTCTAATAATATCATAGATTTGAAGGTTCATAATATCTCAAGATGATAAACACCATGGAATAAATGCTCTGAGGGGATCTCATCATTAGGTAAACCTTGGTCTTTAGTATGTATGACAGACTACACACACACACACACACACACACATAAGTATGCATACACTGAACTAGAAATAGCTCCCTAAGAGTTAGTTGATTTAAATAAATAACATATACTTTCAAATGTTATACTGAGATACAACTTACTTCTTAGTGAACCTAATCCACTTATATTTTGTAAATATTCCATCAAACTGTGTTATGAACGGTACTGAATTTGTCCCCTACAAATTCATATGTTGAAACTCTAGCCCTCAGTAGGATTGTATTTGGAGATAGAGCTTTAGTGGGGTAATTAAGGTTAAATAGGTCATAAAGGTGGGGTCCTAATCTGATAGCACAAGTGTCCTCAGGGGAAGAGACATCAGAGAGCTCATTCTTCCCCATACCCCCACAGAGAAAGAGGCTATGTGAAAACATAGCAAAAAGACAACCGTCTGCAAGCTAGGAAGAGAGCCCCCACCAGAAACTGAATTGCCAGAGGTCCAAGATCAACAACTTCTTGAAGTTGTCAGACTTCTAGCCTCTAGAACTATAACAAAATAAATTTATTTTGTTTAAGCTGTCCAGACTGTGGTATTTGTAGAAGCCCCCACTGACTAATACACTGTCACTTAGTAATTATAACTTCATAGGCTGAAAAAAGGTGAAATGATTCGTATTAGGGAGTATCACAGTGGAAAAATAATTGAGCAAAACAAATCACTCGTGTTTCTGAAGAGTCTCTCTCTGTGTGCTTATATATGTAGTAAATTGGCTTTTTAGCCTAATTCATTTTCGATCACTGGGAAATATCATGACTCTCATCCCTGTTGCAATGGACTGTACTGGGCACTCCAGTTCCTGTTTGTCTGGCTCTGGTTTTACTATTGCCTAGTGCTTGTAAAGGTTTCAAACTCAGCAGGGCCACTAGTGGAGAGGAAATCAAATGAAGTGGCTCCCCATGCTCAGTCCATCACAATGAGTACCTTGCTTCTGAGAGAGCATAGTTGCAAAGACACAGAAAAGAATGCAAAAAACTCTCCATTTGGAGGCAGTTGACAAGCAGGGCACTGACACTGCCCTTCACTGACATCCTCCCTCTACCCTAATCATCCCCCTTTCCCAGCATCCCTGAAAAAGCAGAGTGACAGCCAAGTGTGTGGTTAACCAAAAGACAAAGAAGCCAGAAGGAGCAGTGAAATTGCTTGGGTTCAGTTTCAAAGAACTGTTAAAAAAAACTATATATATCATATTTAGAATAAAGCCAAATGGAGAGTTAGAAGATAAAAATAAACAAAAGGACTTGTTTTAGTCCTTATAAGTCCTTTTCAATATGTGCATTTGTGATTTCAGCAACATTTCATCCACAGTTGGATAGATTTCTTATTTGTTCTTCTACTAAATTTGTATGCAGGACCATCTCGTGAACAAAACTAAATAAATCTCTGTATGTATAATGTAGAAATTGGTGATAAGTTTCTACTTGTACATTTTAAATATAAAAAGTATATTTGTATTGTTAACATCTTCCCTTAGGAAATTTTGTTCTATTTTAGCCCTAAGTAAAATAGGCTCCAGCAATAAGCTGCATTTTTTTTTATCATAACCTAAACAATATTTTAGGTGTTAAACTCTCTTACAAATGCTATTTTTGTTTACACACTATATATGTCATTAAGTATCTAAGTCCAGAATTAAAATATGAGAATGCTACTCTCATGTGGCACCATGAATCTCTCTTTAATAGCACTTAGCAGTACCAGATTTCAATTGATTTTTAAATTTCTAATTCTAATTAAAGATGGCAGAGTAACCGCCTGTGTGTATCTTCTCTCTTTCCTAAGACCCCACTAAAACCAAAGAAAAGGAAAACATAAGATCTGAACTCAGAAGAGCAAAGTACAGAAGTGGACACATCAGCTGTTGACAGACATTTAATAGCCTTTTGGAGGATGGAAAGCAGGTGGATTAGGAGTGACTGACTGAGACAGGCAGAAGTGGATACCGAGGGGAAGAGATTCAGTATCCCCTCACTTTAAAGGACCTCAATAGGTGCTTCAATGCATGGGGCTGACAGCAAGAGGCTAAGCTGACCATCAGTGTACTCAAAAATAAGTCCATTAGTCACCATTCCCATCCATATTCAGAGAGTCCATGCTTCCATAAAAAAGGTACAATGCTGGGAGAAAGTCTCCAATATGAAAGAGACCAAAATAAATAAACAGAAAAGATAGAACTAGAGAATGGAGAAACAATGACAAGGAACAGAAAAGCACCTAAACATACCAATAATAGTAGTACTACTCAAAAAGGAGAGAAAGAGAAGGAGAAAGAGATAATGATTAGCACTTACAATATGCCAGGTACCTAAAGTTTATATGTACTTCCTCATGAGTTTTATATATGTGAGATCAAATAGAGAATGAATACACTCACCTGCACACATAAACACACATATATAATCTCATTAAGTCTTTGATAATAGGGACAGTAAGGGAACAAGACAAAGTTTCATAAGGTCATCGTCAAATACTCTTAAAAAAAAATACCACACATCAAATCCAGGTAATAAGGATCCTCAAACAATGCTGTTAACCTTTCTGCTATGATACTTCTCAGAGAGACATATGTACAGATAATACAAATGCTATGATAAAAAAATCAATCAGACAATAATACAAAAGCATTCTTAAATTTTTTAATAGCTAAAATCAATTTTTCCTAAAAAAAAAACTCAGAAAATTCCAAAAGCAAAGATAAAGAGATGAAAATTATGAAAGCAAACAGAAAATACTTAGAGAAACAATCCAGATGTCCCCGAATCCTATTTCAGAGATAAAGAACAACTACAAAAAGCAGAGTAAAGATACCACCAAAGAAAGAATACATATCCAAGATCAGAAAGACTTGAATTCAGTTAGTGCCCAGAAACACGGGATGAAGAGCAGACCTACACCAAGGTGTTTCCTCATGGAATTCAAATTTTTTGGGATAACAAAAAGAAAATTGTGAGAGCTTTGAAAAGCCAAGGGAAACAAATATTAACATGTGGAAAAACAAATAAAACAATTTTATTATACTTATCAAAAGTAACACTGTATGCTAAAAACCAATGGACTCATGCTTTTAAAAGTCTGAAAAAGATTTCCACACCCAACAAAACTATCAATAAAGCATGAGACTTAGCAAATATATCAGATCCTGCCTAAAAACGTTTATTTTTTTGTTTTGAATATTTTATTTATTTCAATAGCTTTTGGAGTACAAATGGTTTTTGGTTACATGGATGAATTGTATAGTGGTGAAGTCTAAGATTTTAGTGCACCTGTCACCCAAGTACTGTACTCAAAACTTTTATTTTCATTAACACAATTATTTAATAATTTACCAGAGGATATGCTATAGCAAAATAAAAGGGTAGAGTTAGAGAGAGATATGGGGCCCAGGAATCAAGGAATCCAATTCAAAAGAGTGGCGAAAGGAAGCCCCAGACTCAGTTTTTCAACTAGCCAGTAGAGAAGAGAAAGCCGGAATAGAAAAGAAAGCCAGAATGGAAATGATCTCGGGAACAATAGGAAATTTCATAAAATGCATAAGCTACAAACATTTACACATGCAAATAAAGCAGTTAGAAACAGAAAAACTATCCAAGAAAGGAAACACTATATATTAACAAGAGGTTATAAGTAAAATCTAAAGTTGATGTATCAATAAATTGCAATGTATATATATTGATTAGAAATATGGTGTTAATATATAATATATAAAAAGAGAGCAGTAATTGCAACTGAACAGTGGAATTTGGGACACAGAAAGATGAGGGAGTTAATTTTTCAAATATATACCAGCATAATTTTGATAAATCTGATTATATATTTCAAAATCTAACCAGACAGATGATTTTCAAGCCATAGTATCTTACATTCATAGGTAAGTCCTTATATGTATACATACAAATATATATATATATTTCCACATATCACACATACATATGTGCACACACATATATGCATACATGTACAAGAATTGATTCCTTTGCATTTGATAAATATTTCTAAAAATCTATAAATTTTCTATCCTTAGTACTTTTTTTCCTATACTGCTAAGGTTATTTTCAGGTTAAAAAAAAAATCAAATCTTTATTTGCTACATTTTTCAGATTTGCTTAAGCAGCCAAACACCCACATGCACACACAACTTGTTATAAGAATACTGACTAACAATTGTTAAAACCTCCAAAATATAAGATCCCCAAAGCACAGGCAAGAAAAGCAAAAATAGATAAATAGGATTACATCTAAAAAGGGCTTCTATGTAACAAAGGAAACAATCAGAGTGAAGAGATGACCGCAGAATGGGAGAAAATATTTGCAAACCATACATCTGATAAGGGGTAAGATCCAGAATATATAAGAAACTCAACTCAATAGTAAAAAAGGCAAATAATCCATTGAAAAATGGGCAAAAGACCTAAATAGACATTTCTCAAAAGATGACATACAAATGGCCAACAGGTATATGAAAAAATGCTCAACATCACTGATCATCAGGGAAATGAAAGCCACAATGAGACATCACCTCACTCCAGTTAGAATGCCTATTATCAAAAAGACAAAAAATAACAAATGCATGGATGTGGAGAAAATGGAGTGGTTATACACTGTCAGTGGGAATGCAAACTAGTACAGCCATTATGGAAACCAGTATGGAGGTTCCTCAAAAAATTAAAAATAGAAGACTATCTCATGTTCCAGCAATCTCACTACCTGGTATGTATCCAAAAGAAATAAAATCATATGCCAAAAAAAATAGCTGCAGTGTTTACTGCAATAGCATGAAGAATCAAGATATGAAATCAACCTAAGTGTCCATCAGTGGATGAATGGGTAAATAAAATATCGTATATATACACAATGGCATACTATCGGGTCATTTAAAAAAGTAAAATCCTGTCATTGGTGACAACATGGACGAATCTGGAAGACATTATGTTAAATGAAATAAACCAGGCACAGAAAGACAAACCTTGCATGATCTGACTCATATGTGCAATCTAACCATGCTGAACCCATAACAGTAGAACAGTGGGAACCAGAGCTAAGAATAGGAGAGGGGAGAAGGAGATGGGGAAGAGATTCGTCAATGGCTACAAAGTTACAGTTAGAGACGAGGAATAAATTCTGGTGTTCCATTGCAGGGGTCCCCAACCTCCTCCGAGCCATAAACAGGTACCAGTTTGTGGCCTGTTAGGAACTGGGCTGCACAGCAGAAGGTAAGTGGCAGACAAGTGCTTCATCTGTATTTACAGCTGCTCCCCATTGCTTGCATTACTGCCTGAGCACTGCCTCCTGTAAACTGCACATGGGAGGGATCTAGGTTGCACGCTCCTTATGAGAATCTAATGCCTGATGATCTGTCACTGTCTCCAATCACTCCCACATGGGACCAGCTAGTTGCTGGAAAACAAGCTCAGGGCTCTCACTGATTCTACCTTATGGTGAGTTATATAATTATTTCATTATACAGTACAATGTAATAATAATAGAAATAAAGTGCACAATAAATGTAATGTGCTTCAGGCATTCCCCAAACCATCCTCCCATCCCAGTGCATGGAAAAATCAAGTTTGATTAAACCAGTCCCTGGTGCCAAAAAGGTTGGGGACCACTGTTCTACTGCACAGTAGGGTGACTATGATTAACAGTAGTGTATATTTCAAAATACCTGGAAGAAAAGATTTTGAGCATTTTTACTACAAGGAAATAATAAATGCATGAGGTGGTGGATACGCTACCATACCCAGATTTGATTTTTACACAATGCATACATGTATCGAAACATCACACTATACCCCATAAATATGTACAATTATTGTGTGTTAGTAAAAACCAAAAAATTCCCAAAAACAAATGCAGAAATCCCACCGAGTAGCATCCTCATAATATTTAATTAATTAACAATCTTTTCTTGCACACCATCTCTTAGGCTGTAAGCTCTATAAGGGCAGGGAACACAACTCCTTTATTTGTGGATGGATCCCTGTAGTAAACAATCAGTAAATTCTTTTCGAATTCAGGAATTAATCTTTTTAATCCTCTTTTTCATACATGGCTTACACTAACACAGAAAACAACTGCCGTGTAAAAGCTCTATCAATGGCCACAGAACTGCCAGAGGTACCTTACTATCATGAAACTCCAGGAAAAATATCCCTGCATAGGACTATGCCCAACCTCCAAGCCAGTCAGGAAATCAGATCCATGAAAAAAAAATATATCTAAATATAATCCCATCCAAAAGCTAAATTTGTTACATCCCAGATTTTGGGTTGTGGGTTCATTTTTGTTTTCTGTTTGTTTTTAATACAATTCTTGGGAAAAACACTTTGTCAAAAATATCTCCCTCCTAAAAACATGACTGCTTTAGGAATGATGCCAAAATTGGGTCAGTTGTAGGGGTTATGCATCTTACATGCTGTTATAAGGGTAGAAAAGTTTGTGACAGCTCAGGACAGGTTGATGATAGCATGTTCTGAAATGCCCAGAAAGAGTCTAGCAGGAAATACCATTGCTGATAACAGTGATTATCTGTGAGGAATGAGACTGAGGAGAAAATTTCTGAAATAAGCAAAGGCTGGTTTTATAAAAATAAAAGCAATTATAAAAATGGAAATAAAGCAGAAGCTCTCTTAACCAGTGCTCTAAAACACCAGTTTTCAAACTAGGGTATGTGAACCCCTAGAAATATACAAGGAATTTCCAAGGGATAGATCCACAGACAGTTTTTAAGGAATCAATCTCCAGATTATCCTTCATACATTTTTAAAAATTGGGATGATGATGGAGGCACATGCCGGCTCTCAAGACCCACCTCACCTTCTCCCACTTTATAAAGAAAATATTTTTTTGTGCAACCCATCTCTTACTGATACAGGAAGAGGGCAGGGAAGTGCCAGGTAGAGAAGGGTGGGGTCCCGGCGAGGGCTCCACCCTCGGGCCTGTGCCCATGGACCTAAATGAAGACAGGCATTTCTGTTTTTGTGCCCAAAAAGTTGCCTTTTGGCCTGCCATACTCCCATCCTGTTCCCGTAAAAGCCTGAGCTCTAGAGGGCACACACACAAGCGGCTGGACATCAAGAGGAGCAGGACACACCAGCAGACACCGGCAGACCAACAACAGCAGAACGACTCGGACACCAAGGGGAGTTTGGCTGGGGGCGGTTGAAGAAGAGTCCAGCCCCTGGGTGGCCTGTGTCCAGGGAAAAATCACCTTCTCACTCCATCCCCCTTCTGACTCCCCATCCATCTCACTGAGAGCTACCTCCACCACTCAATAAAACCTTGCACTCATCCTCCAAGCCCACGTGTGACCTGATTTTTCTGGTACACTAGGGCAAGAACCCCGGGATACAGAAAGCCCTCTGTCCTTGTGATAAGGCAGAATGTGTAATTGAGCTGGTTAACACAAGCTGCCTGCAGACAGAAAAGTTGAAAGAACATACTGTAACACACATCCACTGGGGCTTCGGGAATCGCAGACATGACACCCCTAGACACTGCCATGGGACTGGAGCCCAAAAAGTGCTCCCCATGGCCTCTGTATCTGCCCATCTGCATGCTCCCCTTTGGGGTTTGAGCAGCGGGGCACTGAAAATATGAGCCACACCCTGTCGCACTTCCTGCGAGGGGGATAAGGGAACACTCCCATCTCATTACTATGGAACTAGGAGTAAACATTTCCAGATTAAAACCCAACAAAAAAAGTTTAAAAATTCGTATTATCAAAAGTACCACCCCTCCAAATTTATTTCATTAAAAGATGAAATTCCAGTAAAATTTTACTAATGCAGAAGAAGTTTAGATGTCAACTTAAAATGTGCAAACAGATTCAGAGGTGTGAAGACCACTAACCACACAACGCCTTTCTAGAATATTCTAACAGAATGCCACAGCATAATGAATGCTCTCACATACGAAGAGCAAGAGGTGAGCTTCATATTCACCAAAATTGTGTGTTACCAAACCTGCTTACATCATTTGTAGTAGCTGGAATTATGCAACCTAATTGAGTATTGTGTAACCAAGAGAATTGCTTCTTCAAAAACAAATCCAAATGCTTGGTAAGACTCAAAAGCAAATTGTAAAAAAAATGCAACCAAATGAGGAATGGGCAAAATAAGTATAAAAGGGAGGGATGAAGATTTTTTTTTTAATTCTGTAAGGCTTCACAAGTGTCTAAGGCCTACACCTCATTTTAACCAGAAAACTTGAAATTCAGGGATGACATAAAATAGATGAGCTTTATGGAAGCAAGACCATATGGAATTCAGATTTTCAATCCACGTTCAACGAAGAGCCTTGATCATCCATCAGATGATTGGTAAATGAGTTCATTTATGGGTATTAAGTTCAAATAAAATATTAAGGCATGTGTGACGGTTAATTTCAGGTGTCAACTGGATATTAAGGAATACTTAAAAAGTTGGTAAATTATTACTTCTGGGTGTTTCTGTGAGGACATTTCCAGAGGGACCTGGCATGTGAGTCAGTGGACTGAGTAGGGAAGAGCCATCATTAAGGTGGGTGAGTGCCATCCAATTAGCTGGAGGCCCAGATAGAACAAAAAGGCAAAAGAAAGGTGAATTCTCTCCCTCACTCTCCTGGATCTGGGACACTCATCTTCTCCTGCCTATAGACATCAGAACTCCAGGCTCTCTGGTCTTTGGACTCTGGGGACTTAACACTAGCAGCCTTCAGCCTTGGACTGAGAGTTACACCATTGGCTTCCCTGGTTCCAAGGCATAGCTTCACGTTGGGGCAGGCCATCAGAAAGACCAAGCACAGGATTAGAGGGTTGGAACTTCCAGTGCCTGGATGGGTAGAGGGAGGGGAGCTGGACTTGGACTGAGGCATGCTACCAGCATCCCAGGGTTTCCAGCTTGCAGACTGCCTGTCATTTCTTAGCCTCCATCATCACATGAGCCAGTTCCCCTAATAATCCCCTCTCATCCATCCATCCATCCGTCAATCCATCCATCCATCCATCCATTCACTCATCCTATTGGTTCTGTCTCTCTGGAGAACTCTGAATAACACTGCATGTTTCATCTTTTTAAAACAATAATTCCTTCTCCAAATGACTTTTTCTGTTAATCAGACAACTAATGATCTCAATCATCTATATGAGAGAGCATCTATTAAAATTAAAAGTCATGATTAACTCCAGCTCAGTCATTCTCAAAAAGGTCCCCTATAATAGGGAATATTATAAGCAGCCGGAATTATGCAACCTAATTGAATATTGTGCAAATATTCAAGACTGACCCCACTTTAGATGTCAGGCCATCTGCACTTCTGACCAACTTGACTACAAATTCAGGGGTTCCCACAAGTCCCTCAGCTTTGATAATTCACTAGAATGACTCATCGAACTCAGCAAAGCTCTATATGTATAGTTTCCATTTTATTATAAAAGATACACATCAGGCAAGGTCTGGAAGGGTCCTCGATGTGGAGTGTCCATACCCTCTCCCCTTGGATTCAGGGTACAACACCCTCCTGAAACATCAATGTGTTCACCAATCAGGAAGTTCCACCAAGCTTTGGTGTCCAAAGTTTTTATCAGGATTTCAATACTTAGGCATGATTGATTATATCACTGGCCATGTGACTAAACCCAATCTCCAGCTCCCCTCCTCTACCCATGCAGACACTGGAAGTTCCATCCCTCTAATCCTGTGCTTGGTCTTTCTGATGACCTGCCCCCACCTGAAGCTATGTAAGGATATGACTCACTGAGTCACCTCAGTAGCATATCAAAGACACTCCTATCACTCAGCAAATTCCAAGGGTTTTCAAAGCTGTGTCCCAGGAACCAGACACATTATTTATTATGCCACATCAGGTAAATTAAAATGGTGGAATGGTGACAATTTAGTTAAATTTCTAATAAAATTTTCGTTTGACAGATGAAGATTAAGAGCAGAGGCACTTAAGAAGACATGAGAAGGACAGGGAAACAAGGAATAATGTGCGATGAAAACAGCAATAAAAAAAACTTATAGCAAGCGTGAGACTTACTCAAGCAGTAACCAACAGCCTAAGATCAGAACCGTATTGTCAACATGTTTGTCCAAAGAGTAGTTTTCATTCAGAAACAAAGCCTCTGGAGCGAGAGACCAAACAGAAATGGACCTTCCTTCTTCATCCAGGAGATGAACTACAGCAGTCAAGCTAGGCCTGGGGGTAGACATTAGAGAGGCTAACAATAAAAATAGGGATCTTCTCCCAAGCTCCAGTCCTAGGAGAGGTGGCAATACTTGGAAAGGTAGCCTCTGGAAGTAGTTTACTCCTGGAAATACCTGCTAAGATCAATAGCAATAAAAACCTGGAATTTATAAACAAGGCCAAATGTTTATAGTATAATGTTAATACTACTGAATTATTTCATTCTGCTGCAAGCATTAGATAGATGGAAATTACCCCATACTTCTGTAAGAGACTACATTTTATTGACTATTTAATACACATTATCTCCTTTGAAATGGCTCTTGAACCGGAGGGAAAGAAAGATAAGACCATGAATACAGAGGCACTGCTTGTGGAAAGGAAAATTCTCTCCACACTCTCTAGTCTCAAGCAACATCAGAAAGAAAACCAAGAAATACAATTAAATGGAATATCAGTAAATGTTGAGCATTCCACCTGAATCTTGCCTTTTACTTTTTAATAGCACATATGAGAGAAGCAGTAGAGCAAAGATCAATTAATCAACAAATGGTATTGGGTCAACTAGTAGCCACTTGGAAAGAAATAAATTTGAATTTATATAAAATGCTATATATCAAAATACACTCCAGGTGAATCAAGAATTTTAATGTAAAATAATAAACTGTAAATGCACTATGAGAAAACATGAGAGATCCTCTTTTCATTCTTTCATTTAGTAGTAAGAAAGCCCTTTCTAATCAAAACATGAAATCAGAGGCATAGGGGAAGAAAACTATAAGTGACTCTGTGAAAAGGAAATTGTGTAGCTAAAATTTATAAAAATAAAAATAAAGTCAAAACATAGGAGGAGGCTCTATACTTGTTCTCGGGATATTAAAAAGCTGCAAAAAAGAAAGCTATTCCCATCATAACAACAAAGGCTAGATAATGTACAAAATCTTAACTATCTTTAGACCCTCAGAAAGTAACAAAGAATGAGTGAAGTAAATTCCAAAGGATGTGAGGATGTTAACTGACATTTGTCAGACCAGGGGAAGAAACGGTAGCTGCTATACAGGCAGACAATCAGAAAACAACTCAGATTTTAGCTATTTGTTAAAGCCCTTATGTGAGCTGGGAGCCTCTAACACAATAGGATTTGGGGGAATTTGTACTCACTCTTTTCCAATTTCCTCCACTGGGTGCTCATGAGAAAGCTTGGGGACAGTGCAAGAGAAGACAGAGAGAGACTCACTAGGCAGTGTAGGTTTAGACTGGGGATAAGCTGTCACTGTGAAATAGGCACAAAACACAATGCTGGGGAGAGTAATGTGGCAGGAAATCTGTTCCCTCCCCAAACCACCTTACCGCTACACATACAAGGGAAAATTCAGCTGCCATGGAGAGAGTATGAGGAGCATTCAGAAAGCCCCACCCTTGGAAGCAGAAGAGCCAAGAAACAGTACCCCTGTTCCCAACTCAAGTATTGAACTTATTCACAAGCTACTCCAGCCTACCTTTGGGGAGGGGACAAGAGCAAAGAGAGAGACTTCTTCCACGTTGCAGGGTGTTCGGGGTTTGCTCAAAGCTGAGGGTGAAGCAGGAAATCTTAAAAATGTACTCTGGTAATACAGGTCCCATATTGACCACAAGTAGCAACACTCCAGAGCTGAAGGCAAGGGAAGGCTGTGGGGACCCGGGCAATGATAGCAACAACCAAAAACAAATCCAGCTTAACTGCTGGCTAGATTGACCCAACTCCTGGCCTGATAGCAGAAGAGATAGACCTGTTTCCTGTCATAAATCATAAATAATATTTACTTCAGTATCCTGTTCCACACATACTGTCCAGCATTCAATAAAAAATGATGAGATTCACACAAGAAAGCAAGAAAAAATGACCCAGAAGACAATGGAGCAAGATCTTTGAAGTACTAAGAGGGAAAAAGCAAAAAACTGTCAACCCAAAATGTTATGTTTAAAAATGAAGGCAAAATATAGTACAAAAATTAAAGTAGAATTTCAAAAAGTATTCAAAAATGGCAGAGTAACAGAGGAATGGAGGAATGGAGGGACATAAAAAGAGAGGCAGCAAGCAGAAAACAAAAAAATAAGCCGGTAGACTCAAACCTAAACATAATAATAATTATAATCCAGGGTAACAAACTAAATAATTCAATTAAAAGGTAGAGACCGTCAGAATAGACAAAAACAAGACCCAAATATATGCTATCTATAAGAGGTTCACTGTGAGAAACAGGAAAATTAAAAGTAAATGGATGAAAGAAAGATACACCATACAGAAAGTAAGCATAAAATGGCTGGAATCACTATATTAGTAGTAGATAAAACACAGTTCCAAACAAAAGGCATTATCATGGATAAAGAGGAACATTTCATTATAACAAAAGGGTCAGTTTAACAGAAAGATATAGAAAGCCTGAAAGTGTATGCTGTAAAGCTTTAAAATATGTGAAACAAAAGTGTTGGAACTAAAGGGACAAAGAGACCATTCTACATCCATAGTTTGAGATTCCCCCTTCTCTCTGCAACTAATAGAAATAACTAGACAATATTAACACCACCACCATCAATCACAGCAGAACTGTCAACCAGCTGGACTTACTTACTATTTATGGAAGAGTACAACCGACAACATCAGAATACACATTATTTTCAGCACGTGTTAAGTTTATCAGAATAGACCATATTGTGGAACATACCGTAAGTCTCAGTAAATTTAAAACTATTAAAATCACAAAAAACATGATATCTAAACACAATTTAATTAAATTAGAAACCAATAATAAGAAAATCAGAAAAACCATTTGGAAATTAAGCAACAAATTACTAAATAATCATCAAGTCAAAGAAGAAATAGCAAAACAAATTATAATATATTTTGGTGTGTATGATAATTTTTTAAAAGACAAAATGAAAACCTTCTTGGACCAACAAAAGCTAAATAAATTATTGTCAGCAACTCAGCACAATAAGAAATAATAAAGACATTTCTTCAGGCAGAGCAGAAGGAATATGACACTGCATAGACATTTCAATATATATATAACGAAATAATGAGTGCTGGAAATTATAAAAATATGAAAGATTTTTTCTTATTTTTAATCTTCATACTATAACTGTCTAAAGCAAAATAATAATACACTATGGAATTTAAAGCAGTAGATAGAGGCATGAAACAAAAGCACACTGCGGGAACATATTTATGATATACATAAGGCAGTATATTATTTGAAGGTAGACTGTGAGACAAAGTGACATATTTTAAGCTTCAGGGTAGCACTGTCCAAGAAAACATTCTGTGTAGATAAAAATGTGCCATATTTATACTGTCCAATATGGTAGCCACTAGCCAAATGTGGATACTGCACACTTGAAATGTCATTAGATTACCTAAGGATATGAAATTTCAAGCATTTAACTGTAAATTAATTAAAAATTTAAATTTAAGCAGCTACATAGGGATAGTGCCTGCCTTATTGGATAGTAAAGCCCAAGAATAACCATTTTTAAAGAAAGTACAATTAGGAGGTATAGATAATTAGTAATAATGGTGGGAAAATAGAATCATAAAAACTACTCAATTCAAAAAAAGGCAGTAAAACAAATTAAGAATATATAAAAGTAGAGAACAAATAGTAATATGCAACAGTCATGTGCTACATAATAATGTATCTGTCGATGACAGACGACATAGACAATGGTGGAAGTATGAGGTTATAATACTGTATCTTTTCTATGTTTAGACATACAAATACTTACCATTGTGTACAACTGCCTACAGTAATCAGTACCATAACATGCTGTCCAGGTTTGTAACTTAGAAGCAATAGCCCATACCATATAACCTAGGTGTGTAGTAGTCAATAACATCTAGGTTTATGTAACTATATGATATGTGCACAATGACAACATTACCTAACAATATCTTTCTTAGAAAGCATCTCCATTGTTAAGCAACACATGACTGTAGATTTCAATTTACCCATATCAAAAATTATCTTAAATGTAAATCATTTACACACACTAATTAGAAAGGCAGAGATTTTGGAATGAATAAGCAAGAAAACCCAACTATTTGCTGTCTATAAGAAACCCACTTTAACTATAAAGATATACATTAATCAAAAGCAAAAGAATGAAAAATATATACCATGCAATCACTCATACAGGTAACTTTGAATGGCTACATTAATATTAAATTACAAAGTAAACTTCAGAAAAGAGGATTATTACTAGAAGTAAAAACAGGAACTTCATAATCATAAAGAGGTCAATATATATCAAGATAACAACATAATCCTAAATGGGAATGTATCTAATACCAGAGTTTCAAAATAAACAGAGCAAAAACTCATGGAACTAAAAGAAATAGACAAGCACGCAATTACAGTTGGAGACTGATATGGTTTGGCTGTGCCCTCACCCAAATCTCATCTTGAATTCCAGTGTATTATGGGAGGGACCCAGTGGGAGGTAATTGAATCATGGGGGTATGTCTTTCCCATGCTGTTCTCATGACAGTGAATAAGTTTTACAAGATCTGATGGTTTTAAAAAGAGGTGTTCCCCTGCACAAGCTCTCTCTCATTCTCTCTTTGCCTGCTGCCATCCAAGTAAGACGGGACTTGCTCCTCCTTGCCTTCTGCCATGATTGTGAGGCTTCCCCAGCCACGTGGAACTGTAAATCCAATTGAACCTCTTTCTTTTATAAATTGCCCAGTCTCAGGTATATCTTTAGCAGCAGCATGAAAACAGGCTAATACAATAAATTGGTACCAGTAGAGTGGGTGTTGCTGAAAAGATACCCAAAAATGTGGAAGTGATGTTGGAACTAGGTAACAGGCAGAGGTTGGAACAGTTTGGAGGGCTCAGAAGAAGACAGGAAAATGTGGGAAAGTTTGGAATTTCCTAAAGACTTGTTGAATGGCTTTGCCCAAAATGCTGATAGCGATAAGGACAATAAAGTCCAGGTTGAGGTGGTCTCAGATGGAGATGAAGAACTTGTCAGGAACTAGAGGAAAAGTTACTCTTGTTATGTTTTAGCAAAGAGAGTGGCAGCATTTTGCCCTGCCCTAGAAATTTGTGGAACTTCAAACTTGAGAGAGATGATTTAGTGTATCTACTGGAAGAAATTTCTAAGAAGCAAAGCATTAAGGAGGTGACTTGGGTGTTCTTAAAGGCATTCAGGTTTAAAAGGGAAACAGCATAAACGTTTGGAAAACTTGTAGCCTGAAAATGAGATAGAAAAGAAAATCCCATTTTCTGAGGAAAAATTCAAGCCAGTTATAAAAATTTGCATAAGTAAAGAGGAACCGAATGTTAATCACCAAGACAATGGGAAAATGTCTCCAGGGCATGTCAGATACCTTTGTGGCAGCCCCTCCCATCACAGGCCTGGAGGTTTAGGAGGAAAAAATGGTTTCATGAGCTGGGCCCAGGGTCCCTCTGCTGTGTGCATCTAGGGACTTAGTGCCCTGCATCCTAACTGCTCCAGCCATGACTCAAGGGGCCAAAGTACAGCTGGGCTGTTGCTTCAGAGGGTTGAAGCCCCACGACTTGGCAGCTTCCACATGATGTTGAGCCTGCAGGTGTACACAAGTCAAGAATTGAGGTTTGAGAACTTCTGCCTAGATTTCAGAGGAGGTATGGAAACACCTGGATGCCCAGGCAGAAGTTTGCTGCAGGGGCGGGGCCCTCATGGAGAATCTCTGCTAGGACAGTGAAGAAGGGAAATGTGGGGTTGGAGCCCCCACACAGAGTCTCTACTGGGGCACCACCTAGTGGAGCTATGAGAAGAGGACCTCAGAATGGTAGATCCACCAACAGCTTGCACCGTGCTGCTGGAAAAGCTGCAGACACTCAATGCCAGCCCATGAAAGCAGCTGAGAGGAGGGCTACACCCTGAAAAGCCACAGAGGAGGAGCTGCCCAAGGCTGTGGGAGCCCACCTCTTGCATCAGCATGACCTTGATGTGAGACATGGAGTCAAAGGATATCATTTTGGAGCTTTAAGATTTGACTGCCCCACTGAATTTAGGACTTGCATGGGGCATGTAGCCACTTTGTTTTGGCCAATTTCTCCCATTTGGAATGACTATATTTACCCAATGCATGTACCCCCATTGTATATAGGAAGTAACTAACTTGCTTTTGATTTTACAGGCTCATAGGCAGAAAGGACTTGCCTTGTCTCAGATGAGACAATGGACTGTGAACTTTTGAGTTAACGCTGAAATGAGTTAAGACTTTGGGAGACTATTGGGAAGGCATGATTGGTTTTGAAATGTGAGGACATGAGAATTGCGGGGGAGCCAGAGGTGGAATGATATAGTTTGGCTGTTTCCTACCCATATCTCATCTTCAATTCCCATGTAGTGGGGGAGGGACCCTGTGGGAGGTAATTGAATCATGAGGGCAGGTCTTTCCTATGCTGTTCTTGTGATAGTGAATAAGTCTCATGAGATCTGATGGTTTTAAAAAGAGGCATTCCCTGCACAAGCTCTCTCATTCTCTCTTTGCCTGCTGCCATCAGTGTAAAATGGGACTTACTCATCCTTGCCTTCCACCATGATTGTGAGGCTTCCTCAGCCACATGGAACTGTAAATCTAATTCATACTCTTTCTTTTGTAAATTGCCCATTCTCAGGTATGTCTTTATCAGCAGCATGAAAACAGACTAATACAGAGACCTTAAAACTTGACTCTCAGTAATTGATAAAACAAGTAAACAAATAATCAGCAACTGGCTGGTATTTATGGAAAAAGTATGCCCAAAAGCATCAGAATACATATTTTTAGTACAATATGGAATATTCATCAAGTCAGATCATATTCTAGGACATAAAAAAAAAAAAACCTTAAAAACCTAAAAGGCATACCTGGCAGGTTCTTTATCTACAAAGGATTTACACTAAAAGTAAATAAAAGAATAGTATTTGGAAAAATCCAAACTATTGAAAAGTAAACAATACATTCCTAAATAATTCATGGCTCAAAGGAGAAATCATAAAAGTATTTTAGAATATGTTTTAATACAATGAAAATAAAAATAGAACATATCAAAATGTGTGAGACATATCTAAAGCAGTGACCAAGGGAAATTTACAAAAATAGATCCTTATATTCAAAAACAAGAAAGGTCCTAAGTCAAAAACTTAAGATTCCATATAACTTAAAACTATATAAAGAAGAGCAAATTAAATCCAAAGCAAAAAATGGAAAAAAATAACATCAGCATGAAGCAATGAAAAAGAGAAAAATAATTAAAAACAACTAATGAAACAAGTCTGCTCTTCAAAAGGCCAGTTAAATTGATAAATCTCCCCAAATTAATCAAGAACAAAAGAGAAAAAATATGTATTACCAATATTAATAACAAAAAGGGAAACATCACTACTGATTATATTGATAATAAAAGGAAAAATGGTATATTATGAGCAACTTCGTGCCAATAAGTTTGATAACTTATTTGAAAAATTCCTGAAAAACAAACTACCAAAGCTCATTCCAAAAGATACTGACAATATGAGTATCTCTATATCAAATAAATTAAAATTATACTTTAAAACCTTCCCACAATGAAAACCACATGTCTAAAGACTTCATTGCTGAATTTTTCCTAACATTTAAAGAAGAATTAATATAAATTCTACACAAACTCTTCCAGAAAAAGGAATAGGAGGGAACATTTACTACCTCATTTTATGTGGCCAGCATTACTCTGATATGAAAACCAAAGACACTAAAAATAAAGAAAATTACAGACAGATATCTCGCATAAAATAGATGCAAAAATCCTTTTAAACACTAGCAAATCAGTAAGAACTAAAACCACAAAAGTCTTAGAAAAAAGTATGGGGGTCAATCTTCATGACTTTCGATTTAGCAATGAATTCTTAGATGTTACACCAAAACACAAGCAAAGAAACAAACCAAATAAGTAAACTGAACTTCATCAAAATTTAAAACTTTAAGTATCAAAGAATACTTTCAAGAGTAGAAAAACAACGGAGAAAATGGGAGAAAATATCTGGAAAATCTATATCTGACAAGGGTCTAGTATCCAGAATACATCAAAAACTCTTACAACTCAACAAAAGAAAAAAGGACAAACAACCCAACTTATAAAGGGCTTGAATAGATATTTCTCCAAAGAAGATACCAAATGGTCGAGAAGCATATGAAAAGATGCTCAACATCATCAGTCTTTAGGAAAATGCAAATCAAAACCACAATGAGATACCACTTCACACCCAAGAGGATGGCTGTAAGCAGGAAAACGTAAGTGTTGGCAAAGATATGGAGAAATTGGAAACTTCATACATTTCTGATGGGGATGTAAAATGGTGCAAAACAGATGTTCAAACAAAAACTTATACACAAATGTTTATGGAGGAATTACTCAAAATAGCCAAAAGGTGAATACAACCCAAACGTCTATCAATGGATGAATGAATAAATAAAATGTGATATATTCATACAATAAATTATCCAGTGATTGAAAAAAAATTGAGTACTGATACATGCTACAACATGAATGAACCTTAAAAACATGATGCTAAGTGAAAAAAGAAAAAAGACAGACAAAAAGGCCACATGTTGTACAATTCCATTTATATGAAATGACCAAGACAGGCAAATCCCTAGAGCAGAAAGCAAACTAGTGATCGCCAGGGCTAAGGAGAGGGAGGGGGAATGGGGAGTAGCAGTTTAAAGCATATGAGATTTCCCTTTGGGGTCATGAAGACAGTCTGGAACTAGACAGTCATGATGGTTGTACAACATTGTGAATGTACTAAGTACCACTGAATTGAACACCTTAAAGTTGTTTTAAAAATGTGTATTTTACAACAATAAAAAAGCAAATCATTTCCAGCAGTATATAAAAATAATAATATGTAATGACCAAGTAAGGTTTATCCAAGGAATGCAGTTGATTTAATGTTAAAAATAGATCAATGTAACTCACCAATATGACCATGTCAGTAGATGCAGAAAAAATATTTGACAAAATTCAACATCCATTCATAAGAAATAAAATTCTCAGAAAACTAGAAATAGAAGGAAATCTCTTCAACCTAATAAAAGGCACATACAGAAAACCTATAGCAAACATACACAACTATGAAGATCAAATGCATTCCCCCTAAGACTGGGAACAAAGCAGGAATATTTGCTCTCACCACTTCCATTCAACATTGAACTAGAGGTCCTAGCCAGTGAAAATCAGGCAAGAAAAAGAAATAAAAAGCAAATAAACCTATTTCTATTTGCAGATTACATGGTCATTCATGTAGAAAATCCAAAACAAAGGCAGACAGTCTCAGAACCAGATAGACAAGCACAGAGGAGCTTCATCCAGCCTGGGGGCCTCAGCACTGTGACCAAAGACCAAACTGAGATGAGGAGAGGCCTTCCAAGAATAAATTTAGGAAAACAAGAAAAAGATATTTGTAAACACTGAGGACTTTTCTCAAAGAAAATGGAAAGGGGACAGTGATCCAAAAAATGATGGCTCTATCTGTTTCAGAGTTTCCCACCTAGTTTTTTTGACTCTCCAGATGGCTCCAGAGTTTGCAAGATAAACTTCAAAGAAAAATCACAGACACACACACACAGAGAGAGAGAGAGAGAGAGAGAGAGAGAGAGAGAAAGAAAAAGAAAGAAAGAAAGAAAGAAAGAAAGAAAGTAAGAAAGAAAGAAACAAAAACAAAGAAACAAAGAAAAAGAGATGGACTGAATAGATACCAAAATAACAGGTGTGATTGTCACTAAATAAAAAGATTGTTGAGACTTCAGTTTTCTTCTTTTTGCTTTTCAGGTTTTCCCAAGTTTATTTTTATAATGACCCTGTTTACTCTTGCAATAAACATTTGTCTTAAATGGAAAAAAAAGGTCAAAACACAAATGACAAATTAGGGAAAAGATGTGCAACAAGACAGATGCAGCTATTTTCTTCAATACATAAAGAGTTTTAAAAATCAATTAAGAAAAGGTTAAGAATCCAAAGGGTCACACGTTAACAGAAACACAGATTGCTTGTCATCATATGAAAAGATGCTCAACCTCACTAATAATTAAAGAAGCAAAAATTAAAATAATTCTGACTAGCAATTTTGAAAAGCTTTATGATTCAAAGTGTTAAGAGAGATTATGAGGGGAAGGCACAACTTTTGATGTAAATGGCTATATTGTGAAAATATTGCAATAAAATACTAGTGTGTCCGGAATTGGTGGGTTCTTGGTCTCACTGACTTCAAGAATGAAGCTGCAGACCCTCACGGTGAGTGTTACAGCTCTTAAGGTGGCACATCTGGAGTTTGTTCCTTCTGATGTTTGGATGTGTTTGGAGTTTCTTCCTTCTGGTGGGTTCACGGTCTCGCTGGCTCAGGGGTAAAGCTGGCTCAGGAGTGAAGCTGCAGACCTTTGAGGTGAGTGTTACAGCTCTTAAGGCGGTGCCTCTGGAGTTCTTCGTTCCTCCCAGTGGGTTTGTGGTCTCGCTGGCTTCAGGAGTGAAGCTGCAGACCTTTGCGGTGAGTGTTACAGCTCATAAAGGCAGTGTGGACCCAAAGAGTGAGCAGCAGCAAGATTTATTGCAAAGAGCAAAAGAACAAAGTTTCCACAGGGTGGAAGGGGACCCGAGTGGGTTGCCACTACTGGCTCAGGCAGCCTGTTTTTATTCTCTTATCTGGCCCCACCCACATCCTGCTGATTGGTAGAGCCCAGTGGTTCTGTTTTGACAGGGCGCTGATTGGTGCGTTTACAACCCCTGAGCTAGACACAAAGGTTCTCCACGTCCCCACCAGATTAGCTAGATACAGAGTTTGGTCCCAAAGGTTCTCCAAGTCCCCACCAGAGTAGCTAGATACAGAGTGTCGATTGGTGCATTCACAAACCCTGAGCTAGACACAAGGTGCTGATTGGTGTGTTTACAAACCTTGAGCTAGATACAGAGTGCCGATTGGTGTATTTACAGTCCCTGACCTAGACATAAAGGTTCTCCAAGTCCCCACCAGAATAGCTACAAAGTGTCGATTGGTGCATTCACAAACCCTGAGCTAGACACAGGGTGCTGATTGGTGTGTTTATAAACATTGAGCTAGATACAGAGTGCCGATTGATGTATTTACAATCCCCTAGCTAGACATAAAGGTTCTCCAAGTCCTCACCAGTCAGGAGCCCAGCTGGCTTCACCCAGTGGATCTCGCACTGGGGCTGCAGGTGGAGCTGCCTGCCAGTCCCGCACCATGCGCCCACACTCCTCAGCCCTTGGGTGGTCGATGGGACTGGGCGCCTGGAGCAGGGGGCTGCGCTCTCGTCGGGGAGGCTCAGGCTGCACAGGAGCCCACAGAGGAGCAGGGGAAGGCTCAGGCATGGCGGGCTGCGGGTCCCAAGCCCTGCCCCGCGCGGGAAGGCAGCTAAGGCCCGGCGAGAAATGGAGCACAGCAGCTGCTGGCCCAGGTGCTAAGCCCCTCACTGCCCAGGGCCGGCCGGCCGCTCCTAATGCGGGGCCCACCAAGCCCACACCCACCTGGAACTCGCGCTAGCCCACAAGCACCGCGTGCAGCCCCGGTTCCCGTCCGCACCTCTCCCTCCATACCTCCCAGCAAGCTGAGGGAGACGGCTCCGGCCTTGGCCAGTCCAGAAAGGGACTCCCACAGTGCAGCGGCAGGCTGAAGGGCTCCTCAAGTGCCACCAAAGTGGGAGCCCAGGCAGAGGAGGTGCCGAGAGTGAGCGAGAGTGAGCGAGGGCTGTGAGGACTGCCAGCACGCTGTAACCTCTCACTAGGGCACTTTTCTTAAGAGGCATCTAAATGTTAAATGCACACCCTCTTTAACTTAGCAATTCTACTTCTAGACATTTGTTCTACAGATGTATTTGCAAACATACACAATGATCATGTACAAGGCCGTTCAGTACTCTTTCACAATACCAACAACTGGCAACAACCCATATGTCCATCAATAGGGGACTGGTTAAATAAACTACGTTAAGTCCCCACAATGCAGGAAGGTGATCTATATGGCTTGATATCTAGAATTAAATTAATAAAGCAAATTGCTGGATGACATGGAGAGCATTCTCTACTTTGTGTTTTTTTAAAAAAGTAGATATAAGTTTAGAAAAGTACTGGAGGACACCAGGGCACACGTTTATCTATATAACAAACCTGCACATCCTGCACATGTATCCTGGAACTTAAAATTAAATTTTAAAAAAAGAAAATTACTGGAGGAAACACAAGAAAATAGTTAACTATGAGGCCAGGTGAGGTGGCATGTGCTTACAGTACCAGCTACCCAGGAGGCTGAGATGGGAGGATCAGGTGAGCCCAAGAGTTTGAGGCTGCAGTGTGCTACAATCACACCTATGAGTAAACACTGCAGAACAGCCACTGCATTCCAGACTGGGCAACATAGTGAGACTCCACCCCTTCAAAGAAGGAAAGAGTTAGCTATGGTTACCTCTAATAGCTAAATGTTTATATACACTTTCTACTGTTTGAAATCTTACCACATATAAGTATTAGCTTTTATAATCACTTAGTCTTAATAATGTACTGTATCTTGGTTTTCTACTTTGTAAAATGGTAATAATTATCTAGCTCATCTCAGAAGGTAATTGTGAATACCAAATGAGAAAATACAGATGCACGAAAGTGATTTGTAAGCTTTATATGGGTGATCCACAAACTGCATATAAGTTAGGTATTATTGCTAATCATGATTATTTTTTCAGCTACAGGAAATCATTTTATGACTCAGGATTT
The DNA here is from genome assembly GCF_000001405.40 of Homo sapiens. Classification (NCBI taxonomy): domain Eukaryota; kingdom Metazoa; phylum Chordata; class Mammalia; order Primates; family Hominidae; genus Homo; species Homo sapiens. The sequence goes on from NC_000003.12 coordinate 68,786,827, forward strand.
ACAATGGGTAGGTCTGAGAAAATTTTAATTTACTGGGGAAGGATAAATGTGAAATAAAGGCTAAGAACATTGCTACAAAATGTATTTGTGGAAGAAGGTTTTTGTCTTGTTTTGCCTTTAAGGACAGAGGAGAAAAAATAAAAAGAGTCAGGAAAAAATATACAAAGCTCATGCAGAAAGTTATTTCTGTGCTAAATAAAAATGTAATCCTATATAACATTTTTAGGTCCTTAAAAATGAAGATATAAAACCTCACATGAAGTTCCACAGGAGCCTCATAATTAAAGAAGAGTCAGTTGAGGCCAAGGTGATCCAAAGAGAAATATGTCCCCTCCATGCTGAGTGAATTTTAAGCAGGTGTTTGCAGGTATCAATAAAGCTAATGTTAAGGGGAAACAGAAAAACAACCAGACCTAAGAGTATTCAGCGGAGACTGAAATTGCAACAAACTAACCCCCTACACTCACTATTAAAAGCTCATTAACTCCCAGCTGTTCATCCATTAGGCTGAGAAGAAGAAAAAGCACATGCCCTCACTGTCACATATTTATACCAGAGGTTTTCATCTCATAAAGGGGAAAGAGAGGGGAGATAAGGAGAAGATAACAATCATAATTATATCACCAGGCTGTGGAGAAAGCTGTGCTAAATATAATAAGCCTCTCAGGCAATAAAGTCAGATGAATGTCCAAAGTCTGCCATTGTAAAGAAGAAAGAAGGGAAGAGGGCGAACGTCCATCGGCATCACGGGACTCGTCCTTGAGCCACTTACACATCAGAGCCCCTTGGCTCATCTCACTAGGTCACATCTGATCTACACCACAAGCAGCAACACTTGCAAATAAAATTATTTTATCCTAGTCATTCGCTATGGTACAGTCCCTGACTGCATCAAATTAAACAAAAGAAGGCATAATGAATACAAATCAAATTTAAAGCAATCTATGCACAAACCATTATTTTCCTTAAAGAATGATGGATTGGAGCTGCATGTTGTGTAATAAAGCTTCTAGACGAGCACTCAAAACTAGCAACTTGTAACCCGATTCCAACCCACAGGTGTTTCATTTGGGTCAAGGCTCTGAAAATGTTTTAGTTGTTAGTACTTAAAAATCAAGAGATGTAACTCAATCATCTCTCTCCAGTGTGTCCGGCAAAATTGGAAGATTGCAATGCTGGCTGTGCATTTGCATATTTCTGTAAGAGGTAAGACTAGTTCCTTTAGGTATTTGAGGGTTTTGATCCATTATAGCCCCAGAAGAGTACACATTTAAAAATAAAATAGAGCTTTCTCTACATAAATCTTGCACAGTGGTGTGTAACACGTGGCTGCACTTTCTCACCTCATTTTCATGGCAGTATCTCTATAGCTCCAGCCTCAATCATCTGACTGTATTCCTTACCACCTTCTCCCTCACTACCCTGGCCACACTACTGCTGCTCCTCAAACATGCCAATCACCTCTGCCTCAGGACAGCTGCCCTCACTGTCCCCTCACTTGGAACATTCTTACCCCAGATATCATCGGGCTGGCTCCTTCATCTTCTTTGAATCTTTACTCCAACATTTCCTTTTTCGGAGAGGTCATTTCTGACTATGCTATTTAAAAGCACAAGTCTTTGCTGTGCAGAAACTTTTAGTTTGATGCAGTTTCCACTCATTTACTTTTTGCTTTTGTTGCCAGTGTTTTGGTGTCATAGCCAAAAAATCATTGACAAGACCAACATCATTGAGCTTTTCACCTATGTTTTCCTCTAGGAGTTTTATAGTTTTAGGCGTTGTGTTTACATATTTTTTTTTTAAGAGACAGGGTCTCACTTCATCACCCAAGCTGGAGTGCAGTGGCATCATCATAGATCACTGCAGCCTCCAACTCCTGGGCTCAAGCCATGTTCCTAGTTCAGCTTCCCAAGTAGCTGGGACTACAGGCACACGCCACCATACCTGGCTAAATTTTTATTTTATTTTATTTTATTTTTGTAGAGACAGGATCTCACTATGTCACTCAGCTGGTCTTGAACTCCTGGGCTCAAGCTATCCTCCTACCCTGGCCTTCCAAGGCTCTGGGATTATATATAGGTGGGAGCCATCACACCCAGCCATGTTTAAATCTTTAATCCATTTGGGCCTGGTGTGGTGGCTCACGCCTGTAATCCCAGCACTTTGGGAGGCTGAGGTGGGTGGATCACGAGGTCAGGAGACCAAGGCCATCCTGGCTAACATGGTGAGACCCCGTCTCTACTAAAAATACAAAAAATTAGCCAGGCATGGTGGCAGGTGCCTAGTCCCAGCTACTAGGGGGGCTGAGGCAGGAGAATGGTGTGAACCTGGGAGGCAGAGCTTACAGTGAGCTGGGATCGCGCCACTGCACTCCAGCCTGGGCGACAGAGTGAGACTCCGTCTCAAAAAAAAAAAAAAAAATCTTTAATCCATTTGGAGTTGAGTTGATTTTTGTCAAGCACTAGTTGACCATATATTCCAGGGTTTATTTCTGGGCTTTCTAGTCTGCTGGCCTATGCACTTCTTTTTATGCCTGTATCATACTGTTTTAATGACAAAGTTTGCTAAGAGAGTAGATCTTAAATATTCTTACCACACACATACACACACAGGTAACAATGTGAGGTGATAGATATGTTAATTAGCTCAACTGCGGTAATCATTTCACAATGTATATGTATATCAAAATATCACATTAGACACCTTAAATATATGTAATTTTTATTTGTCAATTGTGCCTTAATAAAGCTGGGGGAGCACATCTCTGACCCCAGCTTTATTTTTCCCCATAGAATTCATGACATGTTATGCTTTATTTGCTTATTTACTGTCTATCCCCCTACACATGATGCTCAAGAGGGCAAAAAAAATTTTCTGATTCGTTCACTGCCATGTAATTAGTTTCAACTAGTGCCTGACACGCAGTAGCCACTGTAAAAATATCCATCGGATGAATTAACTTTGTTTCTCATCAGAAAACAAAAGAAATGCACACATTTAACACATACCCACACACATCAATAAAACCGTGGTAACCTCTCACCTCTAAAATGAGGATATAATTCACTGGCAATAGACTTGCCCTACAAGAAATGCTAAAGGATATTCTTCAGGCTGAAGGGAAACCACATCAGTGGGAAACTTGGAGGAAGAAAATCAATGAAGGAAGAACAACAAAAATTGTTAATATCTGGGTAAATATAGTCTATTTTTCGCCTCAAGTTCTTAAAAATATGTATAACTGTTGAAAGCAAAAATTATAACATTTTCGAATAGAGTTTTCAATGTATGTAGATGTAATATATATAATTATCATATAAAGGGAGGAGGATAAAGAGATGTATATGCTTGTGAGGCTTCTACGTTTTGCTAAGTGTCAAAATATTAACTCTAATGCAGACTTTGAAAGATCAGATATGTACATTTTAAGCCCTAGAGCAATCACTAAAAAAGAAAAAAAAAGAAGCATAAAAAAGTCAATAAATAAATTGAAATGAAATACTAAAAATTATTCAAATAAAAGAAAGCAGGAAATGGGAACAAAGAAGCAAAAGGCAAAGGTGACAAACAGAAAACAATAAAATGGTAAACCTAAGTCAAAATATTTCAATAATTACATTAAATGTAAATGATCTATGCATACAAATTAAAAGAGAGATTATCAGATTAGATAAAGTGAGAATACTCATAATTTAACAAAATAAATGGGGAAAAAGGACCATGCTGAGTATACTCAAATGAGTCATGTTATACAGTAAGTTCTCAGGTAGAAGGTCAGCATCATATTCATATGGATATGAGAATCCCCTAAATGACTACTGCAAATGACCTCAAATCTGACATTTGTGCAGAGGCATCCCAACCAGGGAACAAAGTGGTACAATGGCATAGTAACAAAGGAAAATGTGCCAACTGGGGAGAACACAGGAGCAGTGAGGGGTGAAAGGACCTCTCCTACCTTTTGTACCACCCTTAGCACTAATGAAGGAAGGAAGCAAGTCTCAGGAACCCTACTTTGGCCATTTTTGCTCTCTGGCCCACTTCCTCAACATACTTATTTCCTTTCAAAGTATTTATGGCAACCCCCAATGTGTGTAGTAGGTCAGTGGAAGGATAAGGCAAACGTGGATGGATGCAAACTCTTATAAGCACATGTGACCAAAAGGAAGAAACATGGTAAAGAACTAAAACAAAGTCATGGAAGATAGAGTCATCTTTCTCCTATGGACTGATCTCAAGCCACCTGGTCCACAAAAGGGAACCAACTTAAGTATCTGACCACACATGGCCCTGGGGCACTAGTCACACTGTCCATGCTCTCTGCACAACACAAGTATTAGAAGTTGAATTGTGTCCCATCAGAAGATATGTTTAAGTCCTAATCCCTGTAAATGTGACCTTGTTTGGAAATAAGACCTTTCCATGTGTAATCAAGTTAAGATGAAGTCTAATCTAACATGCTGGTGTCCTTGTAAGAAGAGGAAAATGTCATGTGAAGACAGAGGCAGAGAGAGTATGACAATGGAGGCCGAGATTGAAGTGCTCCAACTCAAGCCAAGGAATGCCTGGGGCTACCAAATGCTGGAAGACGCAAAAAGGATCCTCCTCTAAAGGATTCTGAGGGAGCATAGCCCTGCCAACACCCTGATTTTAGACTTCTAGTCTCCAGAACTGTGAGAGAATAAACGTTTATTGTCTTAAGCCACCCAGCTGTAGCACTTTGTTATGGCATCCTTAGGAAGCTAATGCAGCAGAGGACTATATTTCTCTTTATAACGTATCATCACTTAAAGACAAAGAAAATAAGAAAATAAATGACTTTGTTTCTGTCAGGAAGCCCAAGAAATAAACCATACTGTGCCTCACTCTCTTGTCATGAAGCAGAGATCTCAAACTTCAAAGACTACAAGGTAAATAAGAAAGGCAGCTATGTTACCTAGTAGGACACAGAAGCAAAAGGGAGCCCTGTCCCAGAGGAGCAGCAGCTTTTCAGCTCTAGATATGTGAAACTTTTGTTAGAAACTAGAAATTAGAACCTTGATGTGGTATTTCCAGAATCTAAAACACAGCACAGTGGGCCAAACCTGGCCCACAGGCCACCAGTTTATAATCCCTGCTCTCAGGCATACTCCTGTACCCTAAGGCAGAGATTTAGATTCTAAAAAAAAACTCTGAGACTGTCAGAAAATTCAGAGGACTTTCAATATGTAATGGCCTACTAATGGATTTCATTAGTTTTCTAGTTTTTCTCAAATTATTAAACAATCTAATTGTTCTTAGAAACATGCCATCAAAACCCATCTTTGCAAGCTCATTTCACTCATTCGCAAAATGAAAGGCTGAACTAATACCATATTATTAAGTATTACTTATCAAGAATAAGAAGTTAGCAGACTAAAAAGTCCTTTCATCATTAGTGGAGGGAAATCATCAATTATTAATCTTATTTCTATTTTTTGGTTGAGAAAATTAGCTATGATTATACATATAGACTCACCCATTGACAATCATGTTCTCCCTCAATGAGTCAATGAAAATTTTTGGAAGAGAGAGAGGTGATGTCTCAAACTTGGAGGGACATACTATGATTTCATAGTCTGGGATATGACCTAGGTGTTCTGATTTTTAAAAGCTTCCCCAGTATCTTAGCATGCCGCACAGTTTGCAAACCTCCACAGTAGACAAAAAAAGAAGAAATTTTTCTAACATTAGGATAGTATTCTTTCTCTATTTCAGATACAAAATATGACACACACATACTCCAAAGATAAACCCCTCAAAGCTCTCAAAGTTTCAGAACAGATTGATTTATTCTATCTCTTGCCCTGCTGTTCATTGACAAAAATCTTCTGTGTTCCCAAATTGGTCTGCGGTTGCACATGTAATTTTGTAATTATTGTTCATGCAGCAATAATTTTCATCTAAGATCTTTTCAAATTAACTAGATTAAAAGAATGCCACTTATGAACAAAATACATTCTGAAGATAGAAACAACTTTGCTTCCATTCCTAATGAAACTCAGACCTTTCATCTTAAATTCAAGCAAAATCTCAAGCACTAAAATGAGTTTGATACTTTCATATTTCTATTAAACTGAGGCCATCTACACAAAGGTAAAAAGCCTTCTTATTCTCTTCATGATCCTTATACAGCTGTGCTACTGCTTCCATGAGATCAAGGAGTTATGTTGTCTCTTAATGGCAGGATTACATTTTTCCTATATTTCTGCTTTTATTATTCTTGAGTTCGCAAAGCATCTCAATTTTGGCAGGCAAATATAGGCAGTTAATCACTCTCTGATTTCAGGGACATAGAAACTGATTTATCCAAATGTACCCTGGGAGATGGATCTTTGAGTGAGATTGTCTAATTCCATTCAGAAAAAAAGAAGATGGTTCACTGGCATGAGCCCAACATTTACTAAATAGAAAAGGAGAATGGAATATTGTTTTTAAATTCCACCAAGCAGACTGAAAAATTAAAAGAATATATGGACAATAACTGCACTCAGACGGCTATTGCTCTATTGAAAACACCCTCCATTCTAATTGTTTGCTTGTAATTCATTTCAGGGTTTGGTTTTGCAGCAAACTGCTTCAGATAAGCAATCCTATTTGGTGGTTCATAGCTAGGCAGCCCAATTTGGAAATCCAATTGCCGCTTATGCAATAATTAGTCAGAAAGCTAAATTGCAAAAATGGCATTTTAACTTTGAGCTTATATTTGAGCAACAGAGCATTAAAAACACTTAGTATGAATCAATGCTCTCTCCTGTAACAGTTAACTGAACTTCATGAAGAGTAAAAATTATGATCTTTTGTGAAAGGAATGAGTGAAACTTTGAGCTGGTTTTTTAAAAAGGAGCTGCCATTTTTATTGCTGTGCTTGAGTTACGGACTTTAAAAACTGCTTCATGCATGCAAGTTTAATTCACCCTGTAACAATGAATCAAATGTAGGTGCAGAAAGAGGAATTACATAGAGATAAAGTGCAATTCAGAAAATGCCATCCCTTTACCTGCCGGTCTATATAATAACTCAAGATGTAACCTTACTGTGTTTAATGGTGTAATCAAAAAATGTGTCAAGACACTGGAATTTTGAAGCTGTTCCACGTACAACACATCCCTGATGACTCATTTAAAAGTGGACAGGTTGTCAGAATCAATGGGACATAAACATCTTCTATTCCCTGAGGAGCTTTGAGGATCCTGACCTGTATAAACCCTGATTTTTTTCAAACTCCTCTCTTTAGAATAAAAGGATATTCTTGAAAATTCTAATATCTTTTTGCCAAGCTTTGGTAGATACATGAGAATTTATTTTGCCATTGATGAGAACATGGAATTCATGTTTTAAGGAGTCACTGTCCATGAACCCAAGCTAAGGAAAGACTACTCCAATTAATTTGTGTCACTTTTTTCCCCTCTACTTATCCTTCCTGAAGAACTAATCATTAACATGGGGAGGTTTGTTTTCTACTCTGGCTGTTTTCATTTCTCCTGTCATAATTTAAAAAGCCACAGGGTAAATAAAGATCATTGTATTTCACTCATGTTAAATACATGCTGCATTATTACAAAGTAATCTAACACCCGGCTTTAAAGTCCCTTACTTTCAAATAAATATAAACAACAGGGACAGCTCTAGCCTTCAGATGACTTTCTCTCCTCCCCCGCACCATTCACAGCTGCTCAGCTCTCCCCTCTCCTTAGCACTTTCATATCGTTTCTATTTTCTGTGACTCCCTCTTTTCATCATATTGCTTTCAAAATTCCACACTGTGTAGTGATCTCACTAGTGAACGGCTATGCCTACCTGCAGATGTCACAGTTGGCATCCCTGCCTGCAGCCCAATAAGCCAAGAAGACATCTCTGTCGATCATTTTGGTGGGGTAAAATATATACACTCCATACCTCAGAAAGCATGATGCAGCACCATTATTTAATATGATCCAACAATTCTGATTCCCTTTATTATTTTTAATAGCCATCCTATTAATACCACTAATGCAGAGAGATAAGTCATAGGAATTGCTCCCAACAAAAAGACAAACAGAAAAAAAAAATACAGCTGTTGCAGAACCAAGAGTAGATATAGATGAAAAAACATATCCTACCAAGTGTTAGAAAGCCTAAACTAAGCCTGTTTTTGAATCAGATTTGTGTCTCAATACACACACACACACACACACACACACACACACACAGACACACAGTCTTTTTGTCCTCAGCACACAGGGTCTGAGAGATAAATAATACTTTATATGCTTGTAAAATAAAGGACAGATTCCATAGTTATTCAGATAAATTAGAGATTATTTTGTGCTGGGAGTTCAGCAGGAAAGACTCAAAGAGGTGAAGATCTTAGCTAGGTCTTAAAGAGATTCAGATACTGATAACAGAGAGGGTACAACGCATTCTAGATGGAGACAGCTTTGACAATTGTTAGTTTGGGGCCATTCAGTATCCATTACCCTCAATGCTAGTAACACATCCAATTTCCCTTTAATAAAACACCCTTCCCCCATTCTCAATCTTCTGGTTTACATGAGGCCCTACCTTCCAGCTTCAGCTACAGATCATATGACCCCAACCTAAGATGGCCAACGCCTTGCATTTACCCCTAGCCACAACCACTGATTTAGTCACGAGTTATTGACTCAAGCTTACCCAAGCAAGACCCCAGTTAGGGCTAACTCAGGGTGTTCTGCCGTATTGACTAGAGTTCATTGCTCTATCCTGCTAAACCAAAATTTACAAGGATGTAATGCTTGAGCTACTGTCATCATCTTGCCACCACATGGAACCCAAAAATAAATACAAAATCCAGAGGAAAGTAGAGGCAAAAGATAAAGAAAAACTGAATCCTCGAGCTACTGTTTGAAGCTCAAGCCCATTTGGTGAGGCCATGTTTTCCTGGATGGTGTTGGTGCTTGCGGATGTTCGTTGGTGTCTGAGCATTGAAGGGTTAGTTATTTAATGTAGTCTTTGCTGTCTGAGTTTGTTTGTACCTGTCCTCTTTTGGGAAGACATTCCAGGTATTCAAACAGATGTGGGTGTTGTGATCTAAGCCATATCTGCATTATGGGGCACCCCAAGCCCAGTAACACCGTGATTCTTGCACACTTGTAAAGTACCACGTTGGTGGTCTTGGAGAAGAGCTGGAAGAATTCTCTGGATTACCAAGCAGAGACTATTGTTTTCTTCCCTTACTTTCTCCCAAATAAACGGAGTCTCTCTCTGTGCTGAGCTGCTTGGAGCTAGGGGTGGGGTGACACAAGCACCCCTGTGGCCATCACCACTGGACTGCACTGGGTTGCTAAAAACTCAGGGCAAGTTCTATAGGCCCTAAATAAACCACTTGCTGGTTGCAGTGGGCATATATAACAATGATTAGGAAATAAAGCAATAAATGAAAAATTAGTGACAAACTGTAGAATAACAAACACCTGATTATAAGGTTCAGATTTAAAGAAATTATACACTACTACAGTATATATAATTCTAATATAGACAATATCTCTCCACTTTTAAAGGACAAAAGAAATCCTTTGGCCTTAGGAACCAAAAAGACACAGTGCAACTATAAATATACTGGAATTATACATTCCAAAAGAATGTGGCAGGGTTGCTACTCACTATTTTTAAAATCTATATATGTAACTCTAAATGGATCAAAAACCTAAATGTAAGACCTAAAACTATAAACTCTTAGAAGAAACAGGGAAAAGCTTCATGACATTAGATTTGGCAGTGATTTCTTAGATATGACCAAAAGCGTAAGCAACAAAAGAAAAAATAAATTGAACTACATCAAAGTTTAAAATTTCCATGCATCAAAAGACATAACTAACAGCTTGAAAAAGCAACCCACAGTTTGAGAGGAAGTATTTGCAAATCATGTCTCTGATAAGAGGTTAATATCCAGAATATATAAAGAATCCCTATAACTCAAAGACAAGGAATCAAACACCCCAATTTAAAAATGGCCAAAGGACTAGAATAGACATTTCTCCAAATATATACAAGTGGCCAACAAGCATATGAAAAGATGCTCAACATCACTAATCACAAGGGAAATGCAAGGCAATACCACAAACAAAAACCTGCTCCCTTTCATTACAATGACTACTATCAAAAAAAAGTAAATAAATAAAATAGAAAATAGCAAGTGTTGTTGAGGATGTGGAGAAAACAGAACCTTTGTGCACTGCTGGCAGAAATGTAAAATGGTACAACTACTGTAGAAAACAATACGGCATTTCCTTAAAAAAGTAAAAACAGAATTACCACATGATCTGGTAATCCCACTTCTGGATATATATCCAAAAGAATTGAAGTCAAGGACCTGAACAGATATTTGTACAGCCGTATTCATAGTGATATTATTGCAATAGCCAAAAGACAGAAGCAACCCAAATGCCCATCAACCAATGAATGAATAAACAAAATGTGGTATGTACATACACTGGAATGTCATTCAGGCTTAAAAAGGAAGACAGGGCCAGGTGTGGTGGCTCACACCTGTAATCCCAGCACTTTGGGAGGCTGAGGTGGGTGGATCACGAGGTCAGGAGAACGAGACCATCCTGGCTAACACGTTGAAACCCTGTCTCAACTAAAAATACAAAAAATTAGCCGGGCATGGTGGCACACACCTGTAGGACCAGCTACTTGGGAGGCTGAGGCAGGAGAATCACTTGAACCTGGGAGACAGAGGTTGCAGTGAGCTGAGATCATGCCACTACACTCCAGCCTGGGCAACAGAGTGAGACTCCATCTCAAAAAAAAAAAAAAAAAAAAAGGAAGGCAGTTCTGACACATGCTACAACATGGAAGAACATGAGGATATTATCTAAGTGAAATAAGCTGGTCACAAAAAGAAAAATACCATACGAGGTACCTAGAGTAGTCAAATTCATAAAGACAGAAAGTAGAACGGTGGTTGTCAGAGGCTGAGGGTGACGAATACCATCACCCTCAGTTATTATTTAATGGGTACAGAGTTTCAGCTTTGTAAAATGAAGAGCACTCCATGGATGGATCCGT